>NC_000006.12:21272121-21575151 GCF_000001405.40 Homo sapiens | reverse complement strand
TCACGCCTGTAATCCCAACACTTTGGGAGGCCGAGGTGGGTGGATCACGAGGTCAGGAGATCGAGACCAGCCTGGCTAACACGGTGAAACCCCATCTCTACTAAAAATACAAAAAAATTAGCTGGGCATGGTGGCGGGCACCTGTAATCCCAGCTACTCAGAAGGCTGAGGCAGGAGAATGGCATGAACCCGGGAGGCAGAGCTTGCAGTGAGCTGACATCGCGCCACTGCACTCCAGCCTGGGCAACAGAGCAAGACTCTGTCTCAAAAATAAATAAATAAATAAATAAAATAAACAACAACAGTATTTTTATAAAGATATATATAATACATGACTAAGTAGGGTTTACTCCATGAATGCAAGATTAGTTTACACTTAAAAATAATTAGTATAACACCACATTAACAGAATACGGGAGAAAAATCTTATTATCATTTTGATAGCTTCATAGAAAGCATTTGATAAAATTCACATCCACTTAGGATAAAAACTTTTAGCAAACTAGGGGCAGAAGGGAACTTTCTCAATCTCATAATCCTAAAATTATATATATAGTGGGATTTTGAATACTTTTTGGTTGAAGTGGGAAATAATGCAACACTGTCCACTCTTACCAGTTTTATTCAGTTATGGTACCAGAGGCCCTACCCAATATAATAGGGGTGAAGAAAGGAATAAAATATATAAAGATTAGAAAAAAGAAATAACATTGCTTTTATTAAATGACATGCTTTTGTATATAGAAAATCCAAAAAATCTATAAACTATTAACATTAATAAGTGAGTTCAACATATTAAGGATGCAAAATCAATTGAATGTCCAAGTACTAACAACAAACCAAACTGTACAAAAAAAATTTACAATAGCACCCAAAATCATAAAATACATATAAATATATCTAATAAAAGAAATAAAAGGCCTGTGTCCTGAAAACTACAGAACTTTTCTGAGACATTAAAAATACCTAAATTAGCCAGGCACCGTGTTCACACTTATAATCCCAGCACTTTGGAAGGCTGAGGGTGGGGAGGTGGATCACCTGAGGTCAGGAGTTCAAGACCAGCCTGGCCAACCAGGTGAAACCCTGTCTCTACTAAAAATACAAAAATTAGCTGAGCGTGGTTGGTGGCGGGTGCCTGTAATGCCAGCTACTCGGGAGGCTGAGGCAGGAGAATCACTTGAACCTGGGTGGTGGAGGTTGCAGTGAGTGGAGATCGCGCCATTGCACTCCAGCCTGGGCGACAGAGACAGACTCCATCTCAAACAAACAAACAAACAAACAAACAAAAACAAAAGAAACCTTAATTAGGCGGGGAATGGTGGCTCACACCTGTATTCCCAGCACTTTGGGAGGCCGAGGTGGGTGGATCACCTGAGATCAGGAGTTTTAGACCAGTCTGGCAAACATGGCAAAACCCCTTCTCTACTAAAAATCCAAAAATTAGCCGGGTGTGGTGGTGGGCACCTGTAATCTCAGCTACTCAGGAAACTGAGGCAGGAGGATTGCTTGAATCTGGGAGGCGGAGGTTGCAGTGAGCCGAGATCACACCACTGCACTCCAGCCTGAGTGACAGAGAGAGAGACTCCGTCTAAAAACAAAACAAAACAAAACAAAAAACCTGAATTAAGAGGTATACTGTGTTTTTAGGTTGGGAAACTCCATTTTGTAAACACGTTTATGCCTCTGAGACTCATGTATAGATTCAATGCAATCCCAAACAAAATTCTAGGTTTTTTGTTTTGCTTTGTAGAAATAACCAAGCTGATGATAAAATTAAGTAGAAATGCAGAGGACCTAAAATAGTCAAAAGAATCCTGAAGAAGAAAAACAATGATGGAGAATTTATTACACTGCCGGAGTTCAAGAGCTATAGTAATTAACACAGAGTGGTATTGATATAAGATTAGACAAATTATACCAAGTGAACAGAAAAGAGAGTCAGAAATAGACTCACACTTAGAGAGTTACTTGATTTATAACTAAGACACCACTGCAATTTTGTGGCAAAGGATAGTGGGTTTATTTTTTCCACTAGTAAATGGTGCAGGGGCAATTGTATGTTCATGTTCACATGGAGAAACAAAATGAACCTTGACCTCTATTTCAAGCCATATGTAGAAAACAATGTGTCATACGTTACAAACCTAAATGTGCAGAGAAAACATAGGAGGATATCTTTATGACCTTGAAGTAGGCAAAGATTTCTTACATAGGGCACACAAAAATACTAAGCATTGGCCAGGTGCAGTGGCTCAAACCTGTAATCCGAGGCCAAAGTGGGTGGATCACTAGAGGCCAGAAGTTTAAGACCAGCCTGGCCAACATGGCAAAACCACATCTCTACTAAAAAAATAGAAAAATTAGTCAGGTGTGGTGGTGCATGCCTGTAATCCCAGCTACTTGGGAGGCTGAGACACAAGAATTGCTTGAACCCGGGAGGCAGATGTTGCAGTGAGCAAAGATTGTGCCACTGCACTCCAGCCTGGGCAACAGAGTAAGTACTCTGTCTCAAAAAAAAAAAAAAAAAAAAAAAAAAAGAATACTAAGCATTAAATAAACCAAATACTGGAAGAAGATATTCATAATACATATATCTGATGAAGTATTTATTTTTTCCTATTAAAAAAATGAGGCAAAGACTTGAACAGGCACCTCAAAAAATAGGCTATGCAAATTGCCATTAACCATATGAAAATGTATGTATTAGGGAAATACAAAATAAAACCACATCGAGATACCACTTGTAGACCCACAAGAATGGCTAAAATTAAAAGAGTAACAAAAGCAAGTGTTGGCACAGATGTGGAATATTTGAAATTCTCACACATTTGGTGGTCATGTACATTTATACAACTGCTATGGAAAGCTGTGGCTACTTACTAAGCTAATATGTCCAGCAACCTTACCCCTAGTTATATACTGAAAAGAAATAAGTGTATATATCCACCAAAAGGCACATACAAGAATGTTGGCCAGGCACAGTGGCTTATGCCTGTAATCCCAGCACTTTGGGAGGTTAAGGTGGAAGAATCACTTGAACCCAGGTGTTTGAGACCAGCCTCAGCAATATAGTGAGACCTCATCTCTACACATAATTACAAAATTAGCCTGGCCAGGTGCGGTGGCTCATGCCTGTAATCCCAGCACTTTGGGATGCTGATGTGGGTGGATCACCTGAGGTCAGGAGTTCGAGACCAGCCTGGCCAACATGGTGAAACCTCGTCTCTACTAAAAATACAAAAATTAGCCGGGCGTGGTAGCGAGCACCTGTAATCCCAGATTCTTGGGAGCCTGAGGCAGGAGAATCGCTGGAACTTGGAGGGGCGGAGGTTGCAGTGAGCCAAGATCGTGCTACTGCACTCCAGCCTGGGCGACAGAGTGAGACTACGTCTCAAAGGAAAAAAGAAAAAAAATTTGCCCGGCATGGTGTTGGGCACCTGTGGTCCAGGTATGCTGGAGGCTGAGGTGGGACAATCACTTCAGCCCACGCAGCTGAGGCTGCAGTGAACCATGATTGCGCCACTGCCCTCCAGCCTTGGTGACAGAGTGAGACCCTGTTTCAACAAAAAACAAACAAAAAATGTTCATGTCCCAAACACAGAAATAATCCAAATATCCATTAAAGGAAGAATGGATAAATATCTTGTGGTATTTTCATACAGTGGAATGCTACACAGAAATAAAATAACAGACATTATATTGGGTAAAAGAAGCTAGCACAAAAAAAGAGCATGTGTTGTATTATTCCATTTATATGAAGTTCAAGAACAGACAAATTTAATTGTTAGTCATAGCAGTTAGAGTGGTGGTTACCTATCGATGAAGGGTTGACTAGGATGGGCACAAGACAACCTTCTAGAATACTTGAAATAGACTATATTTACCTGAGTAATGCATGCAAGGGGGTTTTTATACATAATAATTTATCAAACAGTACACTAAAGATCAGTGGTGTTTATGCCTTTATGCATGCCTCAGTAAAAAGATAAAAACAAATCAGAAAACACAAGGATATTTAAAGGAAATTTACTATCCAATACTTTAAAGTAGGAGTCAGCAAATGATTTCTGTAAAGGGCTAAATAGTAAATATTTTAAGCTTGCAGGCCATATTCTCTATCACAACTCAGCTTTGCTGTCAAAATGTACAAGCAGCTATAGACAATACATAAATGAATGAGCATGGCTGTGTTCCAGTAAATTTTATTTTCAAAAATAGACGGCAGACCACATTTAGCTTGCAAGGAATAGCTTGCTGACCTCCTGCTTTTAATCATCAGCAAGGCTATCACCCTTTCTTTAAAATAAGTCATAAAATAGGATTCTTTTATTTTGCAATATGAGGTAATTGAAGTAAGGTCTCTTCTAGCCCAAATACAGTGTGATTGTTTTAGGAAGACTTAAAGTAGGCTGTGGCTTTGGTGTTTTTTTTTTTGAGACGGAGTCTTACTCTGTTGCCCAGACTGGAGTGCAGTGGCAGGATCTTGGCTCACTGCAACCTCCACCTCCCAGGTTCAAGTGATTCTCTCACCTCAACCTCCCGAGTAGCTGGGACTACAGGCATGCACCACCACGCTCGGATAATTTTTGTATTGTTAGTAGAGACGGGGTCTCACCGTGTTGGCCAGGCTGATCTCGAACTTCTGACCTCAAGTGATCTGCCCGCCTCGGCCTCCCAAAAAAAAAAAAGACAGTCCTGAATTGCCAAGACCACCACTCCCCCATCCCCCAGCAGTGGCCACATGGCACAGATAATCAGTGCACTTGAGGGCGGGAGAGGGCAATGATTTTATGGCACTCTGCATTGGAACTCAGTGCTGTCCTGTCACAGTGGAAAGGAACATGGGCAAAACTCAGCCAGTGTCCACAGAGGCAGCATCTAGAGGAGCCCTGGCCAGAAGTGAATCGTCAGTCCCAGCGGTTATAACCTGAATTCTGGCAAGCCCTGCCACTGTGGGCTAAAGGATTCGGATCCTAAATAAACTTGAAAGGGAGTCTAGACCACAAGGATGCCATTCCCAGGCAAGTGCTGGTGCTGTGCTGGGCTCTGAGCCAGTGGACTTGGGGGGCATGCAACTTAGTGAGACACCAGCTGGGGTGGTCAAGGGAGTGCTTGTGTCACTACTCTCCCAACCCTAGGCAGCATAGCTTGCAGCGCCTGGAGAGACCCCTTTCTTCTGCTTGAGGAGAGGAGAGGGGACAATAAAGTGCACTTTGTTCTGCAACTTGGATACCAGCTCAGCCACAGTAGAACAGGGCTTCAGGCAAAATCCCAAGGTCCTCATTCCAGGACCTAGCTCCCAGATGACATTTCAAGAGACACCCTGGGCCAGAAAGGAACCCGCTGTCTTGTAGGAAAGCATTCAGTCCTGGCAGAATTCATCTCCTGCTGCCTAAAGAGCCTTGGGCCCTGAATAATCAGCAGTGGTTACCAAGCAGTACTTGTCACAGGCCTTGGGTGAGACTCAGAGCTATGCTGGCTTCAGTTATGACCCAGCACATTCTCAGCTATGGTGGCTATGGAAAGAGACTCCTGCTTGAGGAAAGGAGAGGGAATAGTAAAGGGGACTTGGTCTTGCAGCTTGGGTACCAGCTCAACCATAGTAGAGTAAAACACCAAGCAGGCTTCTGGGGTCCTTGATTTGAGGCCTTGCCTCCTGAATGGCATTTCTGGACCTGCCCTGGGCCAGAGGGGTGCCCACTGCTCTGAAGGGGGAGACCTATGCTTGGCAGCATTCACCACAAGCTGACTGAAGAGCACTTGGGCCTTGAGTGAATATTAGCAGTGGATAATACCTCACAGTGGGCCTGGGTGTGGTGGTGGCCATACAGAGACTCCTTTGCTTGAGGAAAGGGGAGGGAAGACTGGGAAGGACTCTCTGTGGCTTGGATGCCAGCTGCAGTAAAATAGAGCCCCAGGTAGATTCCCAAGTTTCCCAACTTCGGGACCTGGATCCTGGATGGCGTCTCTGGACCTGTCCAGGGCCAAGGGAACTTGCTGCCCGGAAGGGAAGGACACAGGCCTGGCTAGATTCACCACCTGCTGACTGTACAGCCCTTGGGCCTTGAGTGAACATAAATGGTAGCTAGGCAGTGGTCACTGCAGGCCTTGGGTGAGAACTAGTGCTGTGCTGGCTTCAGGTTCGACCCAGCACAGTTCCAGTGGTGGTGGCCATAGGGATGTTTGTGCCCACCCCTCCCACAGCTCCAGGCAGCTCAGCACACACACACACACACACACACACACACACACACACACACACACACAAACACACACAGAGAGAGAGAGAGAGACAGAGACAGAGAGAGAGAGAGACTCCATTTGGCTGAAGGAAAGTAAAGGCAGAGAACAATAGTCTCTGCCTGGTAATTCAGGGAATTCTCCCGGATCTCACCCAACATTACCAAAGTGATATCTTTATGAGTCTGCAAGAGCTGCAATGTCACTGAGCTTGGGGTACCCTGTAATTCAGATGGCTGCAGTGACCAAAGACTTAGATCACAACACCCAAGTCTCTTTGAATACTTGGAAAGCCTACTCAAGAAGGACAGCTACAAACAAGCCCAGGGTGCAAAGACTACAATAAATACCTAACTCTTCAATGCCCAAACACCTATGAACATTCACAAGCAACAAGACCATCCAGGAAAACATGACCTCAGAAAAAGAACTAAATAAGGCACCAGTGACCAATTTCAGAGAGACAAGAGATATGTGACCTTTAAGACAGATAATTCAAAATAGCTGTTTTGAGAAAGCTCAATGAAATTCAACATAATACAGAGAAGGAATTCAGAATCCTATCAGATAAGTTTCACAAAGAGATTGGAATAATTAAGAAGCTGTACATTAAGAATTTACAGCTGAAAAATGCAATTAACATACTGAAGAATGCATCAGAGTCTCTTAGCAGCAGAATTGATGAAGCAGAAGAAAGAATTAGTGAGCTTGAAGACAGGCTATTTGAAAATACACACTCAGAGGACACAAAAGAAAAAATAAAAAAGGATGAAGCATACCTACAAGATCCAAAAAGTAACCTCAGAAGGGCAAATCTAAGAGTTATTGGCCTTAAAGAGGAGGTAGAGAGAGAAATCAGAGTAGGGAAAGTTTACTCAAAGGGATAACAGAGAACTTCCCAAGCTTAGAGAAAAATATCAATATTCAAGTACAAGAAGGTTACAGAACACCAAGGAGATTTAACCTAAATAAGGCTACCTTGAGACATTTAATAATCAAACTCTCAAAGGTCAGGGATAGAGAAGCAGCAAGAGAAAAGAAAGATAACATACGAAGGAGCTCCAATACATCTGGCAGCAGACTTTTCAGTGGAAATCTAATAGGCCAAGAGACAGTGGCATGACATATTTAAAGTGCTGAAGGAAAAAAGAAAACTTTTAACCTTAACAATGAAAACATCCTTTAAACATGAAGGAGAAATAAGGACTTTCCCAGAAAAGCAAAATCTGAGGGATTTCATCAATACCAAATCTTTCCTACAAGAAATGCTAAAGGGAGTTCTTCAGTTTGAAAGAAAAGGATGTTAATGAACTACAAGAAATCACTTGAGGCCAGGCGTGGTGGCTCACGACTGTAATCCCAGCACTTTGGGAGGCCGAGGCAGGCAGATCATGAGGTCGGGAGTTTGAGACCAGCCTGGCCAACATAGTGAAACCCTGTCTCTACTAAAACTACACAAATTAGCTGGGCATGGTGGCGGGTGCCTGTAGTCCTAGCTACTGGAGAGGCTGAGGCAGGAGAATCGCTTGAACCTGGGAGGTGGAGGTTGCAGTGAGCCAAGATTGTGCCACTGTGCTCCAGCCTAGGCGACAGAGCGAGATTCTGTCACAAAAAAAAAAAAAAGAAAAAAAAGAAAAAAAAGAAATCACCTGAAATAAGTACACAGAAAAACACAGAATATTATAACACTATCATTGTGGTGTGTAAACTACTCATAGGTTGAGTAGAAAGACTAAAAGATGAACCTATCAAAAATAATAACTACAGCTTTTCATGACACAGATATTATAATAAGTTATAAATAGAAACAAGAAGTTAAAGCAGGGGGATGAAGGTAAGGTATAGAGTTTTAAATTAATTTTTTCTTTGCTTGTTTATGCAATCAGTATTAAGTTGTCATTAGTTTAAAATAATGCATTATAAGATATTATTTGCAAGCATTATGGTAACCTCAAATCAAAAAATGTATAACAGACACACAAAAAATAAAAAGCAAGAAATTAAAACATGTCATAGGAGAAAATCACCTTCAGTAAAAGGAAGACAGGAAGGAAGGAAGGAAGGATGGAAGGAAGGAAGGGAGGGACGGAGGGAGGGAGGAGAAGACAACAAAACAATCAGAAAACAAATAACAAAGTGGCAGGAGTAAGTCTATACTTATCAATAATAACAATGAATGTAAATAGACTTAACTCTCCAATCAAAAGACATAGAGTGGCTAAATGGACAAAAGCCATGACCCAACAATCTGTTGCCAACAAGGAACAATCTTCACCTATAAAGACACATAGACTGAAAATAAAGAGATGGAAAAATATATTCTATGCCAATGGAAACCAAAAAAAGAGCAGAGAAAGCTACAATTATATCAGACACAATAGATTTCAAGACAAAAATTATATAAAAGACACAAAGAATTATATAATGATAAAGGGGTCAATTCAACAAGAGACTCTTAACAATTATAAATCTATATACACTCAACACTGGAGCGCCCAAATATACAAACCAAATATTATAAGAGCTAAAGGAGAGAGAAACTCCAATGCAATAATAGCTGAAGACTTCAATACCATACTTTCAGCATTGGAAAGATCATCCAGACAAAAAATTAACACAGAATGTAACAATGGACTTAATCCGCACTACAGATCAAATGGACTTAACAGAGATTTACAAAACATTCCATTCAAAGGCTATAGAATACACATTCTTCTCAGCACATAGATCAGTCTCAAGGATAGACCATATGTTAAACCACAAAACAAATCTTTAAAAATTCAAAACAATGAAATTATATCAAGGTTCTTCTCTGATCACAATGGAACAAAACTAGAAATCAATAACAAGAGGAATTTTGGAAACTATACATACACATGGAAATTAAACAATATGCTCCTGAATGACCAATGGGTCAATGAAGAAATTAAAAAGGAAATTTAAAAAACTTTTGAAACAAATGATAATGAAAATATAGCATATCAAAATCTTTGGGATAAAGCAAAAGCAGTACTAAGAGGAAAGTTTATAGCAATAAGGGCCTACATCAAAAACTTCAGATAAACAACCTAACAATACATCTTAAAGAACTAGAAAAGCAAGAGAAAACCAAACCCAAAATTAGTAGAAAAAAAGAAATAATAACAATTAGAGCAGAAATATATGAAACTGAAACAGAACAAACAATACAAAAGATCAATAAAACTATAAATTATTTGAAAAGATAAATAAAATTGACATTTAGCCAGACTAAGGAAAAAATAATTAAATAATTAAATCGGATAATTAAATAATTAAAATAACTAAAATCAGAGCTGAGAAGACATTACAACTAATACTGCAGAAATTCAAAGGCTCATTAGAGGCTACTATAACAACTATATGCCAATAAATTGGAAAACCTAGGAGAAATGGATAAATTTCTAACCACCTACAACCTACCAAGATTGAACCATGAAGAAATCCAAAACCTAAACAGACAAGTAACAACTAATGAGTTTGAAGCTGTAATAAAAAGTCTCCCAGGCATGGTGGCTCACACCTGTAATCCCAGCACTTTGGGAGGACGAAGCAGGCAGATTACTTGAGGTCAGGAGTTGGAGACCACACTGGCCAACATGGTGAAACTCTGTCTCTAACAAAAATACAAAAAATTAGCTGTAATTCCAGCTACTCAGGAAACTGAGGCAGGAGAATTGCTTGAACCCTGGAGGCAGAGGTTGCAGTGAGCCGAGATCATGCCACTGCATGCCAGCCTGGGTGACAGAGTGAGACTCTGTCTCAAAAAAAAAAAAAAAAAAACCTCCCAGCAAAGAAAAGCCTGGGACCTGATGGCTTCACTGGTGAATTTTACCAAACATTTAAAGAAGAACTAATGCAATTCTACCCAAACTATTCCAAAGAATAGAGGAAGTACTTCCAAACTCATTCTATGAAGCCAGTATTACCCTTATACCAAAACCAGACAGACACATCAAATAAAAGAAAACTAGAGGCCAGGATCCCTGGTGAATACTGATGCAAAAATCCTCAATAAAATACTAGCAAACCGAATTCAACAACATGTTAAAACGATCATTCATCATGACCAAATGGGATTTATTCCAGGAATGCAAGAATGTTTCAACATATGCAAATAAATCAATGTGATACATTATATCAACAGAATGAAGGACAAAAAACATATGATCATTTCAATTGATGCTGAAAAAGCATTTGATAAAATTTAACATCTTTTCATGATAAAAGAAAACTCTCAAAAATCTGGGTAAAGAAAGAACATATCTCAACATAATGAAAGCCATATATGACAGACCCACAGCTAGTATCATACTGAATGGGAAAAACTGAAAGCCTTTTCTTTTTTTTTTTTTCGAGATGGAATCTTATTCTGTCACCCAGGCTGGAGTGCAGTGGCATGATCTCGGCTCACTGCAACCTCCACCTCCCAGGTTCAAGCGATTCTCCTGCCTCAGCCTCCCAAGTAGCTGGGACTACAGGTGTCTGCCACCACGCTTGGCTAATTTTTGTATTTTTTAGTAGAGATGGGGTTTCACCATATTGGCCAGGCTGGTCTCGAACTCCTGACCTCGTGATCCACCCAGCTCGGCCTTCCAAAGTGCTGGGATTACAGGTGTGAGCCACTGCGCCTGGCCTGAAAGCCTTTTCTCTAATATCTGGAACACAAGGATGCCCACTTTCACCACTGTCATTCAACACAGTCCTTAGCCAAAGCAATCAAAGAAGAGAAAGAAATAAAGGGCATCTTAATTGGGAAGGAAGAAGTCAAATTATCCTTGTTTGCAGATGATATAATCTTATATTTCAAAAAGCCTAAAGACTCCACCAAAAAACTATTAGAACTGATACATTCAGTAAAGCTGCAGGATACAAAATCAAAGTAAAAATTTTAATACATTTATATATGCCAACAGCAAACAATTTGAAAATGAAATCAAGAAAGTAATCCCATTTGCAATAGTTACAAATAAAATTAAATAACTAGGAATTAACTTAATGAAAGAAGTGAAAGATCTCCACAATAAAAACTATAAAACTTGATGAAATAAATTGAAGAAGACACAAAAAAATGGAAAAGATATTCCATGTTCATGAATTGGAAGAATCAATATTGTTAAAATGTCCATACTACGCAAAACAATCTACAGCTTCAATGCAATCCTCATAAAAGTACCAATAACATTCTTAACAGAAAGAGAAAAAATAACCCTTAAATTTATATGGAACCACAAAAAACTTAGAATAGCTAAGGCCATTCCAAGTAAAAAGGACAAAACTGGAGGAGTCATATTACCTAACTTCAAATTATACTACAGAGCTATAGTAACCAAAACAGCATAGTACTGGCATAAAAACAGACACATAGATCAATAGAATAAAGAACCCAGAAATAAATCCATGCATCTACAGTGAACTCATTTTCGACAAAGATACCAAGAATATACATTAGGGAAAGGACAGTCTCTTCAATAAGTGGTGCTGGGAAAACTGGGTATCCATATGCAGAAGAATGAAACTAGACTCTCTCTTTCACTATGAAGAAAAATCAAATAAAAATAGATTAAAGACTTAAATCTAAGACCTCAAACTATGAACTACTAAAATAAAACATTTGGGAAGTTTTCCAGGACATTGCTCTAGGCAAAGATTTCTTGAGTACTACCCCACAAATATAGGCAACCAAAACAAAAATGAACAAATAGGGTCACATCAAGTTAAAAAGCTTCTGTATAGCAAAGGAAACAATTGACAAAATGAAGAGACAACCTACAGAATGAGAGTAAGTATTTACAAACTACCCATCTGACAAGGGATTAATAACGAGACTATATAAGCAGCTCAAACAACTCAATAGGAAAAAAATCTAATAATCCAATCAAAAAATAGGCAAAAGATTTGAATAGACATTTCTCAAAAGAAGAAATACAAATGGCACACGGGTATATGAAAAGGTGCTCAACATCACTGATCATTAGAGAAATGTAAATCAAAACTGCAATGAGATATCATCTCACTTCAGTTAAAATGGCTTTTATGGCCGGGCACAGTGGCTCACGCCTGTAATCCCAGCACTTTGGGAGGCCAAGGCAGGCAGATCACGAGGTCAGGAGATCGAGACCATCCTGGCTAACACACTGAAACCCCGTCTCTACTAAAAATACAAAAAATTAGCTGGGCGTGGTGGCAGGCGCCTGTAGTCCCAGCTACTCGGGAGGCTGAGGCAGGAGCATGGCGTGAACCCGGGAGGTGGAGCTTGTAGTGAGCCGAGATTGCGCCACTGCTCTCCAGCCTGAGCGACAGAGCAAGACTCTGTCTCAAATAAAAAAAACAAAAACAAAAACATAGCTTTTATCCAAAAGACAGGCAATAACAAATGCCAGTGAGGACGTGGAGAAAAGGGAACCCTTTTACACTGTTGGTGGGAATGTAAATTAGTATACTCACTATGGAGAACAGTTTGGAGGCTCTTCAAAAACTAAAAATAAATTTATCATACAATCCAGCAATCCCACTGCTAGATATATACTCACAAGAAAGGAAGTCAGTATATCAAAGACATATCTGCATTCCCATGTTTATTGCAGCACTATTCACAATAGCCATGATTGGAAAGCAGCCTAAGTGTCCATCAATAGATGAATGAATAAAGAAGATGTGGTACCAGCCGGGTGTGGTGGCTCATGCCTGTAATCTCAGCACTTTGGGAGGCCGAAGTGGGCAGATCACCTGAGGTCGAGAGTTCGAGATGAGCCTGACCAACATGGTGAAACCCCGTCTCTACTAAAAATACAAAAATTAGCTGGGCATGGTGGCATGTGCCTGTAATCCCAGCTACTCAGGAGGCTGAGGCAGGAGAATCGCTTGAACCTGGGGGTGGAGGTTGCAGTGAGACAACATCACACCATTGCACCCCAGCCTGGGCAACAAGTGTGAAACTCCATCTTAAAAAACAAACAAAAAAACCAGGCTGGGCGTGGTGGCTCACACCTGTAATCCCAGCACTTTGGGAGGCCGAGGCGGGCGGATCATGAGGTCAAGAGATCAAGACCATCCTGGCCAACATGGTGAAATCCCTTCTCTACTAAAAATGCAAAAATTAGCTGGGCGTGGTGGTGCATGCCCACAATCCCAGCTACTGGGGAAGCTGAGGCAGGAGAATCACTTGAACCTGGGAGGTGGAGGTGGCAGTGAGCTGAGATGGCGCCACTGCACTCCAACCTGGTGACAGAGTGAGACTCCATCTCAAAAAAAAAAAAAAAAAAGATGTGGTACATATATATACAATGGCGTACTATTCAGCCATAAAAAGAATGAGGGCCTGTCATTTGCAACCAATATGGATGGAACTGGAGGACATTATGTTAAGTGAAATAAGCCAGGCACAGAAAGACAAATTTCATAAGTTGTCACTTACTTGTGAAAGCTAAAAATTAAAATAAGTGGACTCATGGAGATAGAGAGTAGAATGATGATTACCAGAGGCTACGAAGGGCAGTGGGCAGGGCTGGAAGTGGGGATGGTTAATGGGTACATAAATAGATTTAGATAGAATGAATAAGATCTAGTATTTGATGGCACAACAGAGTTACTATAGTCAACAATAATTTTTTGTACAGCTAAAAATAACTAAAAGAGTATAACTGGATTATTTGTAACACAAAGGATAAATGCTTGAGGAGATGGATACCCCATTCACCCTGATGTGATTATTATGCATGTATGCCTGTATCAAAATATCTTATTGCCCCATAAATATATACACTTACTATGTACCCACAAAAGTTAAAAATTAAAAAAAAGAAATTGAATGAATATGCATGAAAATGAGTAGCTATGTGTTATAAAGAAAAATAAATTAGGCTGGGCGTGGTGGCTCACGCCTGTAATCTCAGCACTTTGGGAGGCCGAGGCAGGTGGATCACGAGGTCAGGAGATCGAGAACACCCTGGCTAACACGGAGAAACCCCATCTCTACAAAAAATACAAAAAATTAGCCAGGCATGGTGGCATGCGCCTGTAGTCCCAGCTACTCGGGAGGCTGAGGCAGGCGAATCACTTGAACCTTGGGAGGTGGAGGTTGCAGTGAGCCAAGATCATGCCACTGCACTCCAGCCTGGGCTACAGAGTGTGACTCCATCTCAATAAAAAAAAAAGAAAAAGAAAAAAAGAAAAGAAAAGAAAAATAAATTGACACCTGAGAAGGAATAGAAGAGGCAAAATTTATAGATGGGGTTGGTCAGAACAGACTTCTCTAAGATTGGGTCACTAAATATGAGATCTACAGAATGAATAGAAGTTGTCTAGGTGAAGATTGGTGGGAAATATGGGGAGAAAGGGAGGGTACACTTGGCAGAAGGACGAGAATGTGCTAAGGCAGAAGAGAAAGGAAAGCTTGGCACCTGAAACCACTGTGGCTAGAATACAGCAGCAAGAGAAAAAGTAGCACAGATGAAACCACTGTGGCTAGAATATAGCAAGCAAGCAAAAAAGTAGCACAGATGAAAATGGAGTCAGACCATCCAGGGGACTGGGTTATATTAAGGATTATAGATTTTTTTTCTAAATACAATGGGAATCCATGGATTAATTTTAAATAGGTGAATGGCATACTGTGATGAACATTTTAAAAACATCGCTCTAGCCACTATGTGGAGAACTCTTGGAGAGGGCAATAAGATGGTAGGGAGAATCCTTTGAAGACTATATCCCAGCCTAGAGATGATGGTGGTTTTGGAAGCAATGGAGGGAAGTGAATGGTTAGGGGATATATTTTGGAGGTAGAATTCATAGAGCTTAGTGATGGACTCTTAAAGAGATATGGAGAGAAAGATTTGAGTAGAATGAGAAGTAGGAAATAATCATTTAGGAATGTGATCGACTGAGTTAACTAGAGATACACAACTAGGTTGCCAGGCAATGTTTAGGTTGGAGATGTTGATTTTTCAATGATATCAATCAGTTCAGGCATGTGTTTTCTCCAGCTTGGTGTGAGAACAGAGAAGACAGATGGTTGGGTTCATCTAGGGTTGGAGTTTAGTGTGTTTGACAGAGGGGAAAGAAGCAAGGTAATTAGTGTAGTGTTTGCAAAGGAGTTATACCAAGGGACTCTAAGTACCTAAATCAACAGACGCGTAAAGGCAAGTGGGGCTGATGGACAGAGAGAGAGCAATGGGTTGTGCACTGGAAGTCTTAGTGAGATGGAAGATGGTGGAAGAGTGGTGTGCTTGGGTGAATTCACTGAAAACAACATAGCTTTGTTTCAGAAGTGGACGTCTGACTTTGTGATTGTATAGGCTGCTGAGGTGGAGAGTTCCATGAACTAACAGTGTAGTGTTTTGGATGCGTCATTCAAGATACATTAACATTGCCTAAAATGATGACAGGAGGTAAGATGGACTGGAAGATTGCCAACCAGGTGCTGAAATCTCAAATGAATGAAGAGAGGTGACAGCTGATGACAGTAATAAGGAGGAGGAGAGTGATTCAGCTGAATGGTTTGAGTCTCAAAGGAGACAAAAGGAACCAGGTTTAATGTCTGAAAGCAGGTAAACAGTGACCCAACTATCAAAGCTGAGATGAGAAAAAGCAGTCTTCACTTCAGACGCAGGCAGGGGAAATGAAGTTCTCAGACAGTGCTTGGGTCTCACTGAGGCAAAATTGTGGAAGGAGCGTGGGAGCAGAGATGGAGAATATCAGGAAGTTTGCTGAGTACAGAGCAAGCATTTTCAAACTCATCATGAGGTACAGGGTTGCGTCACATGGAATGATGGATGTAGTAGTAAGCTGGTTGGAGCTGAGAGTTAAGATAAAGGATTTCTGGAGAGACTTCTATGTCTGGTGGAGGGTTTGCTTCTGAAGGTCTTTTAGAAGAAGGTGGGCACTTGGTCTAATACTGGTGTAAATATGTTTTTTATTATTTTTACAAAAAATATGATAACTTGGCCAGGCCCGGTGGCTTATGCCTGTAGTCCTAGCGCTTTGGGAGGCCGAGGCGGCTGGATCATGAGGTCAAGAGATCAAGTCCATCCTGGCCAACATGGTGAAACCCCATCTCTACTAAAAATACAAAAATTAACTGGGTGTGGTGGTGTGCATCTGTAGTCCCAGCTACTCGGGAGGCTGGGGCAGGAGAATCGCTTGAACCCAGAAGGCAGAGGTTGCAGTGAGATGAGATCACGCCTCTGCACTACAGCCTGGGTGACAGAACGAGACTCTGTTTAAAAAAAAAAAAAAAAAAAAAAAAGACAACTTTCGGGACCATTTTCCTTTCAAAGCTGCCTTTTCTTTGTAAAGTTGATTGCAAAAGTATACAACCAATTAATGAGTACAGAGTTTCTGCTTGGGATGATGGAAAAATTCTGGAAATGGATAGTGGTGATGGTTGCACAGCATTGCAAATGTGCTTAATGTCATTGACATGTACACTGAAAAGTGGTTAAAATGGTGTCTGAGTCTGTGCAGGCTGCTGGAACAAAATACCATAAACTGGGTGGCTTGGAAATAACAGAAATTCATTTCTCACAGTTCTGGAGGCTGGGAAGGACAAGATTAAGATGCCAGCAGATTCAGTGTATGATGAGGGACTATTTCCAGGTTGATCGATGGTGACTTTTCACTGTGTCCTCACTTGGTGGGAAGGGGAAAGGCAATGGTCTGAGGTTTCTCGTATAAAGAAACGAATCCCATTCCTGATGGTGGAGCCCTCATGACCTAATCACCTCCCCAAATCCCCACTTCCTAACATCATCACATTGGTGAGTAGGTTTCCATATATGAATTTTGGGGGGATGCCAACATTCAGATCATAGCAAATGGTCAATTTTATGTTATGTATTTTTACCACAATTTGAAAAAATGCAGTGTGTAGTGAAGGTTGTAAACTAGCAGCCTATTGATTAAATGTGCTCTCAGACATGTTTGTTCATCCTCATGCTGTTTTGGCCATTAGTGTGTAATAATAATTAAATCATTTCCAACATTTAAAAATCTGGAGATTTTGTATTAAAATCCCTTTAAAAATCTGGGCTATCTAGAAACTCCGAACCCACATTGTTACTTAGGGAGGATCAGCTGGTGCCAAGAGAGGCATGTCCTCCCAATCCCTGGATGGAGCCGACACCTCTTACCACTCCTTATTGTGTTCTTGTCACCCTGGTGCTTGCTCTGTTGTTTCTCTTTTCAGAATTAAAAGAATGGTGAAACAACTGTATAGCCACATCTCTACAAAGATCAGAAAATGAAAGACTTAACAGGGCCTTGTGTTTCAAGAAAAGTGGGAGAAAACACATTTCTTGGTGGAAGTGAAGCTACATGTTTAATGTGTAAACAAAGTATGTCCCAAGAATATAATCTGGCCAAGTTATTTTTATTACCTACCCAGCTCCTGAGGGCAATTGTGTTTACCTTACCTCCCTGATTTATATAGACTCTTTATTACTTTTAAGTTTTAAATAATTTATGTAAAGTAAAAACCTAACAAAATTTCAAGGACATGCAACATCTCTAATTTTCATCAAGTCTTTGGCTAGGAAACGTGCCCAGACTTTGAGCTTGTTGGGAACAATGTGGGGTATCAATTAAGTGATCGATTAAAAGATTGTTCTCAGTGTTTGTACATAGAAAAAACAATGATACATTTTCTGTGTTCTGTGTGTGTGTGAAAGGGGTCACGTAGATCTGTGTGATTCATTGGCACATGGACTCATTGTTTGTGCCAAATCAATCAGTAGACATGGGAACATTAAATCATTGTATGTCAACATCGCTGTGGAAAAAAAAGGTTCTGGTACACAGAATGGGCACATCCTGTCACCAGAAAAAGTGCACCGACTTCTTTTTGAAAGTAAAAATATAGTAAACACCAGATATTCTGGCACTATGATTTATTCTAATCTAAAATATCCTAACACTTCTAAATATTAAGAACTAAATTTTAGTTCTTTTCCTGCTGGATGACCTTACCTAGGAACATCTTTGCTTGGTAATAAGAATGCAGTGAATTACTGCATTGCTGGATGATAGTTGAAAACAACGCTTAATGTGAATGCAAATGTCCGATTTCTACTTAGAAATGGAGGAGTGCACAAGTATCTCTCGACCCCTATCTGACATCTGTTGGTGTCCCATGACATTAGAAAATACCCGTGACCCAGACCAAGTCATGCACCAGCATAGAGGGTATATTCATTTTCTAGAGCTGCCTAAAAAGGACCACAAACTGGGTGGCATTAAACAATAGAAATCTATTCGGGTTTGGCTCTAGACATTAGAAATGTGAAATATAGATGTCAGCAGGGCCAAGCTCCCTCTGAAGGCTTTAGGGAAGACTCTGTCCCATGGCTTTCTCTTAGCTTCCGGTGTTGCCAGCAATCCTTGGCATCCCTAAGCTGGTAGATGCATCACTCTAATCTCTGCCTTCATTGGCACATGTCATTCTCCCTGTGTGTTTTTACGTGTCCCTTCTCTTCTTTTTTTTGAGATGGAGTCTCACACTGTCGCCCAGGCTGGAGTGCAATGGCACGATTTCGGCTCACTGCAACCTCTGCCTCCTAGGTTCAAGCAACTCTCCTGCCTCAGCCTCCTGAGTATATGGGATTACAGGCACCCGCCACCACGCCCGGCTAATTTTTTTTTTTTTTTGTATTTTTAGTAGAGATGGGGTTTCACCATGTTGGCCAGGCTGGTCTCGCACTCCTGACCTCAGGTGATCCGCCTGCCTCGGCCTCCCAAAATGCTGGGATTACAGGAGTGAGTCACCACGCCTGGCTTCTTCTCTTCTTTTAAAGACCACAGTCATATTGGGTTAGGGCCCACCGAAATGTCCTCATCATAACTTGATTACATCTGCAAAGATTCTATTTCCAAGTAAGGTTACAGGTTAGGACTTCAGCATATCTTTTTCGGGGGTACAATTCAACCCATAACAGAGGGACAGCACAGTGGACAGACCAAGATCCTTGAATTAACTCTTTAATTAGACTCTGACCCAGCCACATCTCATCTCAGCCATGGCTACCTTGCTTTCTTCCCTCATTTTGGTTTTGGAATCATCTCCTGCTTTACCCTTCTTCCATGATGGTCAATGTCAACTTTCATCAATGTATAGGTTTCTGACTGTGAACAGTCCCCTGTTGGCATGCTCTTTCCTTACTCCAAACCCTAGAAATAGAACTTCTTGATTGGAACCTAGAAAGCCATTCCTATAAATCACTCCTATCGATCACCTTCCTCCTGCCTTAAATCTTCCCTGGGTTGCACAGGTTTTCCATTGTCATCATTTCAGTCACCTCCTTGTAACTCTTCTGTCCTGCCATCCTTCCCTTTCACCCACTTGTTGGAACCCAGCCTTGAATAAGTCCATTTCTTTAGTCTGGGCTCACACCTGGGCAGCTGAGCGCTGTGAGAGGAAATCAAATCTGTTTACCTAGTTAGCTTTCTCTTCAGTTTTCTGCATGGGCATTTCATCGCATCCATAAAATCCTTAAACCTGTGACATCATCAGTTTCCTCTCGTCAACATGTTTCTCCCCTGAACTCTTAATTCATGAGGAAAATACACCTGTACCTTCTTAAATACATGGGGAAAACACAAGGTACCTTCTTCTTTTTTTTTTTAAAAACGGAGTCTCACTCTATTGCCCAGGCTGGAGTGCAATGGCATGATCTCTGCTCACTGCAACCTCTGCCGCCCAGGTTCAAGCAAATCTCCTGCCTCAGCCTCCTGAGTAGCTGGGATTACAGGCTCCTGCCACTGTGCCTGGCTAATTTTTGTATTTTTAGTAGAGACAGGGTTTCATCATATTGGCCAGGCTGGTCTCGAGCTCCCGACCTCAGGTGATCCACCTGCCTTGACCTCCTAATGTGCTGGGATTACAGGCATGAGCCACTGAGCCCAGCCGGTGTTTTTTTTTTTTTTTTTTTTTTGACAGGTTTGGCTTTCACCCTGATTCTCCTGCCTCAGCCTCCCAAGTAGCTGGGATTACAGGCATCTGCCACCATGCCCAGCTAATTTTTGTATTTTTAGTGGAGATGGGGTTTCACCATGTTGGTCAGGCTGGTCTTAAACTCCTGACCTCAGGTGATCTGCCTGCCTCAGCCTCCCAAAATGCTGGGATTACAGGTGTAAGCCAGTGCGCCTGGCCTGTTTCTTAAATATTAGTGTTCTTTGATTTCTGCCCTTGGCTTTTTTTTTTTTTTTCTTTTTTTTTTTGAGACGGTCTCCTTCTGTCACCCTGGCTAACTGCACTCTTGACTTCCCTGGCTCAGGTGATCCTCCTACCTCAGCCTCCTGAGTAGCTGGGATTACAAGCATGCACCATCAGGCCTGGCTAGTTTTTTATTTTTTGTAAGAGATGGGGTCTCACTATGTTGCCCAGGCTTGTCTCGAACTCCTGGGCTCAAGGGATCCTCCTGTCTCTGCCTCCCAAAATGCTGGGTTTAGAGGTGTGAGCCGCTACGCCTGGCCCCTTTGGCTCTCTTTGTTCCTCATTCTAAACAGTTTCCCATGGGATTTCTGTCACTCCCATGAATTTATCACTGACAATTTCCAAGTCTATAGCTCTAGCTCGGATCACTCCAAAGGCTCACATTCACATATCCAACTGTCTACTAGACAACTCCACTTAGATGTTTCCCATGAACACTGCAAATGCAACGTGTCAAAAATCAAACGTGGGCCGGGCGCCATGGCTCACGCCTGTAATCCCAGCACTTTGGGAGGCCGAGGCAGGCAGATCTCCAGGTCAAGAGATTGAGACCATCCTGGCCAACATGGTGAAACCTTGTCTCTACTAAAAAAAAAAAAAAAAAAAAGAAAAATACAAAAATTAGCTGGGCATGTTGGCACATGCCTGTAGTCCCAACTACTCGGGAGGCTGAGGCAGGAGAATCATTTGAACCCGGGAGGCGGAGGTTGCAGTGAGCCAAGATTGCACCACTGCACTCCAGCCTGGCCAGCCTGGGCAACAAGAGCAAAACTCCGTCAAAAAAAAAAAAAAAAAAAATCAAACGCATAACCTCTACTCCTCAGCCCCTTTCTGTCTTGCTTTAACTCCTGGGTTTCCCCACTCAGTTAATCAATCCTTACCTCATTTACCCAAACCAGAGACCGAGTGTCAGCTGAGGCAGATGTCCTTTGGGTCTTAACCATGCCATTGCATTCCTGCCTGTTGCCAATGGCCTGTATTGGTATCTTTTTTGCCTAAGGACCTTTTAGAAAGCAACAAAAGCCTGCTCTGGTTTGTGCAGAACAAGCTAGAAATGCTGAGGAAATAAAGCCATTGGCCAGTGATTCATGGGAATTGGTTTATAAATGCCCCAGCTCCTCACCCCCTTGAGTGGGACAACTAAAGCATTTGTTTTATCCCATTTCACAGGATGTCTCCATGGAATATGCTCCAGGCTTTCACAGCACAGTTGGCTAATGGGGCCAACCCTTGATTGGCTGCTTTTCCTTCTTCATTTCACTTTCCTACCAATATTCCCCATTCTTTACAGATAAACTACTTGCATTTGAATCCCTGCCTTGAGGTCTGTTTCTGGAGAAAACCAAAGTAAGACATCATTCTTCTTTGCACTCTCTTCCTTTCCCCTTCTTCCAGTCAATCACCAAGTTCTATTAATTCTACCTCATAATTATTTCGAAAAGCTGGCCACTTCCCACTGCCATCACCTGTAGCCTGCAACACTGCTCCCCTCTCCTTCCTGCCTCCCTCCAATTTGTTCCCCTTTGATCTTTTTTCTTTTTTCAGGTAGTAACCATTTAAATATGCAAATTTGACTATATTACCATTACCCTAGGCTTCTTAGGTCTCAATTTACATGTAACTTCCTGGGAGAAGCTTTCCTCAATTTTCTTTCAATTCTAGGTACCTATTAAAAGAATTAGCTTGTCATTTCCCTTTTAGAGCACCTCACACACTATACAGTGATTCTTTTTTTTTTTTTTTTTTTTTTTTTTGAGACAGTCTCGCTCTGTTGCCCAGGATAGAGTGCAGTGGCCCGATCTCGGCTCACTGCAAAATCCTCCTCCCGGGATCACGCTGAGAGGTGACAGCATGCTGGTAGTCCTCAGAGCCCTCGCTTGCTCTCGGCACCTCCCCTGCCTGGGCTCCCACTTTGGTGGCATTTGAGGAGCCCTTCAGCCCCCCACTGCACTGTGGGAGCCCCTTTCTGGGCTGGCCGAGGCTGGAGCCCACTCCCTCAGCTTGCAGGGAGGTGTGGAGGGAGAGGCACGAGCTGGAACCGGGGCTGCGTGCGGCGTTTGCGGGCCAGCTGGAGTTCCGGGTGGGCGTGCGCTTCGTGGGCCCCGCACTCGGAGCAGCCAGCCAGCCCTGCTGGCCCCGGGCAATGGGGAACTTAGCACCCGGGCCAGTGGCTGCGGAGGGTGTACTGGGTCCCCCAGCAGTGCCGGCCCACCTGTGCTGTGCTCGATTTCTCGCCGGGTCTTAGCTGCCTTCCCGCGGGGCAGGGCTCAGGGACCTGCAGCCCGCCATACCTGAGCCTCCCACCCACTCCATGGGCTCCTGTGCGGCCGGAGCCTCCCCGACGAGCACCACCCCCTACTCCACAGTGCCCAGTCCCATCGACCACCCAAGGGCTGAGAAATGCGAGCGCACGGCGCAGGACTGGCAGGCAGCTCCACCTGCAGCCCCGGTGCGGGATCCACTAGGTGAAGCCAGCTGGGCTCCTGAGTCTGGTGGGGACGTGGAGAGTCTTTATATCTAGCTCAGGGATTGTAAATACACAAATCAGCACCCTGTGTTTAGCTCAAGGTTTGTGAGTGCACCAATCGACACTCTGTATCTAGCTGCTCTGTTGGGGCCTTGGAGAACCTTTATGTCTAGCTCAGGGATTGTAAATACACCAATCAGCACTCTGTATCTAGCTTAAGGTTTGTAAATACACCAATCAGCACCCTGTGTTTAGCTCAAGGTTTGTGAGTGCACCAATCGACACTCTGTATCTAGCTGCTCTGGTGGGGCCTTGGAGAACCTTTTTGTCTAGCTCAGGGATTGTAAATACACCAATCAGCACCCTGTGTTTAGCTCAGGGTTTGTGAGTTCACCAATCGACACTCTGTATCTAGCTGCTCTGGTGGGGCCTTGGAGAACCTTTATGTCTAGCTCAGGGATTGTAAATACACCAATCAGCACCCTGTGTTTAGCTCAGGGTTTGTGAGTTCACCAATCGACACTCTGTATCTAGCTGCTCTGGTGGGGCCTTGGAGAACCTTTATGTCTAGCTCAGGGATTGTAAATACACCAATCAGCACCTTGTGTTTAGCTCAGGGTTTGTGAGTTCACCAATCGACACTCTGTATCTAGCTGCTCTGGTGGGGCCTTGGAGAACCTTTATGTCTAGCTCAGGGATTGTAAATACACCAATCAGCACCCTGTGTTTAGCTCAGGGTTTGTGAGTTCACCAATCGACACTCTGTATCTAGCTGCTCTGGTGGGGCCTTGGAGAACCTTTATGTCTAGCTCAGGGATTGTAAATACACCAATCAGCACTCTGTATCTAGCTCAAGGTTTGTAAACACACCAATCAGCACCCTGTGTTTAGCCCAAGGTTTGTGAATGCACCAATCGACACTCTGTATCTAGCTGCTCTGGTGGGGCCTTGGAGAACCTGTGTGTCCAAACTCTGTATCTAACTAATCTGATGGGGACATGGAGAACCTTTGTATCTAGCTCAGGGATTGTAAACGCACCAATCAGCACCCTGACAAAACAGGCCACTGGGCTCTACCAATCAGCAGGATGTGGGTGGGGCCAGATAAGAGAATAAACGCAGGCTGCCCAAGCCAGCATTGGCAACCTGCTGGGGTCCCCTTCCACACTGTGGAAGCTTTGTTCTTTAGCTCTTTGCAATAAGTCTTGCTACTGCTCACTTTTTGGGTCCACGCTGCTTTTATGAGCTGTAACACTCACTGCAAAGATCTGCAGCTTCACTCCTGAGCCCAGCGAGACCACGAGCCCACCAGGAGGAACGAACAACTCCAGACGTGCTACCTTAAGAGCTGTAACATTCACCGCGAAGGTGTGCAGCTTCACTCCTGAGCCAGCGAGACCATGAACCCACCAGAAGGAAGAAACTCCAAACACATCTGAACATCAGAAGGGACAGGCTCCAGACATGCCACCTTAAGAGCTGTAACACTCACCGTGAGGGTCCACGGCTTCATTCTTGAAGTCAGTAAGACCAAGAACCCACCAATTCCGGACACACAATGATGGGATCACAGCTCATTGCCACCTTAAACTCCTGGGCTCAAGGGATCCCCCCACTGCAGCCTCCTGAGTGGCTGGGACTACAGGCACATGCCACTGAACCTGGCTAATTAAAACAAAATTTTTGTATGCATGGGGTCTCAGTTTGTTGTCCAGGCTGATCTCAAACTTCGGGGCTCAAGCAATCCTCCCACCTCAGCCTCCCAAAGTGCTAGAATTACAGGTGTGAACCACCATACCTGGCCTAAAAGCACAAGTTTTAGAATGAGACACACAAGCCAGAGTCCTGATTCTGCTGATTAAGCTGTGTAAGAAGAGGCAGGTTACTTTCTCTCCATGCCTCAGTTCTGTCATCTGTTAAAAGAATAAAGTGGTATCTACCTCATAGACTTTCTATGAAGATGAGATAGAATATGTAAAGAACTTAGCACACAACAAGCACTCAATAATTGATATCATCATCATTGCTATTGTATCATCTGTTAGTTGGAGAATATACCCTTATATTGCCTTATTTAGTCTTTATAATAATTCTATAATATAGGCAATGCTATAATCCCTATCTTACAAATAGAGAAATGGAGGCCTAGAGAGCTTTAAGTAACTTGCTTAATGATAATAACAACTACAAATGATATAATGGACTTTGGGGACTCAGGGGGAAGGTTTGGAGGGGAGTGAAGGATAAAAGACTACACATTGGATACAGTGTACACTGCTTGGGTGACAGGTGCACCAAAATCTCAGAAATCACCACTAAAGAACATATCCATGTAACCAAAAGCCACCTGTTCCCCAAAAACTATTGAAATAAAAATAAAATGAAAAAAATACAATAATAATAATAGCAAATAATTATAAATTGCTCACCATGTATCAGGTACTATTCTAAACTGTTTTCATGTGAATTCATTTATTTGTTAATCCTAAGAGGCAGATCTTTTTGTTATCTCCATTCGCAGAGAAGACTGAAACGCCGAAGTATGAAGTAACTTGTTTAAGGTAACGCAGCTCATATTGGTGGAAGTAGGATTCAATTTCACCTGGCTTCAGAGAATGTGCACTTAATCACTGTGCTATGCTACTGAAACCAGCCCAATTGTCCCACAGAACTGATATTTATGGTTTCTTTAAATAAACGTAAAAAGTAATCCTCCCAGTTTAAAAACTTGAGAAAGTTACTTTTGTCTTATCTGAGTTCCTTTCTCAGGAAACCAACCATCAGGACTCCCAGATAGTATCAAGGAGCTGAACCTCACCAGATCATTGCATCTGGACAATGGGACACCAGACTCCTCATGAGTCATGATGGATGAACTGACCACCTTCTTCCTGTTGACCAACTTCTCTTCCTAACCCCTCCCTAATTCCTGTCTTCCCTCACATGATTACATTTCTTCCCTGCTACATAAACTCCTAATTTTAGTCAGTCAGGAAGATGAACTTGAGACTGATCTCCCATCTCCTCTTCTGCAGCACCTGATTAAAGCCCTCCTCCCTGGCAAAATTCATTGTCTTGGTGATTGGCTTTCTGTGCAGCAGCAGTAGGACCTAGACTGAGCCTCTGATGTTTCAGTAACACTACCTCTCTAGTTCTATTATACAGTGGCATGGTTTGTAAAACAATTAACATAATGAATATAAAATAGAAAGTTGAGAAAAACACAAAAGCACATTTTGATTTTAAATTTAAGAATATCTAATAGGTAAATTCTCATCTACCTTCTGATACTATTCAGGGCAAAAAAATTTTAAAAAAAGTCAACATTTCACTGATCTAAATTCCTTTGAGCTCTCTACAATGGTACTTGTGGTTTTGTAACACAAATTGTCACAACTACTTAAGCTCTTTGGAAGAAAACAATTTTAATTTCAATGTCATGGATAAATACAGATTTTATGTGGTTTTGTTCAACCTAGACTCAGGCTCAGAACCTTTGCTCCTTGGAAATACACTTGGAACTCTCCTGGAAAATGTTACCTTTCTCTTTTCTCTATAATATTGATATATCTGTCACATTCTAGCAGGGCCCATGATTAATCTTAATGTGCAGGTGTTCCTAACTGAGGCTGGATGTTTGAATTTGCTTCATTCTATGCAGTCTGTTTTAATTTTGATTAATTGCCATCAGGAATAATAACTCCTCAGGGTAGATCATTAGGAAGCTACAAAATCGATTATGTTTAGCTACAGAATATGTAAAACTATTCACCACCACTGAAACAATCATAGATGCCCTTTATGTTGCATGTACAAGGAATGCTTAGGTTCATTACAACTGGGTTTCAGAATAAATCAAAATAGAGTTGGAAATGCTTTTTTATAAATAAGTTAGCTTTCAGACTTGCCCTTTCTTTTCCTTAATAAATTTTTCTAATTCTGCCATGAAAATCAGTGACCATAGTTAGTAATCATGGAAAGTAAGAATAATATGCTTTCCATATAGACTGGGGAATATATTTCAGTACACATTTGCAATAATGAATTGGCAGACTCATGAGCCCCTGAAGCATAATAAAAGACCCAAGCTTACCTACTATCCCCAACCCAAGACTATTGCCTTAGTTGAGGCCCCGCTGGCTTCACTTTGCAGCTAATGTACCAGCCTCCTGACTGCATCCAGCTTCCTCACCTCTTGTGTAGTTCACATTGCTACTACCAGAGCAATCTTCAACACAAATATCATAATCATGACCCTAATTAGAATCCTTCCATCGCTCAAGAGCACCTTCTCTATAGGATGCAAACCCCTGTTTGTAATATTCAGGGAAAACATTTTTAATGGCCTTCCATGGCTATACTAGTTATGTTAAGTCAAGAGATGGTGAGGTAAAAGACAACCTCCAATTCTCACTGGCAAAAGGCAATCACAATTTGTTTTCCACTCATTCAAAGTCTGCCATGTAAGGGGTATAGCTCATTGGTGGAGACTTTAGTTGAAACATCAGCCATCTTAACACAAATCATCCTCCATGACTGCTGCGGCAATAGAGAATCATGCCCTGGCATGTGAAGGCTTTGATCTAAAAATGGCACATTGCCTCAAGTCACAGTGCATCAGTCAGAATCTTTCCCATGGTCTTCCCCACCTGCAATAGGGCAAGGAAATATATCTTCAATCTAGGGTGGGGAGGAGAATTGGAAATATTGGTCAGCACAATGTCTACCATGATGGCCTTCTATATAACATGTAAACTCTTCAGCATAGCATTCAATGAAAGTCCTTCATGACTAGTTCCTTGCCCACCTTACTAGCCTCCCTGTCTCCAGTTTCTTCTTGATCCACTCACAACAATTTGCTCTTCCCACACCAGCTCGTACCTTTGCACCTGACCCTCATTATGCCTGGAACACTCTTGCTCCCCTTTTCCATCTGGCTATCTTGTATTCATACTTTAAGATTTATCTTAAATGCCACCTCTTCTAGGAAGCCTTGCTTGTGGCATCACTCCTTCAGGAGACCCTTTTCTGTGTACCCCAGTGCATTGTGGGCTCATTTCCGTATAGCTGCTGTCACATCTTATTGTTACTAAATGTCCATTTCCTCCATTAAACTGTGAAGTCATTGAGGGCAAAATTTCTGTCTGGTCTCTCTACTGCCCTACTTCAGTGGATTCTGATGTTTTTTGGCCTCTCCTTACCTTTGAAAATCTGACGAAAACTCTATATTCTAAACTATAAAGTCTAGACAAATTATTCTAAATTTTGCTAATAATTTCAAGAAGTTCTGAGATGCTCGATCGAAATCCATCTGTGGACCTTGGGAATCCAGGGACCTTTGGTTAAGAACCCCTGTACTAGCTCCTGGATACATCAAAATAATTTTCATCTACCAAGTGCTTAATGTGTGGCAGATGCTGTTTTGATCACTTCACATGATTTACCCCATTTATTCCTTATAATCATCATATAAAGTAGATACTGTAATTATCCCCAGTTTACAGATGAGGAAACTGAGGAACAGCATTTAAGTAACTTGCACAAGGCTATTCCTGAGCTTGCTCTCTTAACCACAACACTACATTGCTTCCCAGTCTCACTATGATAATATACACAGTACTCTACCTAAAAGACACCACATAAATGTCTGTGGAATGAACTATAGAATGATTGCAAGCAGTAATGCTATGCACCAGGAACTATGAATAGGGTTAAAATCATTCAGAAAATACAGAGGCTCAGCAATCAAGTTGAAACTGATTTTGCAAAAATTATAACCGAGGACATTAAGACAGAGAAATCTGACATGGCTGACTCCATTTTGTCTCTAGCCTCACAGGCTGGCTGTCTTTGCTCATTCCTGGGCATGGGCCAAGCTAACTTTGAGAGAAATTTATAGTTTAAATAATAGCCCTTCCCCAAAACCAAACTGTTCTTGTAAAACTAGTGAAAGGCCACCAATTTAGGATGAGAGGGGCTTGAATTCTAAATAATTACCAGCCATTATTCTAGAGCTCATAAGATTTGCAACTTCCCCAATTACTCTTGAAGATAACATCACTATTGTAGAACCTAAGACGGGCCTCTTGAGATGTCTTTTCAGGTTTTTACATTTCTTTCTTTCCTTTTTTTTTTTGAGGCAGAGTCTTGCCCTTGTCACCCAGGCGGGAGTGCAGTGGTGCGATCTCGGCTCACTGCAAACTCCGCCTCCCAGGTTCAAGCGATTCTCCTGCCTCAGCCTCCCGAGTAGCTGGGATTACAGGCGCCTGCCACCATGACCCGCTAATTTTTGTATTTTGAGTAGAGACGGGGTTTCGCCATGTTGGCCAGGCTGATCTCGAACTCCTGACCTCAAGTGATCTGTCCGTCTCAGCCTCCCAAAGTGCTGGGATTACAGGCGTGAGCCACTGTGCCCGGGAGGTTTTTGCATTTCTTTTTTTTTTTTTTTTTTTTTGAGACGAAGTCTGGCTCTGTCGCCCAGGCTGGAGTGCAGCGGCGCGATCTCGGCTCACTGCAAGCTCCGCCTTCCGGGTTCACACCATTCTCCTGCCTCAGCCTCCTGAGTAGCTGGGACTACAGTAGGCGCCCACCACCACGCCCGGCTAATTTTTTTGTATTTATAGTAGAGACAGGGTTTCACCGTGTTAACCAGGATGGTCTCGATCTCCTGACCTTGTGATCTGCCCGCCTCGGCCTCCCAAAGTGCTGGGATTACAGGTGTGAGCCACTGTGCCCGCCTGGTTTTTGTATTTCTGACAACCAGATGGCCCCAACTGGACCTGCCAACCAGTCCTGTGGTCCCCCCCGCCCACTCAGGAACTGACTCAGCATAAGAGAACAGCTTTGACTCCCTATGATTTCATCCCTGAGCCAACCAATCAGCACTCCTGACTCACTGGCCCCTTACCCATCAAATTTTCCTTAAAAACTCCAATCCTGGAATTCTCAGGGAGACTGATCTGAATAATAATAAAACTCTGGTCTCCCATACAGCCGGCTCTGTGTGAATTAAGCCCTTTCTCTATTGCAATTCCTCTGTCTTGATGAATTGACTCTGTCTAGGCAGTGGGCAAGGAGAACCAGCTGGGTGGTTACCAAATGGTTTGTAAATGCTGTGAGCTTTCTCAGTGGAGTAGATAACACAAGGTATGCACTACTCCAACCTTCAGGTAGCTTTAAGGTTAAGGGGTGAAAAGGTAAAGAACTTTCATTGAATACTTACTACATGCCTGATAATTGAGTTTGGTACCTTCTCAACAGACTGCAACATAAAATAGTGCCAGCAGACCTTGGTATATAATTGAATTTTGAGCTCGATATTGACCCTGAATATCGAATGGGAAAAAATGGGAAGGACTGATTGGGAAAAAGAAAAATGTAATATTCTCCAAGAGAGGCATTATTTAAACCACAGTTGGTAAAAATGTAACTGCTGTCTCTATGGACATCAACCATAGAATGGAAGTTTTACTGTTAGAATGGAGAAGGGTTAAGCAGTTAGGGGTGGGCGTTTCTTTTTATAAAGATAGGCCTTTCAAGTCTTTGGTGATAAGAAAGAGTTCTACAATTACAGTCCAATGGGAATAGGAGGAGCTTCACTCAAGTGTGCACATGCACACTTCTGCTTTGGTTTCAGAAAAGTGGGAAAGGAAGGCAGGAAAGAGAGAGAAAGAGATCACTATGTGCCAGTAATCACACCAAATTATTCTGAATAGAGTCTCTCAGGCTATCTAGCCTAGAGTTCCTGCTATGGTCGACGGTTCAAAGGTCAAATGCCTGGCACTTGGTTGGTGGAGGGGCCTGGCGGGAAGACTTTTCCTCCCTTAAGAAACTTACCGTCGGCTGGGCGTGGTGGCTCATGCCTGTAATTCCAGCACTTTGGGAGGCTGAGGCAGGTGGATCACGAGGTCAGGAGTTCGAGACCAGCCTGGCCAACGTGGTGAAACCCTGTCTCTGCTAAAAATATAAAAATTAGCTGGGCATGGTGGTGCATGCCTGTAGTCCCAGCTACTGGGGAGGCTGAGGCAGAAGAATCGCTTGAACCCAGGGGGCAGAGGTTGCATGAGCCAAGATTTCACCACTGTACTCCAGCCTGGGCAACAAAGTGAGACTCTATCTCAAAAAAAAAAAAAAAAAAAAAAAGAAAAGAAATGTGTGGTCATACGTTTGTTGGCTGCATAAATGTCTTCTTTTTAGAAGTGTCTGTTCATATCCTTTGCCCATTTTTTGATGGGGTTGTTTTTTTCTTGTGAATTTGTTTGAGATACCATCTCACACCAGTTAGAATGGCAATTATTAAAAAGTCAGGAAACAGGCTGGGCGCAGTGGTTCACGCCTGTAATCCCAGCACTTTGGGAGGCCGAGGTGGGCAGATCACGAGGTCAGGAGATCAAGACCATCCTCGCCAACATGGTGAAACCCCGTCTCTACTAAAATACAAAAAATTAGCTGGGTGTGGTGGCATGCACCAGTAATCCCAGCTACTCGGGAGGCTGAGGCAGGGGATTTGATTGAACCTAGGAGGTGGAGGTTGCAGTGAGCTGAGATCACGCCACTGCACTCCAGCCTGGCAACAGAGCAAGACTCTACCTCAAAAAAAAAAAAAAAAAGAAAAGAAAAGTCAGGAAACAACAGATGCTGGTGAGGCTGTGGAGAAATAGGAATGCTTTTACACTGTTGGTGGGAGTGTAAATTAGTTCAACCATTATGGAAAACAGTATGGCAATTCCTCAAGGATCTAGAACCAGAAATACCGTTTGACTCAGCAATCCCATTACTGGGTATATATTCAAAGGATTATAAATCATTCTACTATAAATACACATGCGGACGTATGTTTACTGCAACACTATTTACAACAGCAAAGACTTGGAAACAACCCAAATGCTCATCAACAATAGGCTGGATAAAGAAAATGTGGCACATATATACCATGGAATACTATGCAGCTATAAAAATGAATGAGTTCATGTCCTTTTCAGGGACATGGATGAAGCTGGAAACCATCATTCTCAGCAAACTAACACAGGAACAGAAAACTAAACACCGCATCTTCTCACTTATCAGTGGGAACCGAACAATGAGAACACGTTGACACAGGGAGGGGAATATCACACACCAGGGCCTGTCGGGGGGTGGGGAACAAGGGGAGGGAGAGCATTAGGATAAATACCTAATACATGTGGGGCTTAAAACCTAGATGATGGGTTGATAGGTGCAGCAAACCACCATGGCACACGTATACCTATGTAACAAACCTGCACGTTCTGCACATGTATCCCGGAACTTAAAGTGAAATAAAATAAAACAGAAACATACGGTCTACTTAGAGAGACAAGACGGAATGTTATTGAAACCCCCATCGCAAAATTATAACTGAGACAGTGAAAGAGATCTGACGTATCCAACTCCATCTTGCCTTTAACCTCCAAGCTGTCCTTGTTCATTCCTGGGTGTAGGCGGAACCAACTTTGGGAGGAACTTAGTTTGTAGTTTATAGTTTAAAACAAAGACAATAATAGTCCTTTCCCAAAACAAACCCCCTTCCTGCCTGGGGGCTAGACTGCCTTTGTAGGACTAACAAATTAGCCAAAAGATTAGAAATTATGGTTTAGGAGTCAAGCAGCTGGAGGCTACAAGAGTCTGACCCTCCCCAAATTGCTCCTGGATATAACATCACTGTGGTAAAACCTAAGAACAGTGCTTGGGATATTTTGCAGACCTTGAGCTTGATGGATCAGCTGGCACCACTGAGATGGATAAATTGGCTCATCTGATCTTGTGGCCCCCACCCAGGAACTGACTCAGGGCAAGGTGACAGCTTCTCTGACCTAACCAATCAGCACTGCCAACTCACTGCCTCCCTCCCACCCCTGCCCCACCAAATTATACCTAAAAACCCTGATCCCCGAATGCACAAATGCTCAGGGAGACTAATTTGAGTAATAATAAAACTCCAGTCTCCCACGAAGTTGGTTCTGTGTGAATAACTCTTTCTTTATTGCAATTCCTCTGTCTTGATAAATTGGCTCTGTCTAGGTAGTGGGCAAGGAGAACCTGTCAGGCAGTTACATTACGGCATACTACATTAGCAATTCTAAGATTGTCCGCGAGCAATTTCAGTCATACTCAGGAAGACCTAAAAACAAGGAAAATAGATTTGGTGTCATTCATCCTACATGGTTTCTTTCTTTCCTTTTTTTTTTTTTTTTTGTGATGGAGTCTCACTCTGTCACCGAGACTGCAGTGCAGTGGCACGATCTCCGCTCACTGCAACCTCCGCTTCCCGGGTTCAAGGGATTCTCCTGCCTTAGCCTCCTGAGTAGCTGGAATTACAGGCGTGCACCACCACATTCAGCTAATTTTTGTATTTTTAGCAGAGACAAGATTTCACCATGTTGGCCAGGCTGGTCTTAAACTCCTGACCTCAGGTGATCCACCCACTTCAGCTTCTCGAAGTGTTGGGATTACAGGCATGAGCCACCGTGCCCAGCCCTCCATGGTTTCTAAGGATAATCATATTGTATTCTGCAAATCCTGACTCAGGAAATACATCTCCAGATAAACTTTGAACCATTTCTAGCCTGTGCAAAGAGGTGGCCCAGGTCTGCACAGGGCCAATGTATAATCCTAAAGCTCTTGAAGATATGAATCTGCATGCCCGTTTGGAGGTGGGTGGAGGAAAGGGTATCCAAATCAACTTCAAGGATCAAGGGTAGGTGACATTGGTCATTGTCCGAGTTTCTGTTCTCACTGCTCAAGTTTGTGTCCTCAACAGTCAAAGTACTTGCAAATGTATCTCACGAATTGCTTTGACATTTTTCCTGTCAGTCTTTTTCATTGCCCTCACATTTATCTACGTCACTGGCTCTAGATATGTTGGTTTTTCAGTGTCAATATATTTGGATTAAGGAGGATGATTTAAAGAACAAAGTAATATGGGATTTTTAAAGAAAAATATTTGGAACTAAATTTGGGGGAACATTTCTGGTTTCATTGTTTATAACATAGAAAAAATGTCTTATATTAGCAAGTCATTTAAAAATATTTGGTTGAAAATGTTTTTAAAATGTTCTAATATTAGCTTGAATATTCTGTATAACTATGCTTGCTGTCTTTTTTTTTTTTTTTAGATGGAGTTTCACTCTGTCGCCCAGGCTGGAGTGCGGTGGCGTGATCTCAGCTCACTGCAATCTCTGCCTCCCGGGTTCAAGTGATCCTCTTGCCTCAGCCTCCTGAGTAGCTGGGATTACAGGTGCGTGCCTCCAAGCCCAGCTAATTTTTGTATTTTTAGTAGAGACGGGGTTTCACCATGTTGGTCAGGCTGGTCTCGAACTCCTCACCTCGTGATCTGCCCGCCTCGGCCTCCCAAAGTGCTGGGATTACAGGCATGAGCCATTGCACCCAGCCTACACTGTCTTAAATTATAATCTATTTGGAACTCTTACTTTGAAATACAGTCATTTTCTCTTGCAAATCATCTGAAGGGGACTAAATCAAGCCAGCTTTCCACTGACTTACAGTCTCAGACTCTAATTATACAGTCTGCATCTCAAGTTGTGTTGTAATTCATTAAAATTCTTTTTGCCCCTTTTCAGTTGGATGCATTTCAGCATTCTAAATTTTAGTCTCTTCCGGGTTCAGAAAAAATGTAGACAGTTAATAGAGTATATTTGTTTCTCATTTGTTTGTTAATTTGATTTTGTAATGATCTCTTTGTCCCTTCATTTCTGTAACCCATGGTGGCGCCTATCATAACCAGTCAATATGCAAATTTTCCTAGAGGCTGGCCCATCCAGTCCCATAGCAAAAGAATTCTGATTCTGCAAAATGATTTGCATTTGGATGAAGGATTCCCACCACATGTATGAATTTGCACCTGGATGCAAATCCAGGAAGAGTGGGCTTAGGGGTGGGCGCTGGGGAGAAGGAGTTGGAGTCTTTGGGGTGAAGGAAGGAGGTGTTACACTATGTGAAGACTGCAACTTTGTGCCCAAAACAGGAGTGAGAGTGAAGCATTCATTTTTGCCCTTCTGGAAGGTCTGCATAGGTGCGTAGCCATTAGATGTCAGCAGGTCAACTGCATATTGTCAGGGCAGTCGAATTTATGTCAGTAGTCTGGCCTTTGGCTTTCACAGATCTCTCTGGGCGGCCTGACTAGGAGAGGTTATCAGGTCCCCTGCCTGCTTGGTGGGGGTCAGTGTTTAACTTCTTTAAACTCTGCTTGGGAATGTGTATCTTTCCTGCTTGTGGACCACATCGTTTTTGTTACTAGGCACCTGGGGAAGCCTTGAAGTATTCCTACTAGGGATGTGTATCCTTGGAGTTGCCCATGTGACGTTTATCTTTGCTTTCCTGGTGTTTGCTATCTGGAGAGGATTATCCAGGGAGTAGTTTGGCTTAGGTGTGAGGCTGATCCTCTCATTTCTTCTCACCCAGTGAAAACATTACAAACCGAATATAATCCCATGGGGAAGAGTAGACTCCAATGAGAAAATACAAGCAGTCAAGGACCAACAGTTGAGGATTAGTGGAAATGAGATACAGAATACTTTTCCCCCCAATTTTTTTAGAGAAGAAAGGACTGTAATTTAGACTGTAATTTACCCTAGAATTTTACATTGTGTTTTAAGATGTGAACTGGAGACTCTTTTAGGAACTATTGCTTGCCCAAATTCAAAAGGGAAAATAAAGCTAGAAATAACTTTGAATACACATCCAATTATAAGAATATGATTTTACAGGTCTAGATAGAGAAAACATGATTTTAAAATTATAGATGATAGCGCAATATGTGTTAATAATCTCATATAGAAATTAAATTAGATTGCTTATCATATTTTTTGCATTTTACTTAATGTAGTTTTACTAAATAGGGATTTTCAAATGTAGTTCACTATTGCTAATGCAGTGATTATACTAAGGGTTACTCATTTAAAATAAAAATTTTGAGCTGATTAGGAATTTTATCCAATTACATTGGTCCATTAAAAAATACAATATCCATAGGTTGGCTAAACAGCAGATGCCTAAGTGCTGAAATTATTGCTAGAAATTTAAAAGCTATCTCCCTAGATTTCTCATTTGTCCTTTGGAACATGGTGTATCAAAGGATCTTATTCTGCAAGTTTTTGTAAGATTTTAACAGCTCTCCCTTTAAATCCTTTCTAAAAGAGTCATTTTTTCTTTCAAAGGTGACTGATTTGGGCTTTGAATCCCTGTGAACCCTCTGGGTTACATTAAGGGGTCCTGGAATCTACATATCAAGTATTATCAAGGACAGAATAACGTATTGCAATATGTGTACTGCTCTTTTTCATGCGTAAGTAGCTTTGTAATGATGAATAAATACAAAATGTGCGGCTTTCGTGGTAACTTTTGGTGTTCTCAATCAACAGAGATGAAAACAAAACTGCTATTTTTGGGTAAAAAACAGGCTCTCCTACTTGAAAAGCTTGGAAACTCCTAGAAACTATGAGTAGAAAGTGCCACCAATATGACAAGCTTCCGTTTCCACTACAGTGCCTTGTGTGCCTCTGAACTCCAAGTGGTCAAAGGAGTCATTCAGTTCTAAGAGTGAATCATGCTTATGTAACATACTGGTAGCAAAAGTGTACAGCATTAGGGTTTGTGAAAAAAGGGAGCACATTCAAGTCATCTATTAACATGGAGTCTTTGAGTTTTTGCATTTTTTTCTGTTTTGCTCTCAAATTACCACATTGGAGCTAAGCAGATGACAGCTGACTATAGAGGTCTATAAACTCATTTTCGTCTTGTGTTGAGCCAGCCAGGACCCACTGAATCATGATTAAGGAGAGAACTCAATGAAATGCCCCCAACTCCGCCCCATTTCCCAAGCTGAGCTGCATTTCTCCCACTTGAGATCATTGCTGGGTCAGAAAAACAGGAGCAAGGGGAAGAGAGGCCAGCTAGTGGCAGACGTACCACAAAGTACCAAGGCAACGTTACTAAGAGAAGGAGTCTTAGTTTGCAAAGGTTAGAATCACTAAGTAGCAGACAGCATACAATAGATATGAAGAGTCTGCCCCCATCACTCTGATACAAACAAGACCTAGAGTCTCACATTCAAATACAAGGGGTAGAGGAGGCATTTCTAATCATAGCCCCAAAGATGTCGACAACCAGGAAAATGTCTACTTGCATTCTGAGTAGGGAAATAAACCCATTCATTTTATATGCTCCATAGGAGTTTTTATTGTTTATAAATAATTACAGCTCTCTTTCATGTTGCAGCATTCTGGGTGGAAGAAGAGAAGGGAATTGGGCCTGTTAACCTTCGCATGTAACCAAGGAGCCGTTTATGACTGGCCAGGTGCAAATGCCATATCTAATCTTTCCCTGTGTCTGCTGTGCAGCAGCTGCAGCAGTTGGAGGGAGTTGGGGAGTTATTAAATATCAAGGAAATGTTTGTGCCAGGACTGTCCTACTTCTGGGTGGTAAGAGAAATGTACAAACTGTTTTCCATTTAGAAAGAGTGGCAAATGTTAACAGGGAAAAAGTTATTCTTAGTGAGATCCCAACAATGGGGTTGAGGGCAAAGTGACCCATCTGAGTCCAGAGGAAAATTTGGGCCCCTTTTCCAGTCTGTTGCCCCTATAGTTGCAAAAGCTTTTAAGTATATTTTCTTTACTCCCTCTGGATCTCTGATTATGAGCAGGGCACTCAGATACTCAAAGCCAAAGTATATTCCCCTGAGAAGCAAAAAACTTTCTTTAATTCCTATTAATGCCCAAGGACATTTGAAAGGTTAATAATATAATTTGGGTAAAGTAAAATGAGATCTTGAAGAGAAGGTATCATATAAAAGGGAGGTTTGTATGAGTTATTCTAATGATATGGCGTACTACAATTAACACTGGCTGTGAGAATATGAGTGTGAGCCTCAGCTCTAGGACTTTTTTTTTTTTTTTCTGAGACAGAGTCTCCCTCTGTCACTGTCACCCAGGCTGGAGCACAGTGGCACAATCTCGCCTCACTGCAAACTCCACCTCCCAGGTTCAAGCGATTCTTCTGCCTCAGCCTCCTGAGTATCTGGGACTACAGGCGTGCGCCACCACGCCTGGCTAATTTTTGTATTTTTAGTACAGATGGCTTTTCGCCATGTTGGCCAGGCTGGCCTTGAACTCCTGACCTCAGGTGATCCACCCACCTCGGCCTCTCAAAGTGCTGGGATTATAGGCATGAGCCCATGGATATATTATGTAGTGGTGAAGACTAGGCTTTTAGTGTATCTGTCATCTGAATAGTGTGCACTGTACCTAGTAGGTAGTATTTCATCCCTCACCCCCACCCCGCCATATATTTTGATAAGACTGTAGATGGCATCTGCAACAGGTGGTAATTGCATTAGCTAAATGTGACAGAAACCTAGTGACAGAGGCTTCATCAAATAGGAGTTGTTGTTGTCACATCTCCAGGAGTTATGTGACTGGAGGTGCACAACACAGGGCTGACGCTACAGCCCCACAGTGGCATCGTGCCCTGGACTACTTGTTTTTCCCTCTCCATCATTCTTTGAATTTGGTTTTCATTCTCATGGGTCTGGCCTCTTCAATAAACTGATCTGGAAGCCTACCCAATGACTCTGCTTTCATCTCATTGGCCAGAACTGTATCACATGACCACCACTAGCCGCAAGGGATGCTGGGAGTTAAAGCACCTAAACTGGGTCCATTGCTACAATCCAACTAAGTCAGGGATGTGTAAGGAAGAAAGTGAAAATGGATATCAGATATGCGATTAGCAGTGTCTGCCACAGGGCTCTTAACAGATTCACAGATTACACAGGCTGGAGAGGACAAGTACGTGGAATGATAGAGTCAGCACTCTAAATGATCTTAGGAGAGTGAAATAATAAAATGAATTTAACATGCAGAATTCAATAGGGTTAAATTAAAGTCTTATCCCAAGTCTAAAATGGTAACTGGACACACACAGAATGGGGGAAATGTTTCTCAACAGCACCCTATAAAGATACTTATTCATTTTAATTTGCCACAAGAGTAATATCAACAAAGTAACATTTAACATTTCTTGCCTGGCGTGGTGGCTCACGCCTGTAATCCCAGCACTCTGGGAGGCCAAGGAGTGTGGATCACTTGAGGTTAGGAGTTCAAGACCAGCCTGGCCAACATAGTGAAATCCCATCTTTACTAAAAATACAAAAATTAGCTGGGCGCAGTGGCGTTCGCCTGTAGTCCCAGTTACTTGGGAGGCTGAGGTGGGAGAATTGCTTGAACCCAGGAGGCAGAGGTTGCAGTGAGCCAAGACTGTGCCACTGCACTTTAGCCTGGGCAACACAGCGAGACTGTCTCAAAAAAAATTTTCCTGAATGTTTACTGTTAGTTATTTCATGTAATTCTCCCAGCAATTCTCTGAGGTAGATATATTATTATTATCCCCATTTTTTTAGAAAACTGAAAATTATAAGTAGCTTGATCAAAGTCCTCCAGCTAGAAAGCGGTTTGAACCTAATGGCAGAGTCCTTGCTATTTACCTCTATACTATGTTGTTTCCCAAGGAAAGGTGATCTATTGTCTAAAAAAGCTAAGTAAATCTTGGACTGCACTAATAGTATTATGACATCAATGTCCAGAAAGATGGTAGTCTCTCTTTTCTAGTCAGAATATCTGTGCAACATTGCTCTTTACTCTGGAGCCCACACTCAGACAGGAACCACTGTCTTCTTCCTACATCCACACGTCCTTTGCCTTAGTCTCAGAGGATAAGAAGGACGCTCAAAGCCAACTCTCTCAACCTGCTCTTGGCCCCATCTCATGTTTCCTCAGGAACTCCATCAACTGACCCTTCAAGCTCCCATATCTTCAACTTATCACATTCTGCCTATTCTTTTTTCCTCAGCAATTAATTTTTTTTTTTTTTTTTTTTTTTTTGAGACAGACTTTGGCTCTGTCGCCCAGACTGGAGTGCAGTGGTGTGATCTCGGCTCACTGCAAGCTCCGCCTCCCAGGTTCATGCCATTCTTCTGCCTCAGCCTCCTGAGTAGCTGGGACTACAGGCGTCCGCCACTACGCCTGGCTAAGTTTTTGTATTTTTAGTAGAGACGGGGGTTTCACCGTGTTAGCCAGGATGGTCTCGATCTCCTGACCTCGTGATCCACCCGCCTCGGCCTCCCAAAGTGCTGGGATTACAGGCGTGAGCCACCGCACCCAGCCAGCAATTAAATTTATTCAGAAAGTTTCCACCCCAATAAATAACCCCCACAAAACTTCATTTGTGGAAATCTGCACTTTGTAAACTACTGCTTCTAATGAGTCCTTGTTAATCACACTTCTTAAAAGAATATTTAACCTAGGCTGTCTCCACCTCCTTACTTCCCATCCACACCTTCAGCTTCCAGGACAGGTGGCCTTGGGCTCTTTCCTGCCCCTTTACTTACGTGATGCTGTAGCATGACTCAACCATTTTGAGCTTCAATTTCCTTCCTCAACTGCAAAACAAGAAAGTTGAAAGAATCAATTGTTTTCATTTACTTTTTTTTTCAAGACACCTGAGGAACGGTTTATGTTATGTGAATTAATCAGGGAAAGCTTACGTAGTATTTTTTTTTTTTTTTTTTTGAGACAGAGACTCGCTCTGTCGCCCAGGCTGGAGTACAGTAGCGCAATCTCGCTCGCTGCAACCTCTGCCTCCCAGGTTCAAGCGATTCTCTTGCCTCAGCTTCCCGAGTAGCTGGGATATAGATGTGCGCCACCACGCCCGGCTAATTTTTGTATTTTTAGTAGAGATGGGGTTTCACTATGTTGGCCAGCTGTTCACGAACTCCTGACCTCCTGTATTTCCCAGCATCTGCAAAATACAAGCCCCTCCTCAGTGGCAGCTATCTTTAAAAGTCAAAGAAGTTTACAGATTGTATTATTGTATTTTAAGGGCTGCTCATTTATCTGACATGGATCTAGAAAGCATTCATAAATCTGTTAAGTCTAGTTTTCACAAATGTGCTCTCCTACTACTAAATCAAGATAACTTTTAATTCCCAATGACACTGCGAACCTAAACTCTGTATAGTTTTATTGGCTTTCTACTGGTTTTCTCATTACATTAGTCTTAACACAAGAAGGCTGACTGCTTCTGCTTTTTGATACTTAGGAAACAATTTTGGTGGCTATAACAGTATTTAACTTATCATGGAAACAGTGGTGTGTTGAGTGATAAAATGAATGAAAAGTGGCTGGTTCCATTTTGAATTATCAGCATATTCAAGTCCAACAGAGCTTAAAGGAAAAAAAAATTATCAGCATAGTAAGCACTACTGACAGGAAGGATCCAAGGAAAGAAATTCCACTGTCAGTCTGCATCTACCCTGGGATTGTCATTCTCCAGCACCACATCCTCTGAGAACGGGAAAAAAATCTGACTCACTTTGGCAAAACACTTTAGAAGCAAATAATTTCACAAAGGCATGGAAAGCCTTAAGCATCTATTGCAAATGTAATATAATTATATTTCTAAACTTCATCATCTAGAAGATATTAAGAACACTGGTGGTGTTGGAAAGTTCTGATACTTGGTAATTTTAACTCTTAGGCCACTTCTGTATGCAGTCATTGAAGCAAGCAATATTCTTCAAGGAAAAATCCTCAACTTTCTTAAAGGTAGAAGCGAAACAGTAATTAACTTAGTATCATGTTATGGCACAAAGGATAATTTCTTCACCAGATACTTATTTGACTTTTTGCAGCTTTTGGCTCCTGACCATTTACAGAACATGATTAGAATAAAAAATCACTAAAGAGAGGAGAGGAATGGAATGAGAGGTGGGGTCCAGGAGCCGTGGGGATGGAGAGTGAGTAGCACTATGCAACTACATCATTTTAGATCAATAGAATTACTCCAAATGTTAGAGAATTCAATTACATTTGTGGGTGTATTTTTAAATAGCACTTCAAACTTTTAAAAGCACATTCACATGCATTATGCCTTTGTGTGCAGTACTCACAAAATGTTTACATTCCCAGCTTAAAACTATAAGATAGGAAAGGTAACTGCTTTGCCCAATGTCTACTAATTCCTAGCGCAAAGATCTCTTCCCCATGCCACATACACACACTTACTTAGTTTTATCTCTGACCTACATTAGTTTCTATTCCTGAAGTGAGAAGAGAGAGAGAGTGCAAGAATGGGAGAGAGAAAAAGAAAGACATGCAATTGAACTTGCTATTAAAATTAAATGGAATAGGCCAGATGCGGTGACTCACACCTGTAATCCCAGCACTTTGGGAGGCCGAGGAGGGTGAATCACTTGAGGTCAGGAGTTCGAGACCAGCCTGGCCAACACGGCAAAACCCTGTTTCTACTAAAAATACAAAAATTAGCTGGACGTGGTGGTGCGTGCTTGTAATCCCAGCTGCTTGGGAGGCTGAGGCAGGAGAATTGCTTGAACCTGGGAGGCAGAGGTTGCAGTGAGTTAAGATCATGCCACTATACTCCAGCCTGGGCAACAGAGTGAGGCTCTGTCTCAAAAATAAAAATAAAAATAAATAAATAAAATAACATGGAATAAGAAGTTAGCAACACTTGGACTTGGAAAACACTTTGGAAGCACATCCAGATGCTAGAAAGAGCCCTATGTTAAGCAAATAAAAACCCTGCATCACTGTGTTTTTCCAAAAATAGACTGCATTTGATATCAACTTCGAAAAGCTTATAGTGTTTACATAATGTAGAAAAAAATCCAAGCTTCATACTTAGCTTTTTAATGTACACGTAGAGCCTACACTTTTTGTATTTTACCAAATATTCTTCAAAGGAGTTATAGCTTAGGATTAAACAGAATTTTTTTTTTTTTTTTTTGGAAGAACAACCTTAAAGTGTGCCATAGGTAAAAGAACCACTTTAGGGGAATATTCTATTAAACATGTTTTCATGGAGGGATCATATAGCATGCAATTATTTTGCAGTTACCTTTCAGCCCCTTGCTATGTAATTATTCATTTAGTTATGTGTGCTTTACAAATTCGCAGCCCCAAAGAGCTAAAAAAAAAAAAAATTACACAGAAAATGGTGATTATCCTTAGAGTTACATGGTTTCTCAAAGCATTTAATTTGCCATTTAATTTGTTAGGTCTGAATTCATATCACGACCTCATGGTAATCATGTGCTTACAGAGGGACTTCCATGGATGTTGGGGCCTCAAAATATTGTGGGAAAGCACTTAGGAACAGGTGCAAATCCAAAATGGTGAGTGCTATGTGTTCATACACACTCCTGGCTTATACAGGGATAGCAGTAAATATTGTTGGATGCATGCATGTGTATTCACATGCACACATAAACATACACCTGCAGGTGCCTTAGGTCTCCTAAAGACTGGTCCACTTCCCAAGGGTGAGGAAACCTTTTACCCAGTCAATCAAAGGCCGCTCCACTTACAAAGCCACCCACATGTGTTAGATTTATTTGATGGTCAAGGGAAGAGAAACATAAACATCTCAACTTCCTTTTAAAATCAAGAACAACAAACTAAAAATATTGCCATTAAATACAAGAAGTAAAAGCACCCAGTTTGGGAGGGACAGCAGGAAGCACACAGAGGACTACCTCAGATCTTTAAACACCAGAGGACTCCGCCTTTAATCTGCCTTGAATGTATAGGTATTATAAAAGGATACGGACGGCTTCTAGAGCAGGGCAGAATAATCTGCTACTTGAGTCCAAATTGTGGTGTCTTGAAGCCAGCTCCTACTGGCTTATGAGAGCTAATTGTTAAATACCCAGCAATTTTGCAAACAGGTTGTTAAGCTGTTGCAATCTTGAAATCAGCCATGATGGGAGTGTTTACACCACAGATACTGGCAAACACTACAAGTCAGGTCTCCCTCCAACCCCCACCCCAGAGAGCCAATTTACCAGCACACCAACAAATTCAAATATTATTAAGGAACACTTTAATGAAAAAGCCCAATTTTCTGATAATTCTTATGGGACAGAGTCTCTCTACTCACCAACTCTTAGACTTTAAACCTTCCCCTGAGTGATTCCAAGTCTAATTTCTATTTTTTCCTTCTTTCTGTAAGATCTTCCAATCCCCTTGGAGCCTATCACAACTAAACACTAATTTGAAAGATGCCCATATTTGAATATTAATGGTTAAGAGGGCAAGATTTGAATTTGAATCTAGATTAGACACGTCTGGGTTTGAATCCAGCAGCCTGCATTCACCAGATGTGTAATTTAAACAGCATGCACTCCACATGCTTTTTTTTTTTTTTTTTTTTTTTTTTTTCTGAAAAGGGCATCATAATACTACCTACTGGAGTTCTTGTGGGAATAATAGTAATATTTCCTTTACAGGGTTGTTGTAGGGATTAGATGAGTTATTACATGTAATGCACTTGGAACTCTGGCTACAGAAAGCTATATGAATGGTAACTATGTGATGTGATAGATATGTTAATTAGCTTGATTGTGGCAATCATTTTACAATGTATATGTATATAAAAACATCATGGACTGGGTGCGGTGGCTCATGCCTGTAATCCTAGCACTTTGGGAGGCTGAGGCCGGTGGATCACCTGAGATAAGGAGTTCAAGACCAGCCTAGCCAACATGGTGAAACCCCATCTCTACTAAAAATACAAAACTTAGCTGGGAGTGGTGGCGGGCACCCGTAATCCCAGCTACTTGGGAAGCTGAGGCAGGAGAATCGCTTGAACCCAGGAAGCGGAAGTTGCGGTGATCCAAGATCGCACCATTGCACTCCAGCCTGAACGACAAGAGTGAAACTCCATCTCAAAAAGCCAAAACAAAACAAAACATCATGTCATATACCTTAAATATACAAAAGTTTTATTTGTCAATTATATCTTATTAACTTTGGGAAAAAGGAGAAAGTCCTATCCATGTACTTATAATTGAATGTATTAATATGATTGGCAAGATTAAGATACCATGTGTACCTAGGACATTGTAGACACTCAGCAAATGGTAATTGTTTCTATTCCTCTTCTTGCAGTTCTCTGTTATACAGAATTCATATTTGGGCTCAAACACATTTTCTGCAGGAGCTGGAAGGCTGATGTCTCCTGGGCCATAGCCCAGCCATTTGTCACACCTGATGCCATTTTTGGAAGTAGACCTTTCGCTCTGAAAATGAACAAGCCCAAAGTGGCTGGGCCAGGAGACCCACACTGCAGAAGGAGACAGGGCAAGGAGAGCAGCATGCTCTTCCCTTTCTTTGAACTTACAGAACTTATTGCCTGGAACTCTGGGTCTGTAATAACTGTTTCTGACTTTACTCTGTATTCTCTTTTACAGGGGATTGTATTTGAACCTTGGGTACCACGGTGATAACGTTATTCTCTTTTTGTGCTTTTGTGGCTGGGCCGGGATGGGTGGAAGTTAGAGGGCTTCTGCACCACCTCTCCTCAGCTGCTTCACTTCCCTCTCCCTGGGGTAGTGATCTTGCTTTCCATAACACTCTGGCGGCAGAGAATCTGTGGGACCCATTCCATGGGCAAGCCAAGGCCAACAGCAAAAGCAAAGGGGAGATGTCTCCCTGGCTCGTGGCCCACTGACAGGGCCGATATGACATTCCAACTCCTTGGCCTTTGTGGACTGAGTCCTCTGGGGACTTTAGGCAAAGCCTCTTCCCCCAAAGCTTAATCTCATTAACAGAGGAGCGCTTAGCTCTGAAAAAGACAGTATGTCTCAGCAGGTGTACAGATTGACGTTAGGTTCTGCAAGTAAAAACATAGTCAAGAATAAAGCTATGTTACCTGTAAGGGTAAGAGGCTTGATTGTACATTTTGGATACAGCGACCCTTAATACAGTACATGGTTTTAATCTGGTTTCTCTAAAATCTTTAAAATCATGCTGAAACTATGCCTATCGATAATAACCCTGTTGAATTGTAATGCTATGATTACAGAATTTATACAGAAATAGCACTAGCCCTTTAAATATCCATGCACCATAAGAGGCAGGAACAACAGGATAAATCTCCATTCTCTAGAATCCCACGTTGGTTGTATATGGTGTTTTTGTGTGTTTGTTTGTTTGTTGTTAATAATCTCTTTAAAATGCCTTTTTTCAATATCAGTCCAAATAATGTCAACCTACCGTGATGAACAATTGAAAAGGAGAAAGAAGAAGGAGGAGAAACAAGAGGAAAATAACCATAGCTAAAGGCCAGGGGAGGCGTGCCTGTGTGAGGATCCATGCTATTAAGTGGTTTAAATGCGCCACTTCGTGTAGTGTACATAACTATCTAAGAAGGACACATTATCAGCCCTGTGTGACACAAGAGGAAGATGAGTCCCAGAGAAGGGGATCAACTTGTCCAAGGTCACACAGATAATTAGTGGTATAGGCAGGACTCAAACATAGGCCAACTGACCCAAGAGCTTTAGGCTTAACCATTGGGATTTTTATTTTTAAGCATTTTGGATTTGGGGATTGAAATAAATGAACACATGAAACAAACTGGCATAATTAAATATATTAGAACATATAAACCAATTTTCTTTTCTTTTTGCTTTTTGTTTTTTTGTTTTGTTTTAGAGACAAGGTCTTGCTCTGTCATCCAGGATGAAGTGCAGTAGGTGCCATCATGGCTCATTGCAGCCTGCAGCTTCTAACTGCTGGATCAAGAGATACAGCTTCAGCCTCCCAAGTAGCTGTGACTACAGACACACGCCACCATACATTGCTAATTAAAAAAAAATTTTAATATCTTTGTATATTTTTCTGTTCACTTTTTTTTTTTTTTGAGACTGAGTCTCACTCTGTTGCCCAGGCTGCAGTGCAGTGGCGGAATCTCAGCTCATTGCCACCTCGGCCCCCCGGGTTTAAGTGATTCTCCTGCCTCAGCCTCCCAGGTAGCTGGGACTACAGGCGTACACCACCATGCCTGGCTAATTTTTGTATTTTTAGTAGAGACGGGGTCTCACCATGTTGGCCAGGCTACTCTTGAACTCCTGACCTCGGGTGATCCACTTGCCTTGGCCTCCCAAAGTGCTGGGATTACAGGCGTGAACCACTGCACCCAGCCTACTTTGGATATCTTTCTATACAGTCTCACTAGGTTGCCCAGGCTGGTCTTGAATCCCTGGCCTCAAGTGATCCTCCTGCCTTGGCCACTCAAAAGTGCTAGAATTACAGGCATGAACCACTGCTCCTGGCCCAGCTGTTTTAAAAAGCAACAATCTTGAATTGTAATGTTTGCCAATTTTTGTGGTGCAAATACTCCCTCTATGGTTGATTTCAAGCTGCCAATGGTTTAGTACCCAGGTTGCAAAATTCCTGAATATTTAAAAATTGTCTCTCTCACCACCTGGCTCCAGCACACCCCTGTCTGTTAATATGTAATGGAGAGAGTCTGATGTAGGTTTAGGACACAGAGCCTTGGGCTCTTCTGCCTCTTATATGATGCTGTAGCATGACTCAACTATTTTGAGCTTCAGTTTCCTTCCTCAACTGCAAAACAAGAAAGTTGAAAGAATCAATTGCTTTTACTTAATTTTTTTTTCAAGGCACCTGAGGAAGGGTTTATTCCATGTGAATTAATCAGGGAAAGCCAACATAGTATTTTTTTTTTTTTTTTTGCTTCTTTTTGAGATGGAGACGCTCTCTGTTGCCCAGGCTGCAGTGCAGTGGCACGAACTCGGCTCACTGCAACCTCCACCTCCTGGGTTCAAGTGATTCTCCAGCCTCTGCCTCCCAAGTAGCTGGGATTATAGGCGTGAGCCACCATGCCTGGTTAATTTTCATATTTTTAGTAGTGACAGCGTTTCACCATGTTGGCCAGGCTGGTCATGAACTCCTGATCTCAAATGATCCACCCACCTTGGCCTCCCAAAGTGCTGGGATTACAGGTGTGAGCCACCATGCTGGGCCCATAGTATTTCTTTTTAAATGTGAAGTTGGGGAATCTGCTAGTAACTAAAAAGGTTACTTTTAAGAAGAAACATTCAATCTTAAGTTTAATGAAATTCATTACATACAGTTATCTATTCCCCTTCCCACCCCCTAATCTTGTCTAGGCTTTTCTTTAACTTGCTTCCTTATTGGGTAATAGTTGGAACAGAGACAATCAAAGTCACTTCGTGATTTCACTTTGGAAGTATTTTGATTTTCTAAGGCAAAGGTGAGGGTATTTAATATAATTAGTTTCCTGTGTAATCCTATTTATTGTATTGCATATGCATATAAAAGTATTATTGAAAAGTAATCCACAGACTTCTCAAGAGTGCTAGAGAGTGTATGGCGCAAAAAAAAAAAAAAAATCTTTAGGAAGAGAATGTTTTCCTTCCTCGGTGCTGAAGAGGGGAGATTTCTAGCAAAGGAATTAAGAGCCACTCTCCTCATTGGACTCTCTCAAAGTGCAAAAGGAAAAGAAAATGTATACCTTTTTCTTCTGAATAAATATCTAAAATTAACGGAAATTTATTAGGGATATAGAGTTTTGATTGACTTTCTTTCACAAAGCATGTTATCCATTTTTCCACCTCCCTCCTTTTTTTAAAAAATTATTTGCTATATAGTTTTTAGGTCAATGTTTATAGTTGAAAAATAACATTCTCTCCCTTATGGGGAAGCATGTGATTTCAAGATAATCTACAATGAAAGAAAAACTTTTATGTTCTCATGTTGGAGAGTTGGATGTCTCTAAACTTTCTTGTCTAACAGGAAGATGACTTTAGTAGAGACGGGTTTTCTCCATGTTGGTCAGGCTGGTTTCCAACTCCTGACCTCAGGTGATCTGCCTGCCTCGGCCTCCCAAAGTGCCGGGATTATAGGCATGAGCCACTGCGTCCGCAGGAAGGTGACTTTACATTGCCTCACTCCTGTAATGAATACTGTGGAGACCTGCCACTTGCCAGGTCGGCTGAAGGCACTGGGACCAGTGAGATAAATGTCATACCCCATCTTCAAAGAACTCCCAAATTCACAGAGGAGGACATGAGGTGAACAAAACATTATGACACAGGCGGGCAGTGAGTGCTGTAAGACAAGAAGAAGCTGTGGGAGAGTGTACCTACTACATGTGGCTAGACTGTCCCCACATATGGGTCAATCACAGCTATATAGGTTTTCTCTATTAAAATTATTTTCTTTTTATTGATTAGTACAGAATTTTATTTTATTTTATTTTATTTTTTTTGAGATGGAGTTTTACTCTTGTCGCCCAGGCTGAAGCGCAATGGCATGATCTTGGCTCATGGCAACATTTACCTCCCTGGATCAAGTGATTCTCCTGCCTCAGCCTCCCAAGTAGCTGGGATTACAGAAGCCCACCACCACGCCTGGCTAATTTTTGTATTTTTAGTAGAGAAGGGGTTTCGCCATGTTAACCAGGCTGGTCTTGAACTCCTGACCTCAGGTGATCCACCTGTCTCGGCCTCCCAAAGTGCTGGGATTACAGGCGTGAGCCACTGTGCCAGATCATTGATTAGTAAAGAATTTTAACAGTAAAGAATAGATAAATTTAAGGGCTCATTTTCATTTCTTCATCCTCATGCTATAACATACAAGTGTATTTGAATTTCCAAGCACAAATTCACAGGTGCAAAAAAATAACACATGACATTATTTCATCAGTGGTTCTTAATCTTGGGTATATGGTAGAATATGGCACCTGGGAGAGTTTTCAAAAAATACCAAAGCTTGAGCTACTTCTTGGTGAGCAAGGACCTTAGAAAACTCTCGAGCAAAAATGGGATGCCCTCGAGGAGGGTGAGATGCTGTCAGAGTCTCTCCTGCCCCAAGGACCCAGACTGATCACCAACGTTCATGGCACAAATTGGCTGTAGGGGCTTCCCAGCTGAATACTCCCTATGAGCATTGGGAGATGGGCACCGAGCCTGCCATATGATGAAGCAGAAGTGGCCTCCCTAGAAAAGCTCCTCACCCCTCAGAAATGATTTCCTACCTTGAGAATTGATACTTGAAATTTCACAGTTAGATGGCCACACCTTTTCCAGAAGCTTTATTTTCTTCAAAAATAGAAGTGCCTCTAAGGAGTTACAGTAAAACTTACTGGTGATTTGTATCATTTGGGCTCATCTCCTCATAGCAAGTTTTGAAAGGGGTTAGCAAGGTAAGTTTATGAGACTATTGGATTCTGCTATTGAGTGTAGGAAAAGGTGCAAGAAGAGAAGACTGTATTTGGCACTTCTGAGCATGGGTCTGCGGCTCACCCTAAAAGTGGAGTTGGTCCCTTATTTGAATATCACTTAATACTCTTTGTAATGCTGTCATTATAGGGATGATGCTCTTTCTTCTAGTTTTAACCTCTCTGCTGTCTAGAAACATTTTCATGTCAAAGTTCACATTGTTCATTCATATCAAAAGAACCAAATGAGATACAAACAGAAAAATACAATCCATAGGGCAGAAGTGGGAAAAATCACGGAAATCCCTTACAAAGTGAGTAGCACAGGTCAGGGTGGCGTTCCTCGTATGCTTTCATACAAGATGGTGTATATCATTCTCGCTTAGAAACATAAGCACCTGTCCTCAGAGAGGCTGGTCACGGATGGTTCTGTAGAGCACTTAGCACATTCTGAGTGCTCCGTAAATGTTGAGGCTATGAGGTAATCTTCTGAGGGTGTCTCCTCAGAGGAAGGTGCTATGCAAATACTGGTATTGTTATTCTTTTTAGCACAAATTTATAATTGACTTTCTGTTAAACATCGCAGCAAGTTAAATTAATTCAGTATGATTACAGTCATTAAACAAATGCCTGGTAATGACTGCCTTCTTATTTTAGCAATTCCTCAAACCACTGGGGTAATACCATATAAGGCTTTTGCTCCATTGTCAGATTAATTGGGTTGTACAACCTGCGTTTCACGATAGAGCATGCACACTGCCTTACAGCAACTGGACCATGATTTAAGGCTAGTGCTGAACTAATTTACCTTCGAGTTTTCCCTCTTGCTCTTGCCATTCTGTTAGGTACAATTGACTAGTTCATTACAGCATACAAGTAGCTTAAGGCCATTTCTACCTGTTAAAAAAGAAGTGTGTTTTTCAAACAAAATGTGGGCAGGAATTCTCCCGCAATCATTCTCACAACGCTGAAACCAGCCAAAGCGAGAGGGGCAGCGATGGCTTTAACTTATGTTCACATTGGGGTGGTCACCCTAAGAATTACCTGCCATCTTAGCAAGCAGGACAGAAATAGTTAAGTCCTAAAGGCTATGAATTAAAAACTCTGCTTGAGAGAAAAGCAATGTAAGATGTCCCTGCCAGGTGTGGATGGAGAAAAACTGCACTCCTTAAGCCTCTCTTTCCATTGAAGGTCATCTGTCTGGTGCCACCTTAGAAACTGGTCTGATTCTGCAGAGGACATTGAATGATAACACCCCGCAAGTCAGCTGACTGCTGTGTCAGAGCTGCTGCTTTCTGCATTATCGCAACTGCCAGCTCCAGCTCCTGCAGTTTCCCAGTCGCAATGCAGCAAAGCAGAAGCAGACAACTAGGCACAAAGCAACAGAGTTTTAAAGTTTTCTTCTCCTGCTACTACTTAGCATGTCTTACATGAGGAGTATTTACCTTTGTTTAGCCAGGAGCAGAGATGCATCCTGAATGTACACGATGGCTTCTAACTTGGCAGCGTGAATTTTCAGCTGAGCAGGTACTGCTCGGAGACTTGTAACCAAACCGCCTCTGATGGAGCACGGCTGGTCTCCCACCATGTGTGTGAATAGTTTGGGGGCTTCTTATGCCACGCTGCTCTACCTGCAGGAATAAAGGCTAGGACAAAGGAGAGGATGCTTGCTATGGTTTGTCTGGCTGGGGCCTGTGCGAGCGACTCACCGCACTGATGCTGTGTGACTCCCCAGCTCACATTTAAGGCTGGTCACGGGGCTGGCGCAGATCCCCACTCCTCAGTTAGCGCACGGTTTAAAGGAGAAACCAGACTCCCTGACCTAAATCACTCCCAGTCCTCTCTGGATGCGGGACAGCTGTCGACTAGCAGTGACACAACCAGCCATCAAGTGGAGAATCGTTGCGACTGCAGTCTGTGTGCAGGTGGAGCCCGGGAGAATGACAGTCTAATTTCGGTCATCCAACGGCTTTTCCTTATTTTCCTAAATAATCGTGCTCGCTAAGTATACAGTTGTCTGGATTAGCCTGCCTGCCATGCAGTCCTCATCAACTCTGGCTGGAAATCAGGGTGCCAGGCAAGCCGCCTTTAGCCCTGGCTCCTTTCTGCGTGATGCTATGCAGCTAGGATGGGTCATGCTGACAACAAAGAAGGAAGCAGAAAGCATCACTTTCTCTTCTCTTGTGATGTTAGCGGAACATAACTCTTCTTCGCAGTGATGCCCTTGTGTGTGGTGTATGTGTGTGTGTGTGTGTGTGTGTTTTAATTCATCTAATCGAAGAGCCCAACAAATATCATCATGGATGTGATTTTTAATAATTTGGAAAAAACAAAAAAAGACAGCCTGTGGAGACAGCGATTCGAAACAGCGGCACATTTAGGTTATTGCCAATTTGAAATACTTGGTTTGTGAAGCTGAGCCCTAAGGGACAAGCTCGGTAACTGAGGAAGAGATCGTAGATAAAGAAATAAAAATGACAAGCGTAATGGAGGCTCTGCGAAGGGACTGTCAGAGCATCAGTTCATGGATGGCAATTTCACCAGGCTGAGATTGAATAATTCATAGATTGAAATTACCCTGCTTTCACCTTTCCATTTAAGCCGGCATGATCTGAATCTCTCATAAATTTTCAAGATAAAGTAAAATGCCAATTTGAATCTGAAGAGCTTTTAAAACCAGATGCTGCATCCCTGAATCTTTCGGTATCTTTCACAATTATCCTATGAGAACAGCACTTCATCACGAAGCACCATTACCAGGGAAAATTACGGTGATTACAATAGCAACAATAGAATACCATCAAATGATCTCTAATTTACCTAATTTGCTAAGACTGACTGTACGGTTTTGATATCCATTGTATGTCACCATGCCCGGCACCCGTGAAGCTATCTCGCACTGGAACAAAAGTGGCATCGTGTGTGTGTGTGTGTATGTGTGTATGTGCACGCACACCCTGCTACCTTAACTGTGAATGCCTAGCAAAGAACATTCTCCTAGGTTACAATATTTCTTTCCTTTGGTTCACATTTTCGCTTTTTTCCAATGCCTCTACCCCAAATGTGTTTGGGGAAATGGAGAGCCTGTCATGGGTTGGGAGACTGTTTTTTGATACAGAAGAGCATTGACTTGTTAATTTATATACCCTCTTTATTTTAATGTATACAAGCCTGTGTTTACTAAAAGGGAGGGAGGATGCTGTTCTGGGAGAGTAATTTTAAAATGCAGCCGAGATGTAGCATATGTGTTTGTTTCTTCTTTGAAACCCCTGTCTGTCTCTTTCAGGTTAGAAATCCTTTCAGGGAAGTTTAGTCCTGGTGTGATGTGTCAAAAACCTCTCAGATTGCAAAGAAGCTCAGGAGATACAATCAGTAATAACTCTGTACAGCTTTTATTAAAAGCATGCATGTTCAATTCAGTGATTAAATGAAGCTTCGGTACAACTTCGGCTATGTTTGTGTCTGGTCACTCTGGAGTAGAAGTCTGTACTAAAGAGAACTTTTTGGGACAGGCTGCACGGTTCATCTCAGGGTAATTGTGCCATCCTGAGAAGGTGGCATGGATCATCAATCCTCCCTGGAGAACAGACTGTAATCATTAATAGGCACAATGGCTTCTGGAATTTTACTTTCAATAGTGTGAAGGTAGTATGTGGGTTTCTGCTAGTCAAGTGATTTAAGTGTGATTATCGAAGGTAGGGCTTCAGAGGTATGACCACCATCTGGGAGGAAGGTAGGTTTTGAAACACACCTTTCTAACGTTCTGGGGTTTTTGCTTGAGATTCTTAGCTCTGATATGTTCCTCAATCCTTTATCACAGCTTTACCCCTTCCCTTATCCTGTGACCCAACAAATACCTTTGTCAGAGCAGGTAAGTTGTGTTTCTCATCATTTGTATAATTGAATATGTTTTTCATTGTGTGCTTTCAGCAAGAATGTGCTTTTTTATGTTATCTTTTCTTTCTGCTTATTGTTACTTTCTGCTTATTGTTATTCTCACTACCCTTGAGATAACTCCCAAATTTTTTCCTTTGTGTTTTTCTAAGTACAAATGAAAACGTGGTATTTTTAAAAGTGATTTAAATATAGTTTTTGTTCCCTTTATCTAACTAAATACACTCAAGGTTTTAATGCTTTTCAAAAAGAAGGGGAAAACAGTTTTACTTAGTGAATAATTTGTTTAAAAATAGTAAGCAATTCAGTATATATCAATTATGTTACTATATTGTTTTCTTTAGATAGCTCAGCTTTCTAATACTGAACCCATTATTTTTATCTTTCAGGAAAGAGGCTTGACTTAGTGACAAAGGACTTTTCAAAAGCCCACACTGCCTATGTGCTAGCATGTTATTATTATTATTATTATTATTATTATTATTATTATTATGAAAACATAGTCTGGATATTCTGCAAAGGGTTTTTAATTTCTAGCATTTTAAAGCTGTTTAGTAGTTCAGGTTTGAACAGAGTAATCATTGTTTGAGCAGATCGGTTTACATGTCTGATGTTTAAGTAATACAGGAATCCTAAGATCATCTAAGAATACTTTCAAATCAGACTTTTGTCACTTTCTTGGGTCTCATTAGAAACTAATTATATTCACTTGATAAAAATGGATAATTTGAAGCTTATCGTTTGATCATTCAGGTATTTATACTTTACAGTCTTGGAAAATGTCTTGTTTCTTTAGGATGCAAGTGCCAGACTATTAGTCTTTTATATAAAATATGAGCAACAGTTTACTATTGCATGTTATACTTTATATTGAAATTCACTTGTTTTGCCATAAAAAAGATGAGATCCATTATATAGAGCTGCTAACTTTAAAAATCCTAACTCCTTTGTTTCTTTGCAATCAGTTTTTCTTTTCAACTTTATTTAAGTAATTGAACATAAATAAACATAACACTTTAAAATACATTCATCAGATAAGTTTTAATCCATTACTGGCAATGTTTTTGCTATTTATAGATATATCTTACTTATAATGCTCTGGATAAGCATGACATAGGTGAAAAAGACATAGAGTCACTTTACATTTGTAGGTAATTGAAAATAAAGAATCAACTATGAAAGTATGAGTTAATTTACATGAAATCTTAGACAATCATGGGTTAACAGTATTTTATTTTATTTTATTTTTTGGTGGGAATGAGAAAAATAGGTTAAAAATTATCTCCTCCTCTTTACTTCTGAAAACTCTCAATCACTCCAGAACATCAGCTGCAGTTACAAAGAGTGATTTAAAATTTAAACACACAGGAACATATGCATAGGGTCCACCCAAATGTGTTATGCTTTAAGACAGAATGAGTAACAGTGCCACCTAACAAGTGCAGTCACTTCTGGATATTAGTGTATTTTCTATTTTACCTCATTGCTAGCAGGGAACGAAAATCTAAACTAAACTAAAATTCTTCATAGACAATATATTAATATTTCTTGGCTATTTATTAACTAGTTAACAAATGCTGTAGTGAAAAAATGCATTTTTACATATAACCAAACAGGATATTCCTAGTTGACAATCACAGTTGGATTTCTCTAGTTAACATATTCCACAAGAACAACAGCATAGTATATTTTCCCCCAAGTTTTAAGCGTAGTAATAAAACACGCCTTTACCGAGTACCAATATTTGTGTTATACTAGTCTGCCAAGAGAAAAAGGCAGGCAAGACAAAAGAAATAGGTAAAGATAAAAGAAAGCACTCTGTATTCAGTGAGGCTTTTTATTTTTAATGGCATAATCAAAAAAGGTCGGTTATGTTGTGTCTGGGTGCCGTCTTTTTAAATAACCTCTTATCTCTAGTAAGATTTTTTCCCAACATTTTATTATACATTTTTGTGAACATACAAAAAAGCTAAAAAATTGTGAGCACCCATACACAAACCACCTCGACTCTATGAATAACAGTGTACTGTGCTTGTTTTGTCACGTATCTATCCAACTATCCACCCCTCTATTCACCCATCACTCCATCTTATTGTTTTGATGCACTTATAAGTAAGTTGCAGGCATCAGCACACTTCACTCCTAAAGATGTGCCTGCTGAAGTGTTTCACTAGAATTCAACATTTGTTTACAGTGCTTATCTTTACGTAAGATTTGTATGTGTATGATGATGACCTGATTTTGGAAAAATGCACGGTTGTATTTTATATGACATAAACTATCTCTTTAACATGATGAATAGCTGGATGCAAACTCTCATGATTCTATATTTTAACTTGAAATCCTCATTTGTGACAAAGGGAAACCGCTATGATAGGGATAAATGGGCCTTCCCCATCTTCAGTTGCTATGTGTCCCCCACCTCAGCCTTCACCCACCATGCCCAGGGACCACTGGTAAGTCACCATCAGTTTTGGGATGGAGGAGGTGTCCAGGCATACAAAAGTAATTCCCAGCGTCTATTTTTGTTCTTGGACCACGTTTTCTTTCTCTCTCCTGCAGGTGCATGAGAAGTAACCCATTGGCCTCTTGACCAATCACCAGCTTTCCTTCTACTTGGATTGTTCTCTGCCTCTTGTCTTTCCTCCCCAACTCTTCCCGTTTAGCTTTCTCTTTTCCACTTTCTCCCTACTCCTACCTTTTCTTTTCAGAAACAAAGGAACAAATCTCTTTATTTTTCAAGTCATTCTCCTGCACTCAATTTCATGGATGCAAAGATGAGGGATTTAAATAATCACAAGAACTCTTAAAGGGATTAGTTTCTCTTGGTCTTAATTAAAACATAAATGAGTTGAGAATTGTCCTCTCAAGACCGCTTCAGTAATTCATCTCTTGGATCCAGTCATGTGAATGAGATTTACTCATTCATCTTTTTTTTTTTTTTTTTTTTTTTGAGACTGAGTCGCGCTCTGTCACCAGGCTGGAGTGCAATGGCATGATCTCGGCCCACTGCAGCCTCTGCCTCCTGGGTTCAGGCGATCCTCCTGCCTCAGCCTCCTGAGTACCTGAGAGTACAGGCGTGCGCTACCACGCCCAGCTAATTTTTGTATTTTTAGTAGAACTAGGGTTTCACCATGTTGGCCAGGATTGTCTCAATCTCTTAACCTTGTGATCTGCCTGCCTCGGCCGCTCAAAGTGTTGGGATTACAGGGGTAAGCCACCGCGCCTGGCCGTACTCATTCATCTTTTAACTGAACCCTACACCAAACTTCTCTAAGATTTGAGTTTGTTTAGCTCCGAAGAATGGGGGCATTTGCTATGCTTCCAAAATCTACTAAGTTTCATAGACTGCAGCTTCCTGTCATTAGCCATGTTCCGTGGTGCTTCCATTCAGGAGCATCACAAGGCCTTATGCCCTTGGTCCTCGGCCCCCAGGGTGCAGAAATTTCCAAAGCCTTCTTCGCTAGGTTTTGGTCCACTTACACAAGGCAGTCGCCTTCCAGGTGGCTCCTCTCTCAGGCCATTTTTCTTTATTCGGTTCACCACGCCTAAAGTTTTCACTGGATAGGTAACAGTGAGTCTAACCTTAGCTGGAATTCTACCAGTTTGCCTATTTTTATAAAGTCGTAATTGGATATGACAGACTGGTTAAGAGTTTAAGCTCTGTAGTAAGACAAACCTGAATTGTAGTCTCAGTTTTGCAACTTAACTAGTAGCGTTACTCCAGGCAAGTCACGGAATCAAATTTTAAGCTTCACTTCTTCAGAAGGTTGTTATGAGTATTAGATGACACACACACACACACACACACACACACACACACACATATATGAATATATGACCAAGTTTTGGAAAAATGCACTATTCTGTGTGTTTGTATGTGTGTGTGTGTATATATATGTATATATACAGTATACTAATACATAACAAGTATATATATATATATATATATATATATCACAGTGTCTAGCACATATATATATATCACAGTATCTAGCACCTGATTGGTACTTGTTATGTATTAGTGTCATTAAAAATAATAATAATCATCATCATCTCAACAGAAGGTGCCATCATCCCAGAGCTCAGTTGGCTCTCCATCAATTAGGGTCATCTCATAGATCCTGGCAGACTACGTTCTCTTTCTATGTCCAAATTTGCTTATCCTAACGGACCTCCCATTAAAGTTCACATTTTTCAAGGTCTGAAAATATCCCCAGCTTTCAGCTAATTGTGGGGTCCAGTGAGTGACTACATTTGATAGTTTTCTCAATTAGATTTCCAAATGAAAATTCAGGAGACAAAAAGATAAAGAGATTTTGGAAGTACAGGGAAGTAGTATGGCTGAGACTGTCCAGGTGTTTTACACACAATAAATTATTGACATGTAAATGTCATTTAGTCCAGCATAACATAATACGGAGGTCAATATAATGGAATCTGAAGCCAGACAGTCGGTATTCTAATCCTGATTTTGTTACTTACTATCTGTGTGACCTTGGATGAATTTTTGACCCTTCTTTGTTTCTCAGTTTTCTTATACATATACAGTAAGGATAATGAATGATACCTTTCCCATAGGATAGTACTGAGGATTACCTTAGTTAATATCTGCAAAACACCTAGAAGAGTGTCTGGCACATAGTGGTGCGATGGAAGCATTTGTTAAATAACAAAGTAAAAATGAAAGATGGACAAAGTAATCTTTGAGTAAAGATTACTTGAGTAAAGTCATCCAGAGAGGTTATCAACTTGTTCTTAATCACACAGCAAATTAGTAAAAGATCCACCATTCAGGCCGGGCATGGTGGCTCATGCCTGCAATCCCAGAAGTTTGGTAGGCCAAGGTGGGCGAATCACCTGAGGTCAGGAGTTCAAGACCAGCCTGGCCAACATGGTGAAACTCCGTCTCTACGAAAAAATATAAAAAAATTAGCCAGGCGTGGTGGCAGGCGCCTGTAATCCCAGCTACTCAGGAGGCTGAGCAGGGAGGATTGCTTGAACCCGGGAGGTGGAAGTTGCAGTGAGCCGAGATCACACCACTGCACTCCAGGCTGGGCGACACAGCGAGACTCTGTCTCGGAAAAAAAAAAGATCCACTATTCAACACAGATATCCAAACATTAGGCCTATTACTGAATATTACACATTGCTCAAAAGCTAATTTTGGCCAAAACAAAATATATATTTGTATCATTGATTATATCACTAAAGGAGAAACAAAAAGTATTTTAAAAATACTACAGTACTGTTATCCTGATAAATATTTAAGTTTTTGTCTTATACCTTCTGTATGTTGTATTTTTCTTTCCACGTTGTTATTTTATTCTCTTTTCAAGTTAATTTCTTATTCCCAACCAAAGTCTGTTGGGACAGGTCGGTACTTCATTTACATGAGGTAAGCACTCCAAGAAAAGGACCAATGCCACACACACACACACACGCGCACACGCACACACAAGCATCATTGTACTTACTGTGCCAGGGAGTATTATTACAAAAGTAATTCAAGTATACGAAGAAATCGGGAAAGTTGGAAAAGTGCACAGAGGCATAATAAGGAAAATAAACCTCAATCATAATCCCTCTACTCTTGAGACAAGCACTGATTGTCTGTGACAGAGTATTGTGTGTGTGTGTGTAAATAAATTCTGAGATTGGTCTTAAATTGCATACCCTGCTTTGCAACCTACTTTTAAAACATGGGAATATCAAGATCCGGTTTTCAAATCACTAAAATGGTTTTTTTTTTAAAAAAATTTGACCCCTTTAGTCGCTGCATATTATTCCAGTGTATAATCTCCTCAATAGGACATTTAAGGTTTTTCTAGATTTATCATGAATGTAATCAAAAGATTTATTAAAAATTGAATGCAGCAGAATACATTGAGAATAAACTGTGCCTGCTTTCTAGGCTGTAGCTGCATTATAAAAACAAGAGAAGTCTTTCTTTCCTTCCCTAGAGCCCAGTGGTGGGGCTTTGGGTTATAGCAATCTGGGTTTCTCTTAGTCCTAGGGGCAAGTTAACAGTTCCTTGTTTTCAAAATTGTGCTCAAGAAGGTGAGTCCACTGGAAGTCCAATATACTGGGGAGTCCTACCTAGACAGGAAAGGCCTGGGGGCTGTGAAATTCTAGAAGTAAAGGGCACAGTATTTCAAGACTGGGAAAGAAGCCTGGATTCCTAAGAGGCTGGTGGTGGCATCCTGAAGCTGGCAGAACCCTGGAAGAGCAACTGTGGAGATGGTGGGAACTACCCTGTGTCTCTGTGGCTGATTTATTTTCTTTCTTTCTTCTTTCTTTCTCTCTTTCTTTCTCTTTCTTTCCCTCTTTCTTTCTCTTTCTTTCCTTCCTTCCTTCTTTCTTCTTTCTCCCTCTTTCCTTCCTTCCTTCTTTCCTTCCTCTCTCTCTCTGTTTCTTTCTTTCTTTCTCTCTCTCTCTCTTTTTTTTTTTTTAATAGACAGGGTCTCTCTCTCACCCAGGCTGGAGTGCGGTGGTGCCATCATAGCCCCCTACAGTCTCGAACTCCTGGGCACAAGTCAGCCTCTTCCCTCAGCTTCTTGAGTAGCTGGAACTACAGGCATGCACCACCACACCTGGCTAATTTTTAAAACTTTTTTTGCCCAGGCTGGTCTCAAACGTCTGGCCTCAAGCTATCCTCCTACCTCAGTCTCCCAAATTTCTGGGATTATAGGCATGAGCTGTAGCACCCAGCTTTTGTGGTTGACTTCTACCTAAGGGTCGTGACGTCATCAGCAGCGGTGCTGGCCATCACCATATGCATGGAAGCCTCATTAGGGAAACTAGGAACCACCTTTCCTAAATTCCAGTACTGTACATGTTCAAGGATTCTCCACAATTCCAAAGGATGGATAAAAGAGGAAAACTACAACTAAAAAAAAAAGAAAAAAGAAAAAAAAAAGATTGAGCTTCCCACCAATGCTGGCTGATGGTCACAAACCAGAATTGATTTGTTTAGAAAGGTTATATGGTATCCAAGCATCAGGAGGAATTCATGCCTGTTACCTAAATAACACTCTTCTTGAATGTGTAACTTAGTGTACCTGATTATGTACTTAAGATGAGTTTATTTTAATTCCTGGAACTAAAGTGAACTAAAAAAGAGTCTGAATAGTTTAAGGCTTTTTGGTATATATTGCTATATATTGTGTCTTATTTATAAGCTTTTGTATTTTTCAAGTCCACTGATTGTTCTATTTATCTCTGACAAAAGGTTATTACAGAAAAGAGGAAAGCAAAATCCATTAAGTATAAATTTCCGTTTATAATCTACCCCATTCCAGAAGACTTCAATTACTGGATTGCTTCATTGATAAGCCCAAGAGATAATCATTAAGTATTTAAACAAACAATACAAATTTCCACATGAGAAAGTGACATATACTTTATTAGTTACGCAGGCTGCCAAGAAATTATCTAAAAGCCTAGAAACAGAGAGGCACCAGAATAAGAAAAAGTCAATCTGATCAGGCTTCTCTAAACCTGCTTAACATCTCTTAGTTGCTTCTCAACAGTTTTAGGGCAAAACCCAACTCCTTGGCAAACTTCCCAGCTGTGTGACCTTGGGTAAGTTACTGGACTTCTCTGCGCTTCCATTTCCTCTTCTGTAAGCAGCAATAATAGGACATACTTCATGGGGTTGCTGGGAGAATTAAGGGAGTTAATTCATGGAATGTACTAGAACAACACCTGGTACCCCTTGCAGTATATACAAATCACAAGCACGCAGCATGGCACCCAACATGTGCCTCCTGCCTGACTCTCCAGAGTCACACCTCCCTGGCCTCCTTACCTTAGGCCCCATTAGAATGAAATAAATACTTGCCATACTTTAAACTTCCCATACCCTCATTTTTTCCTGCCTTTGTACATGCTGCTTTTCTTTTTTTTATTTTTCTTTCCTTTTTTTTGAGACAGAGTCTCTCTGTGTCACCTAGGCTGGAGTGAAGTGGTGAAATCTAGGCTCACTGCAACCTCCATCTCCTGGGTTCAAGTGATTCTTGTGCCTCAGTCTCCCAAGTAGCTGGGATTACAGGTGGCTGCCACCATGCCTGGCTAATTTTTTTTTTTTTTCCAATGGAGACGAGGTTTCACCATGTTGGCCAGGCTGGTCTCGAACTCCTGACTTCAGGTGATCCGCCTGCCTCGGCTTCCCAAAGTGCTGGGATTACAAGCGCGAGCCACCATGCCCGACCAGTACATGCTGCTTTTCTGATTGGAATGACCTTTACCACCTTCTCTTCTTGGCGAATTCTCCTATTCTCTGACTAGAGAATGCTGTGTTGTTAGCCCTCTCCCTGCAAAACCCTTCAGTCCAAGCTGGGCACCCCTCCTGGGTTCACTTATGAGATTGAGCTGAGTTTATTTTCATTGCTCATTACACTGCTGTCCCCCCACCCCCAGGTGAGCTCCCTGAGGTCAGGGAACATGCCATATTTACTGCTGTATCTCCAGGGCCCAGCCCAGTGTGGCCCATCAGAGGCACTCAATAATCATTTACTGAATGACAGTATTTGTCATAGGATAAGTGAGGGGAAAACAGGACCTTTTAGATTTGTAGAGTGTTTCCAAGCATTTCTATCCACATCTCACTTGATTTATATGGAACGAACAAGCAGGGATTGTTACCAGTTTTCCAGATGTGGAAACTGTGGCTCAGGGAGGTGAAAGGCTTTGCCCAAGATGCTGTAACATGCAAAAGGCAGAGGTAAGACTGAAACCTTGACATCCCTCCTGGCAGGGAGTGCTTTTTTTTTTTTTTTTTTTTTTTTTTTTGCATTACCCAGCTCCGTCTTTGTAAACCAGTCTTTGGAAGACACTATGCATGCTTTTGACAAAGGGCTCATCACTCCCAGTAGGAGTTACAAAGTTAGAGATGGCAGTGTAAAACCTGGAAACAAAGGAGCTGGTTGGAAACGGGCAGTAGGCTGGTGAGGGAAAGGAGGAAAGGAGACCAGGGCTTTGGAGAAGTTATTTGAGGAGGTAGAAAATGGGCTTCAGGTGATGCGCCTTCCCCCTGGGGTTCAGTACATGGGAAACGCACCACCCTTTTTTACAGAGGGCTTTAGACCAGCACAAGTGTTCCTCGTTTTCTTTCCTTTGTACCTGTGTCTTTATTTATTTATTTATTTATTTATTTATTTATTTATTTTTGAGACAAGATCTTGCTCCCAGGCTGGAGTGCAGTGGTGTGATCTCAGCTCACTGCAGCCTTGACCTCTCGAGCTCAAGAAATCCTCCTGCCTCAGCCTCCAAAGTAGCTGGGACTATGGGTACATGCCCCCACACCTGGCTAATTGTACATTTTTGTGTGTAGAGGTGGGGCTTCACCACGTTGGCCAGGCTGGTCTTGAACTCCTGAGCTCAAGTGATCTGCCTGCCTTGGCCTCCCAAAGTGCTGGGACTATGGGCTTGAGCTACTGTGCCCAGCCGTGCCTGCCTCTTTAGACACATCAAAATCCGCCTCTGTGATTTTTGCTTATGGCCATATAGAGGCAATTTGAGGTTCACCAACCACAAGGGAAGTAGCTCCCTGCCTTCATGAGGCTCTGATACACTATAAACCTTCCATTCAGAACCTGTGATGGAGTCGAGTGTGTAGCCCTAGCTACTTGGGAGGTCAAGGGAAGAGGATCACTTGAGCCCAGGAGTTTGAGACCAGCTTGAGCAATGCGGTAAGACCCCATCTCTAAAAAAGAAGAAGCTGTGATGGATATTCCACTAGATATCTTTCTTTGCTAAATCATCATATTTGGCTTTTAGAAGATTGATGGAACAGAGAGGGCCCACTTTTGACCACAGTCGTGTTTATGCTCAAGAAGAATGAACGCTCTTTAGAATTTCATGCCCCAGATACCAGTGAGAAAGGGGCTGTGACAGAAGATGCTTCATTTCATTATCCTTCCTTGGAGTCTCATAATTGAAAAATCTTTTATTAAAAGTTTTGCAAGGCCAGGTGTGGTGGCTCATGCCTGTAATGCCAGCACTTTGGGAGGCCGAGGCAGGAGGATCACCTGAGGTCAGGAGTTTGAGACCAGCCTGGTCAACATGGTGAAACCCCATTTCTACTAAAAATACAAAAATTAGCCTGGGGTGCTGGTGAGCTCCTGTAATCCCAGCTACTCGGGAGGCTGAGACAGGAGAATTGCTCAAACTTGGGAGGCAGAGGTTGTAGTGAGCTGAGATTGCACCAATGTACTCCAGCCTGGGTGACAGAGCAAGACGCTGTCTCAAAAAAAAAAAAAAAAAAGTTTTGTAAAGTTGAGCTGAAGGGTTCTCCAACTCCACCTTTAACGTTCAGTCCCTTCTGTATTGCAAACTAGGATCATCATCTTTTTAAAATATATTACCTTCCAATTGTCAAGCTGCTGTTACATGTGTTATCTCATTTGTTTCTCACAACCCTGAACTTGGACCATACAGAGCTAAACCACTAAGAGCTGTCCTGATGGTGAGCAAGTAGATCAGACACGCAGGGCCTCCTGACTGCAGATGGGTGTTTTTCCTCACCTCTCTGAGGATATTCCTGCCAGGATGTGTTGAATTCCCAATCTGAGGCTAGTCCGCCAAGGTGATTAACAGAAGCATGGATTAGCTATCCCTAGAACTAAAGTCTTCTGAAATCATATTTTGAAGATGAGCTGGTGAGGAAGGAGAGGGACTGAGTGAAGGAAATTTTATACCAGCCTCACTGAAAGGCAAGGTCCTGCTTTGAATTTTTGTACCAGGAGTGTCACCTGTTTTGGCAGAGTAACCTTAAATGTTCATGAATTGGGCCCGGTGCAGTGGCTTTTGCCTATAATCCCAGCACTTTGGGAGGCCGAGGTGGGCGGATCACCTGAGATCAGGAGTTTGAGACCAGCCTGGCCAACATGGTGAAACCCCATCTCTACTAAAAATACAAAAAAAAAAAAAAAATTAGCCAGGCATGGTGGTGCATGCCTGTAATCCCAGCTACTTGGGAGGCTGAGACAAGAGAATCGCTTGAACCTGGGAGGCAGAGGTTGCAGTAAGCCGAGATTGAGGCACTGCACTCCAGCCTGGACGATAGAGTGACTGTGTCTCAAAAAAAAAAAAAATTCATGAATTGTAGTCTCAAAATGCTAGGCCTTTGTGATAAAGTTGGTTGACAGGAAGAAGGCAGCAGTGAGACACTGTGTAAGGCACATGGAATATGGAGTGGAACAGAGCCGACAGTCAGTTCCTAGCTTTGCCACAGACTTGCTGTGTGACCTGGAGAGTTGTTTATTCTCCCTGGGGCTTAGTTTTTTACATTTTTAAAATGTAGCTAATCACAACTCCCTTGTAATGTTGTGAGGGTTAGCAATAGCATGTATTTCCAACACAGAACACCAGCTCATAAGTAGATGCTCAATAAAAATCTGTTGAATGGAGCTGGGTGTGGTGTCTCACACCTGTCATCCCAATACTTTGGGAGGCCAAGGAGGAAGACTCGCTTGAGGCCAGGTGTTTGAGACCAGCCTAGGGAACACAGTAAGAGCCCATCTCTAAAAAATTTAAAAGAAAAATAGCCGGGTGTGGTGGCAGGTACCTGTAGTTTCAGCTACTCAGGAGGCTGAGATGGGAGGATCGCTTCAACCCATGAGTTTACAGTTACAGTGAGCTGTGAATTCACCACTACACTCCAGCCTGGGTGACACAGGGAGACCCTGCCTCAAAAAAAAAAAAAAAAATCTGTTGAATGGATAAATGAATTAGGGATAACTTATGGTGCACTTCACATAGAGCCTGGTGCAAGGTGAAAACAAGAGCTTTTGCTTATCAAAACTCTGCAGAGGCAATAGACGCTAATAGGATCCCTAAGCGATTGTGGGAATGTAATAAAAATAAGTATGTGTGAGGGCCAGGTGCGGCAGCTCGCACCTATAATCTCAGCACTTTGGGAGGCCAAGGCGGGCGGATCATGAGGTCAGGAGTTCGAGACCAGCCTGGCCAACATGGTGAAACCCCGAGACTCCGTCTCAAAAAAAAAAAAAAAAAAGTATGTGTGAAAGAGATCATTTGTTTGGCTATTGTGAAACCAATCCCAGTTCTCATTCTAGTTGTTAAAAAGTCTAGGAGGTAAGAAAGTCTCTTTTAGATCTTCTTTAAACGTGGTGAAGAAAAGGGATTTTTACCAGTCTTTCTCATGCTTTCTGGCTAACAAGTCCAGGCTGGCTGGACTCTTTGGTGGGTTTGTAAAGTTCAGGCCACTAGTACACCAAAATTGCACCACATTTGCAAACCTCGTGTGAGTTCACAATGCGGCATTGTCTTTCCTCCCCTGGGGCATGAAGGATTGTCTGGAAAAGGTTAGCTGTTGCCATTAGGGAACCTGGTATAGCCAAAACCGAGGTGAAGCAGAAAGAAACCATGGGCTCTCAACAGGTTTGCCAAGTGATTTGCAAGTGTATTTACTTAAAAATAAGCAGAACACACAACCTTTTATAAAATTATGGCTAGAGAAGTTTTGTGACTCTCCTGTAAAATGCTCCCATCATATTCAAGTAATTGATCAACGTTTGGCTTTATCCAAATGCATTTCAATAAACTAAACAAATCTTGATTTCCTGATGTTTTACTTGAACTTCATTTTTCGAGTACTTTATTTTTTCATGACATACTTGAAACCAATTTTGAATAGGAGAAACAGCATTAGGCTTAGAACCACTAAACCAAAATGCCTTTGGAAGTTTTCCAATGAAGCGGATAGAGGGGGAGAAGGGCTGAAGGATGGAGGCGCGGCCATCTTGTATTTTTTGGTATTTCACAGTGCTTTGAGAGGTCGGGAACATATTGCTTTGAAGTAGTGAATCAAATGATTATAGATCTAATGAAATCATCTGGTCAGTCTTCAGGATTCAGGAAACCGAATGTCTAAATCTTCTAAAACCCATTCTTTCACAACTGGAAGCTCTTCAAAGATAGAGGCATCACTGTCTACACTGTCTGCCACAGTAGGCTGACCTCAGGGTAAATACTTTTTTTCTTGTGTCCAACTGAAACTTCTCTTGTCTTCCAAATGAGATATGAAAAATAAATGATCCGTCTTCTTGTGGCAGACAAATAGACTGATGGACCCAAAATCCATTCCTAATTGCTTTTTTCTTTCATGCCTCTACTATAGAAACTGGGAAAGTTAAGTCCTCACTTTCCCAGGCTTCACTGTAGCAGGAAGTGATGATGTGAGACCTTAGACTGACGTTCAGTGGATGACTACCTACTGGGAGGGGTAGTGAGGAAGGGCCTGAATAAGCCTTTTGTTTTCCTGATGAAACAGGACCAATATGTCTGGCAATGCTGCTCTTCCTTTCCTCCTGTCTCAAATGCAGACATGGTACCTGAAGCTACAGCAACATCTTGGAATCATGAGAGAAAGGCCAAGGGAATCAGAGATATTGGCCTTCATCTTTCAGCTACTGAACCACTGCCAGCAACCAGTAACCTCCAACCTTCTAAGACAAATCTACCCTTATTCCTTTAGGCCACTATCTTCTGATTTTCTATTATTTGCAGTTGACCTCAATCACATCTGAAGTACATCACCTAAAGATTTCACGTGACTGGAGAGACATAAATCCACTCAACTTCCCAAGGCAGGCTGTGTTCTCTCACTGTACGTTTATAAATTCCTCTTAGCCCCAATCAAATCAGGCTCATGAAGGGATTGGTTGCTTTGTTGCTTTTCTCCATTTATCCCTGGTCAGCTTCCCCTCAGCCTCCCATTCCTAAGTCTGCTCCATTCTTTTTTTTTGAGACAGAGTCTCTGACTCCAGAAGCTCCTTTATAACCACATCTTCATTTATACAGAAGTTTTATGGGTTGTGTGTGTGTGTGTGTGTGTTTGAGACAGGGTCTCACTCTGTCACCCAGGCTGGAGTGCAATGGCATGATCGCAGCTCACTGCAGCCTCGACCTGGTCAAAATGCCCAGCTAATTTCTTAAATTTTTTGTAGAGATGGGGTCCCACTGTGTTGCCCAGGCTGGTCTCAAACTCCTGGACTCAAGCAATCTTCCCACCTCAGCCTCCCAAGGTGTTGGGATTACAGGCGTGAGCCACTGTGCCTGGCCAACAAATTTTTTTTAAAAATAAGACTCAATTTATCTTAATCAGAATAAGCAAAATTATCCCTAGAAATTAAGTAGTTCCTAAATAAAATGATTGAATTAAATTATCCTTAAGGTACCTTCTAGCTTCAAATTTATTACAATGAATGTTTCAGACTTCTGCTTGATGAAAGCACATCTTTCCAAATAATCAAGTGGGCTGCGTGTGGTGGCTTACACCTGTAATCCTAGCACTTTGGGAAGCTGAGGCGGGCAGATTGCTTGAGTCCAGGAGTTTGAGACCAGCCTGAGCAACATGGCGAAACCCTATCTCTTCAAAAAATTTAAAAATTAGCCTAGTGTGCTGGTGCACATATGTAGTCCCAGTTACGTGGGAGACTTAGGTGGGAGGACCACTTGAGCCCAAGAGTTCAAGGCTGCAGTGAGCTATGATGGCACCACTGCACCCCAGCCTGGGTGACAGGGCAAGACTCTGTTTCTAAAAAAAAAAAAAAAAAAAGAAAAAAAGAAAAAAGAAAGAAGAAAAGAAAGGGAAAAAACAGTACATTGGCAGTGGGGAAGCCTAGCACACATTATCTTAAGCAGTTGAACTGAACACCACCTGTAACGGGGCACATTGGAGGGGCATTCTATCAAGTCAGCCTCTGGTACACTTGAAAAGTGGGTCAGCTCATGGAAGCCAAGAAAAGGTTGAGGAACAGTTTCTAACAAAAGAAAAGTGAAGAGCTGTGATCGCTAAATGCAATGTGTAATTCTGGACTGCATCCTTTTGCTATAGGGCATGTTATAACCACAACTGGAGAAACTTGAATAGGCTCTGAGGATTCGAGGGTAACGCAATCAGTGTTAATGTTCTGACTTGGATGGTTGTATTGTGGTCTAGTAGGAGAATGTTCCTTCATAGGAGGAAAAATCTACACTAAAGTATTCTGGGTGATGGGATATCTGGTCGCCAGCATATCCTCAAACAGTTCAGAAAAGTGCTTTGTACTGTAGCTCATTACTTTGAAAGTTAAAGATGAAGCATTGTTTATAATGAGACTGAAACCAAACCCAATAAATCCTAAGAGCAAAACCAACTTTTTCCCATTATCAAAAAGCTGACTGCAAAATATTGGTTGTAGAGTTTCTACATGTATAATCTCAGCTTTGTTACTGGATACAAGTATATACATAGCCTACTTGACAGACACTTACTAGACATCTAGTTAGTGCAAGACAAGCTACGAAAAGGATTTTTAAAAAATGAGTCATGGCCAGGTACAGTGGCTCATGCCTATAATCCCAGCACTTTGGGAGGCTGAGGCAGTAAGATCGCTTGAGGCCAAGAGTCCGAGGTTGTAGTAAGCTATGATCGTGCCACTGCACACCAGCCTGGGTGACTGCAAAGAGCTCGCAACCTGGTTACCTATGCATGACCTTGACCATAATCCCTCCATGTGATTCTAGTGGACAAAGCATTTGTTTAAACTTTTCCCTAAAACAACCAACTACAGGAAGGAAAGGAAATTCACTCAGGGTCCAGAGTTGGCTTAATAGTTCAAAGGAGAGCAGACACATTCATACCAAATTGTAGATTCCTAGAACTTGATTTTCGTGGCATACATCTGTATATGCATGATATATCTTACATCTTTATAATATCTACCATATTGGGGTGTGTGTGTGTGTGTGTGTGTGTGTGTGTGTGTGTGTGTGTGGAGAGAGAGAGAGAGACTTGATAAAATCCCTCTGGTGACTCTTATCTCTTACCTTCACTGTGGAATGATGATACATACATTGGAATTAGACTTTGCTAAATCAGGAACTGTTTATTTTATTTTATTCTATTTTTTTGAGACAGGGTCTCACTCTGTTGCCCCCGCTGGAGTACAGTGGCGTGATCTTGGCTCACTGAAACCTTCACCTCCCGGGTTCAAGCAATTCTTGTGCCTCAACCTCCCAGGTAGCTGAAACCACAGGTGTGCGCCATCATGCCCAGCTAATTTTTGTATTTTTAGTAGAGAGGAAATTTCACCATGTTGACCAGGCTGGTCTCAGACTCCTGGTCTCAAGTGATCCACCTACCTTGGCCTCTAGTACACCAAATAACAGGCGTGAGCCACTGTGCCCAGCCAGAACTGTTTATCTTTAATAGCAATGGTCACTTCAAAAATTCCAGCTGTCCAACGGTGCCATTGAGCCAGGTGAATTACACTTCAAAGAAGAATATGGGCTTCCTCAAATAGCGTCTTGCTACTTAGCAACTCGGCAAGGCACGTCCATTGCTCATTCAACTGAGCTTTTGTTTACACTTGTGAAAGCCAAGTCCAGATGCTAGCAGATCCCTCATCAAAAATGTCCAAAAGCCCCATGTACATTTCTTCCCTCACCAAAGTCATATATTAGGCATAGCAATATACTTCTTATTAATATTAAATTAGTGTGCATAAAACAGAAACCCCTAAGGAGGTTTTCAGCTTAAATATGCAGGAAGAAATCATTTTTCATTTTTGAGTTTAGACTTTAATAAGACCTGTATGTAACTTAGTTATGGTTGCATAACCCAGATCTTGAGGGACAATCATTCATGTGATTGGCTAAAGCAAGTCTTCCTTTCATTTTGGTAAAACCACATTCTTATTTGTGTGTTTATTTTGTACTCTATGTCAGTGGTCATGAGTTCTTTAACTTTATTTATTTGTTTAACAAATGTCTCTAAGGGCTTACTGCCTGGCGTTAAATGAGGCACTGAGATCCATCAGTTGATACGATTGCCAGGGTCCCTACCCTGAAAGAGCATCCCTCTGTCCTGCATATAATAACCTTGATGTTGGACTGCAAGACCATATGCAAATATGGGGAAACTTGGGAGTTTCCCCAAAACAAATTATGGTATGAAATAGTGAAAATTTTATTGAAGATCATTGAAGTTAAGACTGATAAACACTTGCCCTGGGTGGGTTACAACCATCTTTTCTTTTCTTTTCTTTTCTTTTGATGAAGTCTTGCTCTGTTGCCAGGCTGGAATGCAGTGGCGTGATCTCGGCTCACTGCAACCTCCGCCTCGCAGGTTCAAGTGATTCTCTTGCCTCAGCCTCCTGAGTAGCTGGGATTACAGGCACGTGCCACCACACCCAGCTAATTTTTTGTATTTTAGCAGAGACGGGGTTTCACCATGTTGGCCAGGCTGGTCTCGATCTCCTGAGCTCATAATCTGCCCGACTCGGCCTCCCAAAGCGTTGGGATTACAGGCGTGAGCCAACGCGCCTGGCCCATCTTTTCTAGAAAAACAGAGTGGATAGCCTTTTGAGAGCTTTTGAAATTCTGTTTTGTTGTTGTTGTTAAATGTACATGCGACATAAAAATTTTGCCTGTGCTTCACGCATAACGGTCACCCTTGTTGACCAATTATCTGGTTTGTTTTCTCCAGAAGTTGGGGTGGATTTTCCCCATTCCATCCACATTCTTCCATTTGGTTTCCTTGACACTGAAGGGAAATGTCTATCAGACACTTGATTCAGACAGAATTCAAGTGAGACTGAGGTTAGAGTGCATAGTAAGAAAGGGAAATGAATTACCTGGTCCATGTGGTGGGGTTTGGCTTCATGTGAATATGTACAAACTAATAGAACCAGGAGGGAACCATCTATATCAGTTCTGGGAGGCAGCAAATTTAAGGGAGAGAACCTAGGATTTGCCATCACACTGGCCAATTACACGTGGTCTTGGGCAAGTTAGTGGAACTCTGTGAATCTTACCTGTGAAATGTGGGTAGTGCTACCTATCATATAGTGTTGATATGAGAATTAAAATGAGAGGCCGGGTGTGGTGGCTCATACCTGTAATCTCAGCACTTTGGGAGGCCAAGGCAGGTGGATCACTTGGGGTCAGGGGTTTGAGACCAGCCTGGTCAACATGGTGAAACCCTGTCTCTACTAAAAATACAAAAATTAGCTGGGTGTGATGGTAGGTGCCTGTAATCCCAGCTACTTGAAAGGCTGAGGCAGGAGAATCGCTTGAACCCAGGAGGCGGAGGTTGCAGTGAGCCAAGATCGTGCTACTGTACTCCAGCCTAGGAGATAGAGTGAGACTCCATCTCAAAAAAAAAAAAAGAGGTAACTTGAATTAGTGCTGCAGGTTTGTGTATAAAGGGCCTTACCACGCACAGAACAATTTGAGATGACTTCCATGTGTCAGTCTACCTAAGGTGGGTGTGTTCTGAATTACTCCATTTTCTTACATGTTAACATAGTTAATAATGGTTATTCAGTTGTTGCATTAGTAAGGACAACCTAGGTTATACTGCAGTAACAAGTAGCCCCTAAATTTCAGTGGCTTTCCAAGAAACAAACAAAAAAATTACAGTTATTATTATTTTTTTAGTTAAGCAAAGTCCATAGCAGCCCCACATGACTCTTCAAGGAAGCTCTCCTCCTTAGGATGGTTCAGCAAGCCCTTCTTTATCAAAAAAGGCTTCCATGATGCTGAGGCAGAAGAGAGGGTTGTGTAACTGAGCACTGCAATTAGGTGCTTTGACTCAGATATGAAATGCCATTTCCACTCACATTTCACTGGTAAAAGCAAAACATATGGCCGGGCCTAAACTCAGGGAGCTGACGAAACTTTATCCCTTGTGTTTCCAAAAACAGAACTGGAAATATCGACAAACAGCACTGAAGGCTCCTGGTCTACCACAGGAGGTGATCTCTAGTGAAGAAGGTGAGGCAAGGACTAAAAGTTATTAGAATTCTAAAATTTTCAAGCTGCATAAATACTTTAGTGATCACTCCAGTTATTTCTGAAACTGATACTCTGTTTTAAAATTACAAAGTTGCTCCTTATATATTACAACTAGTATCCTTTCTATCCCATTTTTCATCTTTTCTGCACTTTTGTGACTCAGAAAAGTGGCAATGAATTGCACCAAGCACATAGTAAGTGCTTACAACTCATTTGCTGGTTGATTAACACCATCACAAAGAGCCCACATTTGTAAAGGTAACTGACTGATACATTGTGTTTCATGTCCAAAGTCACAAGGCAGTAAGAGAGCCAGAAAGAGACTTTCATGCTTACTGCCATTAGCCACAAGAGTACTTTTATTACTTCCTTGAGAAAAGTTGGCCCCAGAAGAGTTATTCATGTTTGTTGGCAGTTTCCAAAGGTGATTACCGCTTTTAGCCTTGGACTATACTCATGCACAGAATATGAGAGGCAGTAATGGTGCAAAACACTGTCAGACACCATTAAAGAAAATATCCCAACTGCAGGACACTTCACAGTGTCTGCCCAAAGAGAGAAAGCACAAAGCTGCCACTCATCTTTCAAAACTCAGCTCACATGTTATCTTCTCTGCAAAGTTATTGCTAATCCCCAATGACAATTAATGGTTTCTATAGCTTTATGTTCTTGTGCTTAATAGTCAAATTTATATTAATAACATGTCTATCTTCTTTACTGGATTTTGATCTCCCTGAAGATGCAGATCTGGTATTATGCAGACTTTTTACCCCTAACACCTAACTGAGAGACTTCTTAGGGAAAAGGACAAAATAAATCTTTGCTGAATTGAATAGAAGCCCTGCATTCACTTTAAAAACTCAAACTATAGTATTTGTCTCACCTCTTTGCTGTGTTTTAAAATTACAAACCAATATCTGTATGCAAAGAAGGAAGATGGACAGGCTGTGTTTGTAGTCTCAGTCCAATGCACGTATCCTGCCAAAAGAGAAAATTTGATTCCATTTTGGAGCTGAGGCCTCAGGTCCAATTTAATTTGATCCCCATATGACCAGGCTGATTAATTGTCAGGTCTAGCCTTTCTTCACAGTAAACCTCAATCCCTCGTAATTTGCCATGAAACTGGTGGGAGTTGGCTGTTTCAGGCATGAATAGCGTAGGTCTTGTTCAAACCTCCCCAGGCCTTATTTAGGCAAGGTGGGAACCGGCTGGCTGCCCTGCAGAGGAGCAGGTGTAATGAGGATTAGGTCACATGGTGGGAAGGGGGCTCAGTGGGCAGGCAGCTGGTGAAATCCCAGGTGTGTGTGAGTTGGCAGGGGCACAAAGAGAGGAGAGCTGCAAACAGCTCAAAGTCCCTGGGCTGTGCAGCTGCTTGTTTGGCACTTGCCTAGGACCCACCTGTAGTGTTGATGGGCACAACCCACTCCTAGGAGCAAGGAAACATGAAAGATCTTCTGTAAGCTGCAGGGGCCCCACCCCTTCCAGGGAAGGCTGGAGGGCCCAAGCATGCCCACGGGCTACTGGGCAACCAGCTCCCTGCACTTTGCAATGCTTAAGACAGGGCAGGGCTGGTTATTCTTTTTCACAAGACAGTCCTTGGAGGACTAAGACAAAAATACGTATTATCTTTCTATTCAGAGGTCTATTCCCAAGTATACCTAGAAAATAAGTGAAAAACAAAAACAAAACCCTGAGCTGGAGAGTATGTCAACAGGCAGAGATACTCAGGGAAAAAACAAAAAACAGGCTCAAGGCCAAGAGGCAAAAATAAATGATGATCCCTTCTCCTGGGCGGTGGGTGGGGAGCTCGTGTAAACAAACTCAGCATAGCAAGCCCTTCTTAATCTGTTTCTGTCCCTCTGCTAATCACTTCTGTGGTTTTTGCAAGACAGAATCTAGTCTCAGTGCTGGGGCTAGTGTTACAGATTTAGTGGCTGTGAATTATGGAACTTCTCTTGATCTCCAAGGACAAAAGGAAACTGCTGGCCACAAATCCAAACAACTGTTGTTCATGCAGGTGAAACAGCAATCTCCTTCAAGTGTACAGGCTGGAAAAGAGTCTAGATCTCTTATCTTCACACTAAGGCCAGCCTCCAGAAAAATTACGAAGCAGGTTAAAGCCATTCCTGACTATTTACTGCTCTAATGTGGCTTCTCCCATCTCTGCTTTTAAGTACAAATAGAACCTGCTGATTTGCTTACACGTGGCATCAATCCCCCTGTTCTTCCCACTAACAGAGTCCCAGTCTGGGGGCAAGAGAACAATGACAATGTGCACAGTTAACACATCCTCACCTATCCAGACTCTGTGCATCTGGGCATGGCTATGTGACTTTTACTCTCAGGGAGACATAAGCAGAGGATTCTGGGAAAGATTTCTTGATATAGGCACCACCCTGGATTTTCCCTTTTTTTTCTAGCTGGAATGCAGATGAGGTATCTAAAATACATCTTCCAGCCGACCATGGTGACTCACGCCTGTACTCCCAGCACTTTGGGAGGCCGAGGTGGGCGGATCACCTGAGGTCAGGAGTTTGAGACCAGCCTGGCCAACATGGTGAAACCCTGTCTCTACTAAAAATACAAAAATTAGCCGGGCGTGGTGGCATGCTCCTGCAATCCCAGCTACTCGGGAGGCTAAGGCAGGAGAATCGCTTGAACCCGGGAGACAGAGGTTGCAGTGAGCTGAGATCAGGCCACTGCATGCCAGCCTGGGTGGCACAGCAAGACTCCTTCTTAAAAAACAAACAAATAAAATAAAATAAAATACATCTTGCTTCCAGAGATGAAAGCCGTATGCTCAAGATGGCAAAGCAGGGGAGCATAAAGAGCCTGGATGCTCATTGGCATTGCTGGTACTATGGTGCCAGCCCTGACTGCCTAACCCTGGATCTTTTGCTATGGAGGATAACCCTGTAGCTCTCAAACCCGAGTAGGCACATGAGTCACCTGGGGGTCTCATAAAAACACAGATTCATGGGCCCTTCCTGAGAGTGTCTGATTCCGAAGGTCTGGGGTGGGGTCCTGAGCCTTGTATTCCTAACAAATTTCCAGAGGACGCTGCTGCCACTGGTTGGAGACCACGCTTTGGGAACCACTTGCATAACTGAATAGCCACTTGTTGAAGCCGCTGTTACTTGGGTTTTCATACACTCACAGTGGAATTCTGTTCCAAAGGATACACTGCCCTCTAAACCCTCAAGAGCTATACACCCCCAGAAAGGGGCTGAAAACTCATTTAACCACAAGGCATAAATACGCAATGAGGCTTACAATCTATTTGGATTCTGATCAGAAAGGAATCATTAAGTCAAAGAAAAGAATTTCTGCTTTTAACTTGGAGGCATCGTTGGAGCCGAATGGAGAAGACACGCAGAGCAGGGAAGCTTAGCCGGAACTTTTTTTTTTTTTTTTTTTTTTGAGACGGAGTCTTGCTCTGTCGCCCAGGCTGGAGTGCAGTGGCGTGATCTTGGCTCACTGCAAGTTCCGCCTCCCGGGTTCACGCCATTCTCCTGCCTCAGCCTCCCGAGTAGCTGGGACCACAGGCGCCCGTCACCACGGCTGGCTAATTTTTTGTATTTTTAGTAGAGACAGGGTTTCGCCGTGTTAGCCAGGATAGGATGGTTTCGATCTCCTAACCTCGTGATCCGCCCGCCTCGGCCTCCCAAAGTGCTGGGATTACAGGCGTGAGCCACCGCACCCGGCCACTTTAGCCGGAACTTCTGATCTCATACCAGAGACGCATCACCTCTTCAACAACTAACGAGGGGATTTCTCCTGGCTCTTTCCCTCTTCCTAACAATGGAACCTGGGGCAAATTCTTTAACCCCTCTGAACCTCAGTTTTCTCATTTGTAAAATTGGAATGATAAGACTTATCACACGGGCTTGCTGTAAGGCATAAGGGATGTCAGGGAGTGAGGCAACTTGAGCATCCATCACTGGGAGAGTAAAATGCGTGGGTGAATGTCACAGAGTGTTACTTAGTGATCAGCTGCAAAAGTGTAGATGCACAAATAGCAACACGGATGGAAGCTAAAAACACAGTGCTTATTGAAAAAAGATGTAGAATCGATCATTTTATGAAATAATTAAAAAATGGATGCATACCAAAAAAAGTACAGTACGCACAATATTCACAAAGATATATTAAAATACATTCGAATGGTTATCTATGAGGCAAAGAGAATGAAAGCAGGGTATGGATATATATCTTTTTTTGAAAAAAAATGAATGAGTGTCCATCAGATTGACAAAAATCAAAGTGTCTGACAACATCAAATTTAAATGAAAACATGGAGGAGAAGGAGCTGCCGTATTCTGTTGATAGGAGAGTAATTTGGTACAAGCCTGTGTTACAGACCACCAATGTTCCCACTACCCAATTCCCTTCTTCTAGAAAGTGAAGCCCTGATTCTTTAACTGGCCACATGGCTGCTTGATGCGAGCACCATTCTGGATTGGAATAACTCCAATTCCCAGCCTCCTCTGAAGCTAGGTGTGGGCATGTGAATATGCCACTTGTGAATATGCCAACTTGTGGCCAATGGTCTATGATCAGAAGTGTCATTTGAAATTTCCAGGGAGTATCCTTAAATGGAGGGATCTCAGTAAATGGCTGGGAGCAAAGGTGGATGTCAGAGAGAAATGGAAATGATCCACAATGTCTAAAATCTCCCTTTTAGCTGACCCATCCCAAAATAGGGCAGCAAGTGACCCAAAACGTTTACACTTTCCTTAAAGAAAGAAAAATGACAGCCCTGGAATACATAAAATGATCACACAGTATATAACTTGGCATTAGAATCAATATACCCTAAGAGGAGAAAACTGTCCAAAGGGGACAGCCATAAACAAATTTAAAGTGGAGAGATCTGAAGCTTAAGCATGGTGGTAAAAGAGGTTGTTATAATTACTTCCTAAACCTCAGCTTTAGCCTGGAGATATGTTATAGCCTGGAGTGGGTGATCACTTAAAGAAAAAGATGATGGGCCATGCATGGTGGCTTATGCTTGTAATCCCAGCACTTTGGAAGGCCGAGGCAGGTGGATCACCTGAGGTCAGGAGTTCGAGACCAGCCTGGCCAACGTGGTGAAACTGTCTCTACTAAAAACACAGAAATTTGCCAGGCATGGTGGCAGGTGCCTGTAATCCCAGCTACTCAGGAGGCTGAGGCAGGGGAATCACTTGAACCCGGGAGGCGGAGGTTGTGGTGAGCCGAGATTGCGCCATTGCCCTCCAACCTGGGCAACAAGAGCAAAACTCCCTCTCAAACAAACAAACAAACAAACAAAAAAAAAGAAAAAGATTATGAATTCAATTTGTTAATATTTTTCTTTCCTAAAAAAGAAGACATTATGGTTTTTAGTCAGCTGACTTGTTTCAATAACAGTTTATCTACCACTAAAAACCAGAGCCCCACATCTGTTCCTAATAAAAACCTATAATCAGCAATGCCCATTGCCTTTCAAAACTTATTTTCTTCATCCCTAAACTATGCACAGACCTGGCCAAAGCTTGTTTCTGTTGTCACCAAGATATAATGGCATTGCATTTATTCCAGGATAAATAAATCAGCAGCGATTCCAAGTAGAATCTGTGTCAGCCACTGAAGCTATTGAAAATTTGAGCCTTAACTACAGATTGACATTTTCATGTGTTAAAATGCTGAAGTATGCCCGTTTTCTGTTTTTCAGTTTATAACATTCAAACCTTTGTGATACTTTGTTTCAGGTCACAAGGCTTTAAAGACATTTGATAATAAAAACAGTTCACATTTTCAGTAAAAACAGATTCTGGAAGCGGCAACCTTAAGACAGCAACCCTTTCCACAAGAAACATTTATTTCTAAAAGTTATGGACTTTGAATTGAGCCTGGAAGCAGCAGACCAGGCCACTACCTAGTAAAGGGCTTTAACTGGAACTGGCCTGCAGCCTGCAGGTTCCTGGAGAAGGGGTTTAGAAGTGGTCTGCCGTCTCAATGACAGGCTGTCTTGTTGCTGTGTGAGAACCAGCCGGAGCTGTTTAGGAACAGCCTTTATGAAAGCACAGTATATAATTCTGGGTGAAAGTTTAGGAACACTTTTCCTGGCAGTGACAAACCCTGCATATTTTTCTTTTTCTTCCTCTGAGAACAGTTGATCCTTAATGTTTTTTCAGCTTTGAGCCATTTTCAAAGAGAAGTACACGTTGGAAGCTTCAGCAAACTTGTTTGTCCTAAAGCTACGGCAAAGCAGGATAAGTGTGCAAAGCAATGTGCAAAGGACCAGGAGACTCAGTATGCACGGTGCACGGTGAGGCAGGTTGTCGGGAGGAGCGGCCTCAAGACCTCTTACCCTTAGAAACAGCTATGTGTAGCTCACTGCTCAGGAATTAGAACAGGAACTACTCTCTTTCATGATTCTAAGGTGGGCACCAAACATTGGTCACTTCCCACAACATTATCTCCTACTTCTATTGCTTACATCTAATAGGCATCTTCAGGCTACAACCAAATCATTAAAGGATGCTGAACACAACACATTCCCTTTTGAAGGCGGGACATTATTTTGTTAACATTCATATTTTTCCAATCAGAGAGTGTCACAAATGGAAGGTTTATGAGGGTGTGGGGACCCTCATAAATGGGGGACTAAAATGGATGGAAGGAATATGGAAAGGTCATAATTTGAGATCTTAAGAGTAAAACAGGGTGGGGCATGGTGGCTCATGCCTGTAATCCCAGCACTTTGGGAGGCCAAGGTGAGCAGATTACCTAAGGTCAGGAGTTGGAGACCAGCCTGGCCAACATATAGTGAAACCCTGTCTCTGCTAAAAAGATACAAAAATTAGCTGGGTGTGGTGGTGCACGCCTGTAGTCCTAGCTACTTGGGAAGCTGAGGCAGGAGAATTGCTTGAACCCAGGAGGCAGAGGTTGTAGTGAGCCAAGATCGCTCCACTGCACTCCAGCCTGGGCAACAGAGTGAGACTTCATCTCAAAAAAAAAAAAAAGAAAAGAAAAGTAAAGCAGGATGACTTTAGGCTTTAGGATAATTTTTTTCTCTATGAGGAAACTCTTAATTTGTGATATAAAAGAAAAATATTGATTTTCCAAGAAGGAAGTGACCTTAACTCCAGTAGGGGTGGGCTGGTTTATGCTCCATCAGTGAGCTTATGAGTAAAGAAAGAAAGAAGTGGGTTTATGTACAGAAGTCTATAGCAGATTTTCCTAGAAAGCCTTGAGAGAATTGGTGTTATGTTTCTAGAAGGCAATTCTTACTCTCCCAAGGAGTAAGTAAGGGGTGAATAAGAATTGCCCCCTGATAAACAATGAGTGAACTTAGGAGCCAGAAACCAAGAATGGACTAGCATATGAAGGGATCGTCTAAACACAATGAGAATGAATTGCAAGGTGTCCTATAAGGTCACAGACTAGGAACTTCTGGCACATGGACGACAACTCCAGAAACATCTGTGTCGGGTGCAGGAGTCAAAGGGTATTATTTTGCACGAACGCCTAGAAGGAGAAGGGGAAGAGGGGAGCAAGAAGAGAATGCAAGTTCTCTACTCTCCCACCAGCTGGAGGGTTTGCCTATAAGCTGTGTAATTGGAAAGTGCAGGCCCAGGCCCAAAAGTAGTTATGGTCACCTAAAGACTTTGTGAGTCCAAGTGAAATGAGAAAAGTTCCCTCGTCCCCATCTCCTGGCGTGTGATGGGGCTGCGGCTCAGGTGCTCCGCTGCTCAAAACCCCTAGGGGAGCAGGCAGACAGGCAGGTCGTGGGGAGCATGGGCTCTGACCCCATGGCAGCGTCTAGGGGTGAATGTTTACAGCTCTTGAAGCCCCAGTGGGCGTGTGTTGCAGGGTGCTCTTTTAGATTTGCCATCTGTAGGCGGCTTGTGTTAATCAGCTTAATTACACCCTCTGCCTTACAGCAAGGAAAGAGGGTTTGCTGTATCCCGGGGTTCTTGCCTTGGTGTACCAGAAAAATCGGATCACACGTGAGCTTGGAGAACGAGTGCAAGGTTTTTGTTTGTTTGTTTGTTTGTTTTTGAGACGGAGTGTCTCGCTTTGTGGCCAGGCTGGAGTGCAGTGGTGCGATCTCGACTCACTGCAAGCTCCGCCTCCCGTGTTCAAGCGATTCTCCTGCCTCAGCCTCCTGAGTAGCTGGGTCTACAGGCACGCGCCACCACGCCCAGCTAATTTGTGTATTTTTAGGAGAGACGGGGTTTCACTATGTTGGCCAGGAAGGTCTCGATTTCTTGACCTCGTTATCCGCCCGCCTCGGCCTCCCAAAGTGCTGGGATTATAGGCATGAGTCACCGCGCCCGGCTGAGAGCAAGGTTTTGTTGAGTGGTGGAAGTAGCTCTCTGCAGATGGATGGGGAGCCAGAAGGGGTGTGGAGTGAGAAGGTGGTTTTCCCTTGGAGTCGGGCGGCACAGCTCTCCCCTGACTGCCCTCGGCTGAACTTTGCGTCGTCCCGCGGTAGATGACCTGCGGGCGTCTGCTGGTGTCTGTCAGTGTGTTCTTCTGCCGGTGTCTTCTGCTGGTGTGTTCCTCTCAACGTCCAGCTGCTTGTGTTTGTCCCCTCTAGTGTTTCAGGGTTTTTACAGGCACAGGATAGGGGGTATGGCGGGCCAGGGTGGTGTTGGAAAATGCAACATTTAGGCGGGAAAACAGAAATGCCTGTTCTCACATAGGTCCGTGAGTATAGGCCCGAGGGTGGAGACCTAGCCAGGGACCCCGCCTTTCTCTACCCAGCATTTCCCTGCCCCGCTCCGGTATCACTAGCAGAAACAGCTTGCTGCTTTCCTCCCCTCGCGCCTCTAGAGCCCATGAAGGAGCTCTGGTGCTGGGCAGAGACTCCCAGTGGTTCAGGGGCTAGGCATAGTGGGGACCTTTCTCAGGGGCACTGACAAGTGCCTTAGCGAGTTTGGCATGGAAGAACATGAACAGAAAGCTGGGGCGGGGGGGATGCGTAGAGTTCCTGCAATTATGCGGGGTGGAGGGGGGCTGAGAGTTATTATGATTTATATTTCATTAAATATGATTTCATCTGTATCCAAAGGAAGGTGAGGCTTCAAACATTCAGTTTATGCATACAAAAAGCCAAGGAACACAGTTTGCATCTCCAGCCAGGTCAATGGCCAATGATAAGAGGATGCAGAAGACTCAGTTTCTCAGGAGCACAACCAGAGTCTGGGCAGCACCTCTGATCTTCTGCGGGGTGCTGCGAGAACCATGTGGCCCTCGGGAAAGCATGAGCTGGGTGCCCTTGGCTGAGGATAGTCAAGAATGGCCATAGGCTAGGCGTGATGGCTCATGCCTAGAATCCCAGCACTTTGGGAGGCCAAGGTGGGAGGATCACTCGAGGTCAAAAGTTTGAGACCAGACGGGGCAACATGGTGAAAACCTGTCTGTACTAAAAATACAAAGTTAGCTGGGCGTGGTGGTGGCACCTGTAGTCCCAGCTACTCGGGAGGCTTAAGTGGAAGAATTACTTGAACCTGGGAGGCAGAGGTTGCAGTGAGCTGAGATTGTGCCACTGCACTCCAGTGTGGGTGACAGAGCGAGACTCCATCTCAAAAAAAAATAAAAAAATAAAGCCACAAATGGTCCTCACTTTATTCTTTGTTCAGGCATTCATTGTTCACCCCACGTTCATTGAACACCTGCTATGTGCCGGTCACACACCATTCTAAGTGCTGCAGATACAGGAATGAACAAATAGGATGTCAATCCCTTCCCTTGTGGTGCTTTCATTTTTAAAGGCCAACAGGTAGGCTGGGTGTGATGGCTTATACCTGTAATCCAAGCACTTTGGGAGGCCGAGGCGGGTGGATCACTTGAGGTCAGGAGTTCGAGACCAGCCTGGCCAACATGGTGAAACCTTGTCTCTACTAAAAATACAAAAATTAGCTGGGCGTGGTGGCAGGCACCTGTAATCTCAGCTACTCGGGAGGCTGAGGCAGGAGAATTGCTTGATCCCTGGAGGCAGAGGTTGTAGTGAGCCAATATCGCGCCACTGCACTCCAGCTGGGCAACAGAGTGAGACTCCATCTCAAAAAAAAAAAAAACCCAACAGATAATGATATACACTTTCAAACTACATAGTGTTAAAAAAAACTTTTAGATAGAGTTTGTCTCTCAAATAAATTTAAGAGTTTATTTGAGCAAAGAAGGATTCCTAAGTTAGGCAGCCCTCAGAGCCAGAAGTTCAGACAGCTCAGCCCAGCAGCAGGAGCTGAACTCAGAAGCAGAGCAGAGCAATCACCTGGTTGGCTACAGCTAGGTGTTTGCCTTATTTGGACATGGTGTGATGAGTTGGCTGCTTGTGATTGGCTGAAACTTGGCTATTTGTTACTATATATATATATATAAATATAAAATATATACTATTCACTTATGTTTCAGCTGGTTTACATACTAAGTTGGTTGAGGGGGCGGTTGTTACATAGGAACACAAAGTACGAAGATAGGCTCCGGTAAATGGCCTCCTGTTTATCTTGCTTGAACAATAGTACATAAGACAGTTATGGGTGCTAAGAATAAATGTAAAGCACAGAAGAGGATGGAAAGAGTGTTAGGGGAGGATGGGAGTTATATGTGTAATTTTAGATGGGATGGTCAGGGAAGGTGTCACTTGGGAGGGTGGCAGTTGAATGAAGACTGGAAGATGCCATGGAAAGAGCTCTGCAGAGATGTGCAGAACAGCATTTCAGGCAGGGGGCACAGCATGTGCAAAGACCAGAGGCAGGGGCGTGCTGGCCATGCTGGAGGGACCGTGAGGAGGCCACTGAGGCTGGAATGGGGTCAGAAAGAAGGAGGAGGCATGAGGCCTGAGAGGTGCCAAAAGACCCTATCATGCAGAGACAGCACCATTTTAATCACTGGTTTTTACTAAGATGTGAAAGGATGAGAAGGTGTCTAGCAGAGAAGTAAAATGATCTGATTTGAGCTTCCTTCTTGGAAGGGAGAGATTTTGCCTTTCAATCAGAACTACTCTTTCCCCTGCAAAGAGAGGCTCATTAGGAAAAAGTCATGATGTGGCAAGATCCTTTGCTTTTGGGGAACTTGAATTTTTAGAGCATCTGAACACTTCTCCTACCTTCTCCCTCAGTAGAAAACCACCTGCAATGAAAGTTCCCTGAAGACAGAACAGGTTTTGAATGGTGCTCTATATGGAGTCTTGAATGCTGGGAGGAACGATGTTGACCAAGTCAACCAAAACACGAGGAGAAGCCAGTGGAAACAAAGTCAACAAGCTGCTCTGGGGTTTTGCCTCAATATCACCCTTCCAACTTCAGACCCAAGCAGCACAGAGGGTACCACTAAGAGGATACAGACAATCACTCTTGCTAAGTATTGGACCAAATAGCTGGAGGCCCACACCTGGCATCTGAGGAGACCATGATGAGAAGGAACAAGAGGGCACTTGAATAAGTGCAGTCCAGCCTGAGACTCAAGCTACAAGACTCAAGTTGCGTTTTTTCTTTAAATGTGAATGACATCTCTGGGCCCCCTCTAAATCACCCTATGAGGTCAGGGAAAGCCTCTTGTAAATCAGTGGATTTATTCTTTAGGCCTCTAATCAGGGTTTTCTGTAGAATTTTGCAGGACCCACAGTTTGACCTAGGATTGTCGGCTCCACTGGGCAGGAAAGAGGGGCCGGTGGGGATACCCTGAGTCCTCCCACCCTATTCTTCCTCCATAGTGACTGGCTGCGGTCCAGCAAACTGCAGGAGACCCTCTGTAAAGACCTTTGGACTCTTGCCTTCAAATAGAAGCCCATGACAGTAGGGAATATTTGCATTTTAAAAATTTCTTTTTTAAGGCTGGGCATGGTGGCTCATGCCTGTAATACCAGCACTTTGGAAAGCAGGGGAATCACTTGAGGCCAGGAGTTCATGACCAGCCTGAGCAACATAGAAAAGAGAGAGAGAGAGAGAAAAAAAAAACCCAGCCAAGAAAAAAAATTCATTTTTATTAGAAAAGCAAACCATTTGGGGATGTTGTATGGCTGATACAAAAACAAACAACAAAAAAATTAGACTGTTAGAATTTAACTAATGTCTGTTACCAGAAAGGTTGAAAATTGTCTTTATTGAAGGGGGAGTTGAAGTTTAAAAGGTAACTTTCACCTACAGGTTGAGATTTGCATGCAGAATTTCCAGAATGCTGAATATCAGCACGGATCACTGCAAAGAAGTTGGAACTCATCTCACATGAACTTCTCAGGTGAAAAGGGACTTGACAACTGAGACTTTTCTAATAAGTGACAAAAATTATGTGGGTAATAATTTGACCTTTTTTTGTGTTAAAGTCTCTATTGAAATAGAATGCACAAATTAATGCTCTTAGGAGACCTGCTTAGAGGAAAAACAGAATGGGGATCATGAACCCTATTAACTCACATGCCTCAAGCCTCTAATGAAAAATTCCTGAGCGAAGGGGGATGAGTAGGATTCTCCGACTGTAGGGAAACTTTGTGAAGCTCTCAAGCATGTGGTTTATAAAGTTGCATAACACAGTCCTCAAATGATTTTTTTTTTTTTTTGAGATGGAGTCTCACTCTGTCGCCCAGGCTAGAGTGCAATGGTGCAATCTTGGCTCACTGCAAGCTCCGCCTCCTGGGTTCAAGTGATTCTCCTGCCTCAGCCTCCTGAGTAGCTGGGACTACAGGCACCCGCCACCATGCCCAGCTAAGTTTTGTATTTTTAGTAGAGACGGGGGTTTCACCATGTTGGACAGGATGGTCTCGATCTCTTGACCTAGTGATCCGCCTGCCTTGGCCTCCCAAAGTGCTGGGATTACAGATGTGAGCCACCGTGCCCGGCCTCAACTGATTTTATAACTGAGATTTATGTCTCTAACAAAATAAGATACATAGCAAAAGAATGACTCTGCCAGCCCTTTCTGGAGAGGGAATTATAAGTCCTCGAAAGATATTGTTTATTTTGCCGAGTTATCTATTTTTTTCTGTAAATTCTGCACTCCGCCCCAGATTGGAACTCCAAATCTATTGTTCCATCAAATCAGTTACCCCACAGAATGAAGAATGCGGTACCCACTGTACTTAAAATTCATTGTTATCTGTTAAGAACCCAATTCAATGAGAATCACGGAGATTAAGAGGGTCTAGGTAGTTAAGGTGGAAACAGTGTGTAGAAAAGAGATCCACACACTGATTATTTTCTAATAAAACTGTTCATTCTATCAGAAAGTGGAGGGAATTAAATATAAACAGACACATTTGTTTAAACCCAGCTTCATTACTATTCTATAGGTTGCTTGAAACCTATTCTGACATCAGTTATTAAATAAATTGTGATATTTTCACAGACAGGAAACAGCTGAGCTGAAAGTATCCATATCTGCAGGATTATTCTGTATTTAATTTTAATGTTCAAAGCTTGAGGAAATTATATGGCTATAGAACATAGTCACAGGTTTCATGAGCTAGAAAGGCTAGCCAACAAAATGACTATCTGTCTGAAGTGTAACAGAGTTTTAAAAAATTAAAATAGAAAATAACAATGATGACCACAATTTATTGTGTACCTACTACGTGACTTTGTATGTAGCATACCTGTGCATCTTTACATATCTTTATACATACGGACTTTATGTGGAGTTTATTTCTAATACTTCCAATGATCCTGCAAAGGGGTGTTACTATTCCCATGTTACAGATGAGGAAATGGAAACTTAGGGAAGTTATCCAAGGTTAAATCAAGATTTATCCAAGGTTTAAAAAAGTGTAGAGTCAAGATTCAAACCTGAATCTTTCTGGGCCTGGTGGCTCACTTTGGAGGTCCGAGGCAGACAGATCACTTGAGGTCAGGAGTTTGAGACCAGCCTGGCCAACATAGTGAAACCTCATCTCTACTAAAAATACAAAAATTAGCCATGTGTGGTGGTGCACTCTTGTAATCCCAGCTACTTGGGAGACTGAGGTAGGAGAATCGCTTGAACTCGGGAGATGGAGGTTGCAGTGAGCCGAGATCGTGCCACTGCTTACTAACCTGGGAAACAGAGCGAGACTCTGTCTCAAAAAAAAAAAAAAAGATTCAAACCTAAATCTAGCTCCTAACCCTGGGTACTTTCCACCAATGGACTCTCTCAATAATACAAAAATTAGGTAGATATCAAGTGGAAATTCAAAGACCCTAGTTTTCATAAATAAAATCTCAAATCCACAATTAACAGACATAAATTCATTTCAAATGTATTTGTGTGCATGCATCTTCTAATCAACTTCTAATCAACTTTCTTGATTGAATTCAAATTTAATTGACTTTAAAATAAAAATGGAATCGGTTTTATTTCCTTTGCATTCATGGAGCACCTGCTATGGTTCGGGCACTGCTTCAGACACCAGGCACGTGAAGGCCACGCTGGTTTCAGTGTCTGTCATTAACTCTTTAACAGCTGCAATTGTGGGCACTATAGCAGATTTTCAAATATATTAATTTAAAAGGACTGATAATACAGCTATAAAGTCTTATTAGTTGGTTCAGCTTACCTCTTCTAAATGCACATGACAATTAACCAATAATGCACAAAAGCATTTTATATTGCATCTTTGTTTTTATACTTCTGTTATAAATTAAAAGTGGAAAAAATGTTGGATTTGAGGCCAGCTCTGCAGTATACCTGCATTGTGACTTTGAGCTTCTCTGAGCCTCAGTTTTTTCATGTGTAGACATGGGGATGCTAGGCAGGCATGGTGGCATTCACCTCTAGTCCCAGCTACTCGGGAGGCTGAGGCAGGAGGATGCCTTGAGCCCAGGAGTTTGAGGCTACAGGAAGCCATGATTGCACCACTGCACTCCCGCCTAGGCAAGAGAGTGCAACCCCATCTAAAAAAAAATTTTTTTTTTTTTTTAATGAGGATGATGCTAACCATCTTACAGAGCTACTATTTGGACTCTTCAGCACAATGTTCAAGAACCCCCATAATCTCCTTTCCAGTCCCATCTATGGCTCTTTCTGTTACTCTAAATAGCCTGGGATCCCACCTGTTTGAACAATTTGCTTTTTCCAACAGACTAAATACTTCCCACACCTCCATAGCTCTATTTGGTTCCTTATCCAGGGCTGCCAGCTCTCCGGATTGCCCACGGAAATCTCCTGTTTCGAAACCTCCCTGACAGTTCCAGTGTGAACTAAGTGCTCCCTCCTCAGCACTTCCCCAGCACCCAGCCCATATTTCCAGTACAGAGTTTCACTTTTCCTTCAATTATTGATTATCACCGGAACCATGTCTTAGTCATCTCTGTTTCCCTCACAGTACTCAATGGTGCTCATGGAGAATGGCCTTGATCAATGCTGAACTAGTGAAGGAATCTGTTCTCACTTGGCCTGGAGAAAGGGCGGGGGCCACAGGCCCCCTTCCTCTACCGACTCCATTCAATAATTAGTTCAGTTGTCAAAAAGACACATATAAAAAGCAATTTCAGAGCATCTTCCAGTGAGGATGTGATTCTCCGCCATGTAATAAAATCCCTTGCAAGACTCCAATAAAGAAATGATTTTGAGGGAAGATAAGCGGCGATCTGTTTGGATGGTGCACTCCTCTCCTGAAAAGGCTTTTGAGTATACACATCCCCAAATATACACGAATATGAGTTCAGTTAGCTCCCCATATACATATACCTGTTAGTTTATAAAATATGTATAATGCCCTACTATATTAACATATATTGTAAAGTATATAGAACTATACATATATAGAAGCTATAATTTTTTTAATGAAGAGTTTTAATATTTTCTTTCTGCACCCCAGGAAACGGCCTTGCACAAAGAAAACCTAATCTTGGCTGATCAGCTATACTTTCTGGTAGAAGAAAGGAAATCATATTTTACTTTCCCTAGATTATTCCCTAATGTTGACTATTTCCTCCCTCTCTTCAGGTTCTCTTACAAGACCACCAACATTCTTCAAACATCAGTGAAATAAAACAGGAGGAGGGTTTCGAGCTCTGGATCCTCAGCCTGGAAATGTCACAATTTAATCCCAAAGGTTTGCTGTGAAGTTGTAAGCATGACAGTGTGAAACTCGACAGATTATTCTTGAATTCTTTGTTTGTTTTCGTTGTGACCCGACTCTCATAAAATTTATGTTTTCTTCCAAACCCCCAGGGTGTGTGGTCATATGACTTAAATAGAGAAAAACATTGTCAAAACAGTATTGAGGAGTTATCACTTTTACATTGTTTTAATTAAAGAAAAAGCCTTTCTATCCAGGTCTAATACCATCATTTTTATGGGCATGTTAAAGTATCTAATCTAATACTGTAGTTAGTAGTAGTATTTAGTATTTTTAGTATTATTATAGTTTTATCTGTATCTTAAAGAAAAAGTCAATAAATATGAAAACAGAGTTTGTTTTGGGAATGTATGCAAGTGCCCTCCATGTTAAAATCATTTCAATTTTGTGTGCATGCACACGTGCACACACACACACACACACACACACACGGAGAAGATCAGTGAATATCCTATTCACAAATGTTACAAGGATTATCTCAGGGTGGTGGGATGAAGATTATTTTTGTTTTCTTCTTTGTGTATGTTTGTAATTTCTCGAGCATTCTATAATGGCCAGATTTTTGTTGTTGTTGTTTAACAACAGTATGCGTACCAACAATTATAAATCATTTACCTAGATTATTATATTGTAAGCTTCCAAATAGAAATTTTTAAAATACCTTTTGGAGTCATTGGCATCTAGAAGAAAACTATATATTATTTCTAAGTTCTATGCTGCATTTTAATTATAACACAATTTTTTTTAGAAGGAATCTCACTTTGTCCCCCAGGCTGGAGTACAGTGGCGCGATCTTGTCTCACAGCAACCTCCGCCTCCCTGGTTCAAGCAATTCTCCCTGCCTCAGCCTCCCCAGTAGCTGGGATTACAGGGGTTTGACCATGTTGGCCAGGCTGGTCTTGAACTCCTGACCTTAGGTGATCCACCCACTTCAGTCTCCCAAAGTGCTGGGATTACAGGCGTGAGCCACCGCGCCTGGCATAATACAGTTTTTAATGTATTTTGGCTTCATGTAAGAAAATTGCATTTTAGGCTGGACGCGATGGCTCACGCCTGTAATCCCAGCAATTTGGGAGGCTGAAGCGGGCGGATCACCTGAGGTCAGGAGTTCGAGACCAGCCTGGCCAACATGGCGAAACCCTGTCTCTACTAAAAATAGAAAAAATGAGCAGAGCGTGATGGTGGGTGCCTGTAATCCCAGCTACTCGGTAGGCTGAGGCAGAATTGTTTGACTCCAGGAGGCAGAGGTTGCAGTGAGCAGAGATGGCGCCACTGCACTCCAGCCTGGGCAAGAGAGTGAGACTCAGTCTCAAGAAAAAAAAAAGAAAAAGAAAAATTGCATATTGCATTTTAAATCAAATGCTTTATAAAAGACCTCCACTTGCCTAGATTTTAGACACATTTTGTCTTTTAGACACAAAGAGTGACAGAGGGTGGTTGCAGAGGAGCTTGCAAAATAAAGGAACCAAGGTAGAGCTGATGAGAGGCAGAAAGGAAGATCCTAAACTGGGAGGTGTGTCTGTCTGGACAAGATTAAGATTCGAGTAAACCCCAATTGAAACATATGATATTCCCTGTAAGGAAAACCGTGGCTGAGTGCCTCTGTGGACAGCATAAGCCTGCCTAAAATGTCTTCTATTGGGCCGGGCTTGGTGGCTCGCACCTATAATCCCAGCACTTTGAGAGGCCGAGGTGGGAGGATCATGAGGTCAGGGGTTTGAGACCAGCCTGGCCAACGTGGTGAAACCCCGTCTCTACCAAAAATATAAAAATTGGCTGGGAGTGGTGGCAGGTGCCTGTAATCCCAGCTACTCGGGAAGCTGAGGCAGGAGCATCATTTGAACCTAGGAGGCGGAGGTTGCAGTGAGCCGAGATTGCACCACTGCACTCCAGCCCGGGTGACAGAGCGAGACTCCATCTCACACAAAAAAAAAAAAAAAAAAGTCTTCTATTGAATGCAAGCAATGAAAACAGGGTTCTTTTTAATCAAGTGAAAAAGACTTACTTTCAAGAAGTGAGTTTGCTAGGCCTGGAAACTTAATGATTGAATTAAAGAAAATACTTCTCCACACAGATCTGGCTGCAAGACCTGTGAGAACACTTGGTTAATGCGGTCAACCTTCCTTGGCATCGTGGTATGTGTAACACAGGATTAATAAACTGAGGCCCTCGGGAGGTCTGTGAACACCCTGAAATTCTATATAAGTTTTACAACTATGTGCACATTTGCATTTTTATGATAACATGCATTTTTTTCCAATGGCTTTTATCAAGCTCTCAAAGGGGCCAATGACCCAAAAAGGTTGAAAATTAATACAATAGAAAAAGCATGAGCTTTGGATCAGAGAGAATTGAGTTCAAATTTGTAATTTACTAACGCGGGAACTTGAATGACTTGCATTTTTAGAATTACAATACATCCTTATATATAATTGTATATTTTAAAATAATATTTAAGTACCTAGTACAGTGTCTACCACATACTAGGTACTTTGTGAGTGTAACTTTTTTATATATATCTCATCCTATAAATAGTCTGGAATCCCAGATCTCCCAATTTTTTTCTGACAGAGCCTGAATTTTGTTCAAGTGACTACTACCTTCTCATGTGCCTTGGTGGGTCTAAACTACGTAAATATTCTCTTTCCCTTTGTTACTGACCCTTAGGCAATCTCTACCATTGGGACCACGTTATGGACTTCCCCTGTATTTGCCATATATTAACAATGATTCACATACACATTTCATGGTATCTTGCTTAACACATTGCAAAGCCCTCTTACCACTGTAAAACAGTACATGTCCTTGAGAAGTATGGTAGCAGAGCCATAAAACACATCTCCCTAGCCCAACACTTCTCATCTCTGGAATGCATGCCAGCTGCTTTAGGAGTTGCTCTCAGTTGCTGTCTATGATCTTGACTAATATCAGGGGACTTCCTGATGTTCCCCCTGTGACAGAGCATTCTGTTGGCTTGCAAAGACAAATAGTTGAGGACTCACAACAATCATTTTACACGTCAAATCCTCAACTTGGGCTGTCAACTCTGAGAGCAGACTCCACTTCTCATTTACTTGGCATCTGCTCATCAAGCTTCCTCGAGAGCAGGAGCAGCCTTTCCAGGGGCATGACAGCCAACTCTGTCCACTAGTTACAGGTAGATGACTCATGGAAGCAACGTCTGCATGCCTTTTATAAAAACAAAAATACAGATTTTTAAAAAGTAAATACATCAGCCATACAGAAGTCGAATTCAGGCATGCACCAGAAAAACAACATACTGACTTAGCTTTTGAAATATCAGTTCTAGGGTTTATGGGATGGCTGGTTAACATTTTCCTTATTTTTTTTTTTTTAGATGCAGTCTCGCTCTGTCACCCAGGCTGAAGTGCAGTGACGCAATCTCAGCTCACTGCAACCTCTGCCTCCTGGGTTTAAGCAATTCTCTGCCTCAGCCTCCTGAGTAGCTGGTATTACAGGTGCGTGCCACCATGCCCAGCTAATTTTTTTTTTTTTTTAGTAGAGGCAGGGTTTTACCATCTTGGCCAGGCTGGTCTTGAACTCCTGACCCCGTGATCCACCCACCTCAGCCTCCCAAAGTGCTGGGATTACAGGCATGAGCCACTGCTCTTGGCCCTCACATTTTACTTTCAATCCAAGAGTCTAATTTGTGGGTTCAGGACATCTAGGCCTTAGCTAATCATGTAATTTTAACTACGGAGTCTTCTTTCTGGGGATCGAGGTGAACTGACCTGTTGAGTTCTTATTTCATTCAACATCCATATAAATCTGAGCCCCCCTACCACATGCTGTAATGGGGTAGGTTTAGCATTTCCCCAGTATCTGTAAGAATTCTCAGGAACCTCCTGGTGTTCTTTGTCTCTCACCCTGACTTCTGTGTCCAGTAAACTCTGCCTCTTCCTTCCTGCAGCTGCTCTATTCTCCATCCCCCATTTCCAAGGACCAGTCTCTAGGCTTTATTCCCGAGGTTGCACTAACACAAGCTCTTATGAATAGTTACCTTTCCCTAAAGTCTTGGGACCAAAGCGGTCACATCATGGTATAGAATAGGCAGCAACTTGAAAACAAATGAAGACATCTCTATGCAAAAGTGCCTAGCCCATCTGTAACCCTCCAGGCATTTCTTCCTGGTTTCCCTCTCTTTGGCAAGTTGACAAGCCTCCTCTTTCTTTGAACCCAGAGAATCCTCTTCCTACCTACCTCTCTTCTTTCCATTCCAAGGCTCCTTGACTTCCTCACCCACTGGAGAAGACTAAAATGTGTTCTGCTACTTTGTTATATGAAATAATTTAGTTATTTTTGTTGCAACTTCTTTGTTCCATAGGGATCAAAGAAGCCAGATGTTTTCCTAACAAAATAGTATCTCATGCCTTGCCCAGTGGTCCCCTCTCCCCTGCTTGTTAATTCAGAGCAGTATTTTTTGTGTGTGTCTAAAATAACCACTTTGTTTCCTTCCCACTAAACAAGAAATACACTTATGGACCATAAGTGTATCCATATCCATCCAGAATTTTCCTTTTTTAAGACTTGGTTCTAAATTATTACAGTCTTTTTCTATGTGAATCCTCCTGGGGAACTCCTAAAGAAATAATCCCAAAACAATCAAACAAATAAAAGCTATGTTCAGGAAGATATTCATCGCAGAGTTATTATAATAGTAAAAATTTGAAAACAACCTGGAAGTCCAGTAATGGTTAAGTAAATGATTATATAGCTACTCAGTGGAGTATTCTATAGTCATTAGAAGGATAGTCAAAAAGACATAAAGCAATAAGGAGAATAACTATGATATAGCACATTTCAAAAACAGGATGTAAACTTATATAGATGATGGTAGCAAACTATGTTTCCAAATGCATGTTTAGGAAGCATTTGGAAAGAAGTGTCGGAAAGTGCAAAGGGAGGTAGTGTCAGAGTAATAAGGACTATGATTTTTTGTTTGTTTTTCTCTATATAGCAAATTCTCCATAATAAAATCATACTCATTCTATTAGGTGTAAATGTAGAAATTAAGTTAATTATTATTATTATTTTTTGAGATGGAGTCTCGCTCTGTCTCCCAGGCTGGAGTGCAATGGTGCGATCTTGGCTCACTGCAACCTCCGCCTCCTGGGTTCAAACGATTCTCATACCTCAGCCTCCCGAGTAGCTGAGATTACAGGCATGCGCCATACCTAATTTTTTTTGTATTTTTAGTAAAGATGTGGTTTTGCCACGTTGCCCAGGCTGGTCTTGAACTCCTGGCTTCAAGTGATCTGCCCTCCTTAGCCTCCCAGAGTACTGGGATTACAGGTATGAGCCACCACACCCGGCCTAATTTTTAAAATAAATATAATTTTAGCATTTGGGATCATCCTGAAAAATATAAAATTTTAAGTCAAAGAATAGAGATAAACAGTTACGTGTAAGCCTAGCATTTCATATAAATCTCTATGAGATGTCTAAATTCTGTGTGATAAATTCACCTTCTGTTTTTTTAACTTTTAATTTTAGTGGGTACATAACAGGTGTATACATTTATGGGTTACGTGAGATATTTTGATTCAGGTATGCAATTCATAGTAATCATGTCAGGGTAAATGGGGTATCCAACACCTCAAGTATTTATCCTTTGTGTTAGAAACAATCCAACTGTACTCTTTCAGTTATTTAAAAATATACATTAAATTATTTTTTACTGTAGTCACTCTGTTGTGCTAGCAAATACTAGGTCTTATTCATTCTTTCTATTTTTTTGTAGCATAAAATTCACCTTTTATTAATTTCAGTGGTACCCTTCTTATTGGTCAGCAGATCTCTCTGGAATGTGGTCAAGAAACTGGTAAAAGTAAAAAGAAAAGGATACTAGCAAGCAAAATAAACGTGAAAGCCTACACACTTTACTCACAGCCTCTTACTAAAAGCCAGTGAGGCTCATTCTTGCCACAATTCTAAGCTAGAATTTCTAGGCCACAGTATGTGAGAAGCAGTAAATTGAAAACTGGATGGGGTTGCAAAAAGTGACATTTGCAGCCGAGTGCGGTGGGTCACTCCTGTAATCCCAGCACTTTGGGAGGCCGAGGAAGGCGGATCATGAGGTCAAGAGATCGAGACCATCCTGGCCAACATGGTGAAACCCCGTCTCTACTAAAAATACAAAAATTAGCTGGGCATGGTGGTGCGCACCTGTAGTCCCTGTTATTCGGGAGCCTGAGGCAGGAGAATTGCTTGAACCCGGGAGGCGGAAGTTGCAGTGAGCCGAGATCACGCCACTGCACTCCAGAAAAGAGAAAAAAAAGTGACATTTGCCAGCCTCACAGTGAAGTCCAGAGGTAGGGAAAACCACCCCAAGCGGACCAAAACATTTTGAATATGAGTTAATATTGGATGCCAGGCATAATTATATTCCAGCATTTTCCATGGCAGTTGGCTCTCATAATGACATCAGATGCCTCAATGGCAAGACTTAACCTAGTTGGGTCACTGTCTAGTCAGAGAAACATGTGGAATACACATTTTAGAAATAATTTCACTTAACCTGGTTTCTTTTCAAAATGTATTTTTGGTGCTTGTTTTGCCTTAAAACACACACACACAAGCAAACAAACAAAAAGAAACTACAAACTACAAGGGATTGCTCACTCCTCCATTACAGGCAATGCAAGAGTTATACTTGAGCTTTTCTGGAAAAAGTGGCAATTTATACAAGCAATCTTCTCACATATTCCTCATTTTGCTCTGTTGCTAATAAAGCACTCTGAGAACAATATTTCAATCTCAAAGCTTGCAGCATGTCCTTTGGCCTCATTTTGTAGACCCTCCTCCACCCACGCTGGTTTTCCTTTTACACCCGGTGTCCCCACTCGCTTATCGCACACTCGAGCTATACCAGTCTCCGGGGAATTAAAACGGAGATATGTAAATGTCAGTTGCTATTATAGCTAACGAGAAACTCTTCCGCCTGGATCTCTGAGCGCTGCAAGCCCTGAGAGATGCCAGCGTATCACAACAGTCCCGGCTGTTTGGAAAGTTTTCAGGTTGTTTGCTTTAATGGATTTGCTCCAAGTGAGGCGCATGTTTTTCAAAAACGAATGCCAAAGATAACAAAAAATGCAAAGGAGAGGAGAAAGGGAGACTTATCCTGAGTATAGGAGTGAACTAGGATAAGACTTACTAAACAGCAGAATGTTCAAGGGCACTTGAATCTCTCCCACATTTAGAATGACCCAGAAAGACTGAGGTTAAAAACAGTGTACATAGTCACTTTAGAAAACAGTGATTTGGGACCCAGAATATGTTTTACATCTTCTTCTTGTCACTTGGGGCATAGGTCACCGTGTTATTCTGTTACTTAAGCTGTTTACAGCTATATTTGAGTGGTCTCTGTTGACAAAGTTGTTTCCAAGTAATTTTCTAAAAACATTGTGATTACTCTTCCCTGTCATTAGCTACCGTAATTTGTTTTCTGGGCTGATGGTCAGCACGATAATTGCATTTAGAACACTGAATGGGTTTCCATGATCGTTTGGTGCATTTGTGTTAAACTTATTGCTGTTTCTTGAACCCACTTTAGATTTAAAAGAGTATGCCATTTACATATCTAAAGAAAATAATGGAAAATGATTATTTTTGTGTTATTATAATTTAGCATTTATGTAGCACTTATATTTCTAAAGGCATTTCAATCATTTATGAATTACCCAACACTGTACCCTTGAGCTCTAAGCCATTTGGATTCACTCTGATTTCTAGATAAGCCACGAGGCTGGGGAAGGGTAGTTGGCTGATGAGAGGTTCCTCCTTTCCTGTTAGGATTCCCACCCTTTTTCCAGGACACCCCACCCAACTGGGATCTGCACAGGCTGGCTTCATTACTTCGTTTGAAGTTTTGTGTTTGATGTTCTTTGAAAATGTGTATAAAATACATTCCAAAGTCACATATAGATTATTTTTGGATTATCTGATGTTTTGGATATTTCCTATCATTATTCACTTCCATTCATTCATTTACCCCTTCATTAAACCCTGAATTGAGCACTCCCTTCTATTTCAGGCCATGAGTTAGGCTCTGGGGAGAGGAGAACTACAGTCTTACCATGCAGATAATTAAGAACACAATGGAAAATACGGTCAGATGAGATGTGTCATGCCTTCCGAAGAAACCAGTGGAATTGTTTCTTTTTGGAAGGTCAGGGGCAGTGTGTTTTGAGCTGGAACTTGAAACTCCAGTTTTGTGTTTATGCATTGGGTGGGAGATGGGGAGGGGAGGCTGAAGAAGGATGGGGATAAACAGCGTTATTCCAGGGAGACAGAACAACCTGGAAAATGGAAACTTGGAAAACAGTCACTTATTTGCCCTGGTTGGAGGTTTTTTTTGTAAGGAATGATGGTAAATGAGGCTGGAAAACTGTTTTGGAGGGAGGTTCTAGATGACCTGGAGCTGTCTGCTTAACAGAGTGAACTTCTCTGTTAAGCAATGACTCCACAATTGGACTACAAGTGATTGGAAGCAGCCCGAAGTATTGAGAAAGCAATAGAGATCACTGCATACACTGTATGGGATAAAGTTTGAGAGATTAATTATGTGGATGTGAAACCCAGTGACCAGATAACCAGGAGAACCAAAGCAAGGCCTAATACGTGTATTAGGAAGGAAAATTGAGAATTAGGCAGTGATAAATTATATTAAAGAATGGTGAAACCAACAAGAGCGACTGGGGAGAGTTTTCTGATTTTCTACCAATAGATAAATCATTTCTTAAAGATCATGGTCTTCACTCACTCATGTATTCATTTACTTGTGGGCGATTAAAAGGTTCAATACTCTGTGAATGTCCAATCTTACTCATAGATTCCTCTGCCTCCATACCCTTCTGACTAGTGCCAGAACCTAATCTGAATGTTTCTAGAAGGCTTGTTTTTGAGACACTGGAAGTATTTGTTATTGTGCTGAGTATATCAGCAAGGCCACCACAGGTCAGTGTGTGGCTTTTTACATGGATTTTTGCTAAATGGCACCCCCTCCCACCATTAAAGGATGAATTCCACACACTCCCTCCCCCACCACATTCACATGTTGAAGTCCTACTGCCCAGTATCTTAGAATATGACCTTATTTGGAGATAGGTTCCTTACAGAGGTAATCAAGTTAAAATGAGGTCATTAGGGGGGACCCTAATGCAATCTGACTGGTGTCCTTACAAAGGGAGAAATCTGGACACAGAGACATGCACAGAAGAAAGGCAATGTGAAGAGACCCAGTAAGAAGATGGGCATGTACAGCCAAGGAGAGAGGACTGAGCAAATCCTCCCTTCTCAGCCCTCAGAAGGAACCAGCCCTTCGAAAGGCCAAGGCAGGTGGATCACTTGAGGTCAGGAGCTCGAGACCCAGCTGTCCAACATGGTGAAACCCCGTCTCTACTAAAAATACAAAAATTAGCTGAGCATAGTGGAGGACGCCTGTAATCCCAACCATTTGGGAGATGGAGGCAGCAGAATCGCCTGAACCTGGGAGGTGGAGGTTGCAGTGAGCCGAGATTGTGCCGCTTGCACTCCAGCCTCAGCAACAGAGCAAGACTTCGTCTCAAAAAAAAAAAAAAAAAAAAAAAAAGAACCAGCCCTGCTCATGCCTTGATTTTGATTTTGGACATCCAGCCTCCAGAAGTGTGGGACAGTATCTTTCTGTTTTTTAAGCCACCCAGTTTGTAGTACTTTGTTAGGGCAGCCTTAGCAAACTAATACCCACCTCCAATACTTTGATCGTTGGAATTCCCTCTCCCTTCCTGTGTTCATTAGCATGAATAAGAACCCCCAGAACAGACAGCGCTTTGATGAGCTGCCGCCTTTTGAACAAAGTACTAGACAGTGAGCCTGCCCTGAAAGTTTCCTTCGAGTTGTCCTGCTCAAATGATTGTGGGTATAAGAACAAGTATTTGAATATTACTTTTTCTGGATCAAAAATATAAAAAGAAAGAGTTGCTTTAGAGGTTGTCACAACTTTGGAGCCCGTGCCACACTGCAGCAGGTGCAGATTCTCACATAGACGGAACTCTTCTGTAAGAAGAGAGCACCAGTAGAATTCTAAGCAGGTCTGAAACACACATATGCTGCCTCTTGCTGAAGATGTGTGAATAAACTGGCACCCAAGTCAGCAGCCTCCTTGTTCTTCCTTTCTTAAAGTAATTTTCAAGACAAGCTCAAACAGTACTCTCACAGTAGGTTACTACAGGAGTTAATGACTCCAAGCTCAAAAGGAATGACTTTTTTTTTTTTAATTTTCCGTTTGACAAACATCTCCCTAAGGCGACAGCTTTTACCCCCTGCCTACTCCCCTAGCTGAAGTTAGTGACCATGTATTAATTAGTTGAAGCCGAATCTCAGGAAGCACTAACACTTGGCCTTTCTTTTTAAGCATTCTAAGTGTGTGTTAGAAGGCAAGTTAAGTCTAAATTACCTGGAAGTCTCTTGTTAGGCACGCTGAAAGTTTCCTGCTAAATATTTTTTTACAAGGTACCCAAATTAAGGACCTTTCATCTCAGTAGGACGGACTCTCTATGAAGGCAGTTATTTGCCTACATGAAATGCAGAGGTAACAAGAGTGTGTCCCTCTCCAGAGCATTGCCTTCACTGGCTTATTGCAAATGTCTAGATTTCATAACAAAGACATCAATTTTAGAATTAAGTATTGCTTTCACTTCTGCATCAAAATGTAACACTGTTGAAGAACTAATCTGTGAGTCTTACTGAATAATATATAAGAGCCAGTGCAAAATCAAAATGTGGTACCCTTTGTTCAAAAAGCTAGAAAAAAGTGTCATTAAAGGTACTAAAATGTAATAAAGCCTTTCCTTTTCTTCTGTGGTCTTGAATTATCATGATATTTTTTATAATTTTTAATTTAATGTCAAGTAAAGGAAACTTATTTTATAAGACTAGCATGAATTTTACCATTCATCTTTATATGAGGCAATGACTGTGTGTGTGTTTGTTTGTTTGTTTATTTTTGAGACAGGGTCTCACTCTGTCACCCAGGCTGGAGTGCAGTGGTGCTATCACAGCTCACTGCAGCCTCCAACTACTGGGCTCAGGTGATCCTTCCACTTCAGCCTCCTGAGTAGCTGAGACTACAAGCATTCCCCACCACACCAGGCTAATTTTTTGTATTTTTTTGTAGAGTCAGATTTCACCATGTTGCCCAGGCTGGTCTTGACCTCCTGGGCTCAAGTGATCCTCCCACCTCAGCCTCCCAAAGTGCTGGGATTACAGGTGTGAGCCACTGCGCCTGGCCGCAATGACCATTTTAAGTGGCATTTAACTTGTGTGTGAAATCACCAAAATTACACAATTAGTATTTGATAGCTTGTACATGCATAAGTATTTTATTCTTGCCAGAACAGTGGAAACACCGCCCCAAATGATCACACCTGTTTACATTTCACTTCTTGACACTCACACTCTCTGTCTTTATCTCATGGAGGAGTAAGGAAGGTCTGAGAGGGAAGGGAACTATGGGTGGCCTATCTTTCTCTTTCCTTTAATGTTATCATTTTCAGCTTATGTGGTTGGCTAATACAGGGGAGAAACATGAGTAAAAAGGGTAGGATAGAATGGGATTTCATGGTCATCCATGCCTCTTTGAACACCATAGACTTCTTTCTGTGTTTGAAGCAGGTTCTGGTTTGAAAGGAAAAGATGGTCCCTAGGGGCTTTCAGAGCCCCTGATCACTGAGTCGTAGCCTTAACACGCTTACCTTGTACTCACACTGAGTCTCGCCAAATTCCCATGCATGTGGGTCCACTGTAATTCTGTGCTCATGGGGTATGGTAAGCAGTTTATGTGAATGGTAAGGAATGGCTAAAGACACCCATATTGCTCATATCTTCTCTACTCACACAATGCTCCACCATCCCATCAGACTTCACTTACAAAACATAAGTTCAAAGACAACATTATTAAGACTCTCAAAGTCCCTGTGTCACTGCACAGGTTACACACCCATGAGGCTGGCCCTGGTACCACAATGTGCCATGTGAATGACAGTCATTTTCCTATATAGATGGAAAACTCCCATCTTCCACCTAAACATGTTACAATATTTTATTTAGTAAATAACATGTCACTTTCCCCGTTAAATCACTGATTCCTCCCATCCCTCACTTCTTGGTCCTTACTAACTTCCACTTGCTCCCTTTCACTCTCAATGCCTGTGTTACTCTCTCAGCATCTCTCAAGGGTGCTATGCACATTTGGCTTGTTTTGTTAGCTATTATGGGTTGAATTGCCCCCTTCCTCCCGAAGAAAGATATATTGACGTCCTATGTCCTATCCCTCAGTATCTCAGGACATGACCTTATTTGGAGACAGAATCTTTACAGAGGTAATCAGGTTGTAATGAGGTCATTAGGGTGAGCCTAATCCAATCTGACTGGTGTCCTTATAAAAATTGGACACAGAAACAGATACACATAAAGGGATGATAATGTTGTATTAGTCAGATTGGACCGCTGTAACAAGACCACAGACTGGGCGGCTTAAACAACAGAAGCTATTTTTCCCACAGTTTTGGAGGCTGGGAAAGCCACTATCAAGGTGCCTAAAGATTCTGTTACTGATGAGGGCTCTCTTCCTGGCTTGCAGGCAGCTGCCTTCTTGCTGTGTCTTCAGTGGCATAGACAGAGAGTAAGCTCTCAGGTGTCTTAATCCCATCACAAGGGTCTTAATCCCATCATGAGGGTCCCACCTTCATGACCTCATGTAAACCTAATTATCTCCCAAAGGCCTTATCTCCAAATACCATCACATTGAGGGTTAGGGCTTCCACATATGAATTTTGGGGAGAAACAATTCAGTTCATTGCAGATGTAAAGAGACACAGGGAGAAGATGGCCATCTACAAACCAAGAAGAGAGGACTAAACCAGAGCCCCTCACAGCCCTCAGAAGGAATCAGTCCTGCTGACACCTTTATCTCAGACTTCAAACCTCTAGAATTGTAAGAAAATAAATTTCTATTAATTAAACCACTTCGTTTGTGGTACTTAATCACGAAAGCCCTAGCAAACCAATACATTTGCCTTCCTTTAATCTCTTTACTTGTGTGAAGTTCTATGAAAGATTGGAAAGGCCTTTCTCCAGATACTTTGCTGCTTTTTGTGGTAAGCTACAACCATAAACTCAGCCCATATCCAACCCTCCTGGAACATTTAGGGTATATTAAAATCTGTTAAGTCCTATTCTTGATAACACATGGGGGTAAGTAACTCAGCCCACCACTGAAAACATATACTTGGACAAGAAAATGAGACAATCCTAAATGTGAAGGGAGTTCATGGAGCCAGAGATAATGCTAAATAATAACCAGTGCTTACTATGTATCAGCATGTTGTATGCACAGACTCAGTTCTTATGACAATTCCATGATTTGAATTTTAATGCACTACTAATGAGGTAGGTACTACTATATCCCCTTTTACAGATGAGAAAGGTGAGTCATAGGGAAATCAAGGCACTTCCTTAATATCACACAACTAGTAACTGAAGAGGAGGGATTTAAACTCCAGCAGTGAGGATCTAGACCTTGATCTTTTAATCACTATACTCTTCTACCAAGATATTTAATTCTAGCAATAGAAAAAACAAAATGAATTTGGAACTTTACCTCACACCATATACAAAAATTAACTCAAAATGGATTGAAGACCTAAAAGTAGAAACAAACTATAAAACTTGGAGAAGAAAACAAAGATGTGAATCTTTTTGGCTTAGGATTAGGCAATCGTCCCTTAGATATGGTACAAAAAGCACAAAACAAAAACAAAAGAAAATGAGTTGGACTTTATCAAAATCAAAAACTTTTGTGCTTCAAAGGATACTACCAAGAAAGTAAAAAGACAATCTGCAGAATAGGAGAACACATTTGCAAATCATATATGTGACTAGTCAGGGTCTAGTATCCAGAATATATTAAAAACTCTTAACACTCAACAACAAAAAGGTAAACAACCCAATTTTAACAATTGTCGTAGGACCTGAATAGGCACTTCTCCAAAGAAGATATACAATGGCCAACAAGCACATATAAAGATGGTCAATAGTATGTGATTAGGGAAATGCAAGTCAAAACCACGATGAGATGCCACCTCAAAATAAAAAGGGATAATAACAAATGTTAGAGAGGATGTGGAGAAATTAAAAGCTCATACCTTACTGGTGGGAATGTAAAATGGTGCAGCCACTATAGGAAGCAGTTTGGTAGTTCTTCAAAAAGTTAAACATAGTGTTACCATATGACCCAGCAATTTCACTCCTAGGTATATACTCAAGGCACTAGAAACATATTTTTCACATTCAGGAACAAAAACTTATACATAAATGTTCATAGCAGTATTATTCATACTAGCCAGAAAGTAGAAACAAACCAAATGTCCATCAACTGATAACTATATAAACAGAACATGGTATATTCATGTAATGGAATATTATGCAGTCATACAAAGGAGTTAATTACTAATACATGTTATACCATGGATGAACTGTGGAAACGTTATGTTCCATGAAAAAAGCCAGGCAAAAGGTTATATATTATTTGATTCATCTTAAATGAAATGTCCATAATAGGCAAATTTATAGAGACAGTAAGTAGATTGTGGTTACCGGGGCTGAGGGGAGAGGGAATATGGAGTGATCATTACCGGGTTTGGAATTTCTTTTTGGGATGATGAAAATGTTGTGAAATTAGATAATGGTGATTGCTGTATAGTCTTATGAATATACTAAAAACTACTGAATTGTACACTTTAAGAGAGTGAATTGTATAGTATATGAATTTTATCCTTCTAAAAATATTTAGGTTCCTCAACTAAATTTTAGCCAAGATTAAAACAAAATGGGAAATACTTAATGTATTAGGATGTGCCTTTAGGGGAACAAAAGGTTTGTCCCTTGCCATTAATATATGTGCTCATTAAAAATCATTTTAATGCTCCAAAGATGACTCTCAAAATGACTAAAAATACTTGCCACAATCCAGGCACCGTGGCTCATGCCTGTAATCCCAGCACTTCGGGAGGCCAGGGCGGGTGGATCACCTGAGGTCACGAGTTCAAGACCAGCCTGGCCAGCATGGTGAAATCCCACCTCTACTAAAAAAAAAATACAAAAAAGTAGCTGGGCGTGGTGACGGGCACCTGTAATCCCAACTACTTGGGAGGCTGAGGCAGGAGAATCGCTTGAACCCTGGAGGCAGTGAGCCAAGATCACACCACTGCACTCCAGCCTGGACAACAGCTGGAGCATAACTCCATCTCAAAACAAACAAATAAATAAATAAATAAATAAATAAAAATAACTTGCCACATATGCTGATAATATGATTATGTCGGAATAGTAGATGGAGAATGCCTCTAAGTTGTTTTATGGAAAAAGGCAATTTCACTTTGCTTTAGAATAAAACTTCCTCAGAATAATTGGGAACTGAAACTCACAAGCTTTAACATACATTTTTTAAGTCAGTAAATTCTAATAAGATGGATAGATATTGACAATGCAGAATGTTTGGTTTTAATTTTGAGAAAGTTGATTGTGTTAACTGTTTGAGCCATGAGGATTGTTTAATTTCTGACCACCCAATTTGAATTTCCTTTAACTGAACAATGTGATACAAATGTAATGTTGAAGGTCTGTCATCTTGGTCTTTATTCCAGCTAGGGAAGACTACTAAGACAAATGGCACAGAAATCCCTGTAATTGCCCTAGAGTTTATCAACCCATGTTTCAGATAAACATATACGCTCAGACGCAGATACTGAGCATGGTGTACCGATAGGGCTTTGTCACATCTGAAATTTCATCTTGACTCTACCATTGATAACAGGCTTTGGCCATGTTTCTTAATTTCTCTAAACATGAATTTTCCTATGTACAAAATGGACAAAATCATATTTCCTTTGCAAGGCATTTGTCAATATTCAGTGAAATAAATTCAAAATGCCTGACGGGTAGTAGGTATTTATTAGATGTTAGCTGTATTGATGATGACTGATGTAAGGATCCTAAATCAGAAAAGTTCCTGAAGACCTAGCAATACCTAGGGCAGGGCTAAATGGGAATTAGATTCTAAATAAATACATGTTAAGTGATTAGTTATTTCATACCCGAAACAAGACACACAAAGATAAAAACAAGTGGCTGTCCTATCTCTAGGCCTTGACGTGTTCTCTTCTGACTTGTAAATGCACCTTTCCCGTTCATTAATACTGGCTAAGGGCAGGCTACTCTATCACATCATTTTCTTTTGATTACATTTTCCCCATCTAAGAAAGTTTACTCATTCTGAATTATGCCAAAGTGTATAATCTGGAAGATGAACAACTACTCCAGTTGGAAAGACCTGATTGTGTTTTAGCCATTGCTAGGCAAGTTGTAGCCCTTGTTATAAAATTATTATTTTAGGCGGGGCGCAGTGGCTCAGGCCTATAATCCCAGCACTTTGGGAGGCCGAAGTGGGCAGATCACCTGAGGTCGGGAGTTCGAGACCAGCCTCACCAACATGGAGAAACCCTGTCTCTACTAAAAATACAAAATTAGCGGGGCATGGTGGCACATGCCTGTAATCCCAGCTACTTGGGAGGCTGAGGCAGAAGAATCACTTGAACCTGGGAGGGGAAGTTTGCGGTGAGCCGAGATCACGCCATTGTACTCCAGCCTGGGCAACAAGAGTGAAACTCCATCTCAAAAATAAAGTAAAATAAAATAATAAAATTATTATTTTAACCAGCTAAATGCCTTTTGTTTCCAGATTAGTCTTTCCATGGTGCCTGAAACCTTGATGTTATTTTCACTTCTACGCTAAATTTCACCAAATTAAAAACAAATAAATAACCCAGTACACCCTGAATTTCAAAAGTAAAACCTCCTGTGAGTTTTTCTAATTCTCTGTTTCAGAGATCTCTGCTTGTGACTCAGCACATTAGTGTTAGTTACCTTTGGACCATCCATCTGGCCATCTGCTTTCACTGGCAAAAGGAGACAGTATTTGCTTGTTGTTCACGTATTTGTTTCAGAGGAGCTTTGTTGTATCTTAGTTTAAACCATACGTGTTAGCATAAGTCCAGTAAACAATGCAATATTTTTGTGTTAAACCAGTTTCAGACAGTAGTATTGAGCTATTACAGTAGATTGAATTAAGTACCACAGGATCAAGCTAGTATTGTGTGCACCCTTCTATCCGAATTATAAATTACTATAAAATCTAAAAGTAAAAATGTAAGCTAAGGTCAAAGCATAAAATGAAAGAGTTTCTGCCATAAGGTGTTTAATCAAATATAATGTTTTAAAACTGTCCAGCTAATTCTCAGATGCTCCCTGGCAATTAACTAAAACCTAAAGTAACACAAAAGCTTGACTGTTGCCTCCTTCAAGATAAAATTTGGATCTATTGTTGGTAACAAAGAAAAACAACTTACTGGTTTCAATGGCTCTCCCTCTGTCACCCTCCAAGTTCTGAAATAGCTAAAAGTCAGGAAAAACATTAATGCCCAACCCAAGGGCAAATTCATTTATAGTTGTAAAATTAAGCCTCTGAAAAGCTGAAGCTGATTGCAATTCCAGAAAGATTGCTGAGGAAGAGACAGTCTAGCAGATCAATTAACAGGCTGCTGTTAACATCACCCTGGGGCCCACCCTTGGCCTGGTCAGCCCCGTGCCCTGCTCCAAGCAGGAGCATTTTGTGTGCAAGGCTGGTAATTGCTGGGGGATATTAACTCCTCTCTGTAGCTTCCTCTCAACAGGCTGTTATTGATTTATTGTCTGCATATTTGTCTAAACCCTAAAGCTATTTATCTTTTCACCAGGGTAACAAGTTCTGTATGTATCCAGTCTGCTACATAAAATAGAACTTCTTTTTATTTTTCCCTTAAACTAGCTCCTTTAAGCTTCAAAAAGATTCTGAGATTTGGGGAACAAGTTCTTACACAGGTTTTCCCTACCTTTCATGACTTTATGGACTTTCATCAGCCCTCCTCAGCTTTAGTCTTTTATCACCAATACTTTGATCCCAGCAAGCATCAAGAAACAGGTGCGAGAGGAGATGGTGAACTATGAGGTGGGGAGACAGGATGAAAGACACTTGGTGGGGGAGTTGAGGGAAGACGAAGGCTTGAAGGAGTGGTCAATGCATAAGAAAAGGCTTCTGGCAAAATACCAGTGATAACTTGGAATAAAGTTCTTCACATTAGTTTATTTGGCCCTTTCAAGTGATATGTACTTGAGAGAAAGCGATACAGGCTCAATCCCATTACTACCCGTGCCAATAGGATTAAAAACAAAATCTTGTAATAATACTTTCTAAGTTACATATATTAAAATCTCATTGACAAAAAGGTCACCTACTGTATGAGTCCATTTATGTGAAATGTCCAGAATAGGCAAGTCTATAGAGATCGAAAGCAGATTAGTAGCTGCCGGGGGCTGGGGTGAGAGAGAATGGGGGGTAGCTACTTCATGAGTTTGGGGTTTTCTTTTGGGTTGTTTTAAAACTAGACAGAGGTGACAAATGCACCACACTGTGAATGTACTAAATGCCATTGGATTTAATATGGTTAATTTTATGTTAAGTGAATTTTAACTCAATTTTTAAAATGCAAAACAAAAAAAACCCTTACGGAATAAGAAAAGAATTTGGACTTATCATTAAGCGTTCATTGTAAAGGAACCTGATTATTACAATGCACATGAAAATTTCCAAATTATAACCCAGTTGCATTATATATATTATGCATGTATATAGAATTGAATATAACATATATTCAATTTAACAAATATTTGAGTATCAACAACATGCCAGCCACTTTGCAACTATTGGAACTTCATCAGTGAAAAAGATAAACTTACTCCAGGCTTATGGAGTTTTCACAAATTACCCCTGAAATCATCACGCAATTGATGCAGGATCTGGTCCCTTTGCCAGACTTGTGGCAGGGATGTCCCCTCTACTTGGCCCATCTTGCTCAGCTCCTTGAAGAGGGAGCATGTGAGTGAGTGAGTGTGGGACCCGGCTGGCTGTTCCAGGCACTAACACAGGAGCAAGCTCTGTGCAGGGCCCGCCGCCGGGCCAGGTGTGTCACCTTGAGGGAAATGCAGTGGTGCCTGGGGAGGGTACCAGGGACCCCGAAGCCACAGAGGGAGTGTTACGGTGTCCTTTAAGTTCTGCTGTCCATGGGTGGCAGTGATGGCAGTGTGTTAGCAGCTCAGTTGGCCCCTTGCCTTGTTGCATGGGGCGGCTGACCTCTGCCAGTGAGGGCAAAGGGCTGGTGTGACAGCCTTTCTGGATACCCGCACTCAGTGGATCCTGAGCTATTATTCAAAGTCCAAGAAAACTGAGGTCACACAGACAGTTGAAGGATGATGAAGGTGGAGAATTGTACTGAGCAATGAAAACAGCCCTCAGCAGAGAGGGGAGCTGGAGAGGGGACGAGAAGGACAGGTCGTCTTCCCCAAAGTTAGGTTGTCTCTTCCCTGAAGTCAGGCTGTCTCCTCCTCTACTGACTGAGTCTGGGGTCTTTATAAGCAGAGGATGGAGAGTGCTTGTTGATTGGTTTGTGAGTATGCAAAAAAGCTTAAAGTGAAGACACCCCTCAAAGGTGGGCATGACAGTGTAGAAAAACAATTGGGAGGCTGAGTGTGGTGGCTCATGCCTGTAATCCCAGCACTTTGGGAGGCTGAGGTAGGCAGACCATGAGGTCAAGAAGTTCAAGACCAGCCTGGCAAACATGGTGAAACCCTGTCTCTACTAAAAATACAAAAATTGGCTGGGTGTGGTGGTGGGTGCCTGTAGTCCCAGCTACTCGGGAGGCTGAGGCAGAAGAATCACTTGAACAGAGGTTGCAGTGAGCCGAGATCATGCCACTGCTCTCCAGCCTGGGTGATAGAGCGAGATTCCGTCTCAAAAAGAAAAGAAAAAAAAAACCGATTAGGAAAGGGTAAGTATATGTAAAATAGGTGAAGAATGGGGATCAATGAGAGGAAAGCGCGCCGAACAGGAAGACAAGTTCTCAATCTGGTCCAAGAATTTAACTTGTAGTTTGGCTTTCAGGCTTTAAACTGTCTTCTGCTTGGAGGTGGGGTTTCACTGGGGACCTGCCCCATCTGCCTAGACATTTGGCTGCCTCCTGCCGCTATCACAGTGTGAGAAGCCTTATGACCAGGGAAGTACAGACAGCTTGGGAGGGGGGTTTAACCCAGACTTAGAGGATCATGGAAGGTTTTCTACAAAAAGTAACATTGAAATGGAATTTAAAGGTGCCACTCATTCCACAAAAGTGTGCTAAGCACCTAGAATGTAGTAGTCATTGATACAGGCCCTGGGGATACAGCAGGGAACAAAACAAAGTCCTGCCTTCATAAACCTTACATCACTTTATTGAGAGACAAACAAGGTAAACAAGTAAATATAAGAGTAAAAGTAGGCCATGCATAGAGGCTCACACCTGTAATCCTAGCACTTTGGGAAGCCGAGGCAGGTGGATCACCTGAGGTCAGGAGTTCCAGACCAGCCTGACCAACAAGGTGAAATCCCATCTCTATTAAAAATACAAAAAATTAGCCGGGCGTGGTGGCAGGCGCCTGTAGTCCCAGCTACTCGCGAGATTGAGACAGGAGAATTGCTTGAACCCGGGAGGGGGAGGTTGCAGGGAGCTGAGATGGCGCCACTGCACTCCAGCCTTGGCGATGGAGTGAGACTCAGTCTCCAAAAAAAGAAAAAAAGAGTATACGTGGCCCAGTATGGTGACTCAGGCCTGTAATCCCAGCACTTTGGGAGGCTGAGGTGGGCGGATCACTTGAGAGCAGGAGATTGAAACCAGCCTGGCCAATGTGGTGAAACCCTGTCTCTACTAAAAATACAAAAATTAGTGAGGCGTGGTGGTGGGCACCTGTAATCCCAGCTACTCAGGAGGCTGAGACGTAAAAATCGCTTGTACCCGGGAGGCGGAGGTTGCAGTGGAGATTGCACCACTGCACTCCAGCCTGGGTGACAGAGCAAGACTCTCAAAAAAAAAAGACAAAACAAGGAGTACAAGTGATAAATCCATGGAGAAAAATAATATAGGGATGGCCAGTGCCAGTAGAGAGTTGTGGAGGGAGGGTAGAGAGTTGTGGTGAAGAAGGAAGGGTGCAAGTGCAGCTTCATACAGTTGGGTCAAGGATTCCCTCACCAATAAACTGATATTTGAGCCAAAACTCAAAAGTTAGTGAGGAAGGGAGCCAGGTTGCTGCCTGGAGAAACAGCAGTCCAGGAAAAAATAGTAGCTGCAAAGGCCGAGACACAGAAACATTCTTGGTCGGCTCAAAGAATAACAGGGAGAATGGTGGGCCTGGAATACCATGAGGGAGAAAGAGAGAGGGAGAGGGAGAGAAAGAGAGAAACAGAGAGAGAGAGAAAGGAAGAAAATGCAACTGCGGGGACTGCATATGGCCTTGTCACCTGACTGAGGTGTGAAGACTAGACGTTTTGTGCAGAGCAGTGATTTTATTTATTTATTTATTTATTTATTTATTTATTTATTTATTTATTTTTGAGACGGAGTCTCGCTTTGTCCGTCAGGCTGGAGTGCAGTGGTGTGATCTTGGCTCACTGCAACCTCTGCCTCCCGGGTTCAAGTGATTCTCCTGCCTCAGCCTTCTGAGTAGCTGGGTCTACAGGCATGTGCCACTACACCCAGCTAATTTTTGTATTTTTAGTAGAGACAGGGTTTCACCATGTTGGTCAGGCTGGTCTCAAACTCCTGACCTCCTCAGCCTCCCAAAGTGCTGGGATTACAGGTGTGAGCCACAGCGCCCAGCCCAGGGCAGTGATTTTGAAAGGACCCCTCTATCCTCTGTGCTGAGAAAACTGACTGTAGGGGCACAGATAAGGAGGCAGGAAAGTGAGTTAAGATGCTGTTGCAAGCTGGGTGCAGTGGCTCAAGCCTGTAATCCCAGCACTTTGGGACGCCAAGGCGGGCGGATCACAAGGTCAGGAGATCGAGACCATGCTGGCTAACACGGTGAAACCCTGTCTCTACTAAAAATACAAAAAAATTAACCGGGTATGGTGGGGGGTGCCTGTAGTACCAGCTACTCAGGAGGCTGAGGCAGGAGAATGGCGTGAACCCGGGAGGTGGAGCTTACAGTGAGCCGAGATCACGCCACTGCACTTCAGCCTGGGTGACAGAGCAAGACTCTGTCTCAAAAAAAAAAAAAAAAAAAAAGATGCTGTTGCATTTCAGAGACAAGAGTGCTTTGGACCAGTATAGACATGGAAACAGTAAGAGATGGCTAGATTGTGGATAGATGTTCTTTGAAAGTGGAACCAACAGCTTTGCTGATGGATTGGATGTGGGTAATGAGAGATGGGATGATGATACCAAGGGTTTTGGACTTGCCATTTGCTAAGATGAGGAATACTGAAGGAAAAACAGGTTTGCTGGATGGGAATCAGAAATTCAGGTTTGGAATGTGTTAGGTCTGAGATGCCTAGGAGACATCCCAGGGGTGAGAAGCAGGAGTTCAGGTAGAAGTCTGGACTGGAGAAATAAATCTGTGAGGCATCAGAAACAGATGGTATTTAAGCCATAAAACAGAATGAGATTACCTAGGTGTGAGTTACCATGTTTGAAAGTCAACTAAAAACTAGACAGCCCCAAGTCTTAGGCTAAGCAGATCATTTTTGTGGGGAGGGAAGAAGTCATAACAGAGCTTGGAAGCTCAGCACATATTTATATGCCAGATCCAGTTTTTACCAGACGTCTCAAAATGGTTCAAGAAAGTCAACGCATATGTACAGACAGGAAAGACAGCAAGCCTCCAAAGATAGATAGGAGCTGATTTAGAAGGCAGAGGGGAACAGTTATCGATCACAGCTTGCTTGTTACATGGCCTCATCTGCCCTGTAGATTCCAGGGAAACTGGGGACTTAATAACAATATCCTAGCTCGAGAAAGCTAGAAGCACAGAAGGGAGTGCCTATGAGTTTATCCCATCCTGTTTCCTTTTGTTTTATTATTTTCAAGGGGCACTTGTAATTTTAGTAAGACAACTGAAGAATCTTTTCAGCATAAATGGCATAAGAATTTTTAACCAACAAGATCCTTTCTTTCTCACTCTTTTCAACCAGCAAAACAGTAAGGGATAGACCAACTTTTGCTACTGAAAGGACTGATTTTTTTTTTTTTTTTTTTTTGAGACGGAGTCTTGCTCTGTCGCCCAGGCTGGAGTGCAGCGGCACAATCTCAGTTCACTACAACCTCCGCCTCCTGGGTTCAAGCAATTCTCCTGCCTCAGCCTGCGGAGTAGCTGGGACTACAGGTGTGTGCCACCATGCCCGGCTAGTTTTTTGTATTTTTAATAGAGATGGGGTTTCACCATGTTAGCCAGGATGGTCTCAATCTCCTGACCTTGTGATCCACCTGCCTCGGCCTCCCAAAGGACTGATTGTTTTATAGAACTTGATGTTGGGATAAAACTAGGGACCAGTGGTCCTAAATGCCCATTCCCTCCTCTAGCTGGTGGAAGTACTAGTAGCTCCTTAGGACATGCGTCCCCTTTAACATGTAGTTAATTATCAAACATATATTTGCAACACTACGTTAATGCAAATAAGAAATTTTGCTGCCTCTTCTCATAAAGTTTTCAAGTAAATAGTTCTTTATGGTTGCCCTACAGGTTATTGTTGGTTTGTTTGTCTTACTAACTTTTCCTTGGCTCTCACTCACCCAGACTCCTCATTGTTGACTGAGAACTCCTACATTTACTGGTAACCTTATTAAAATTAGACTCTGCATTTCATAATCTATGATGGTAACATTTTGTTCAATTTACTGACACACTTAAGTTGACCAAAATTACTTGAGCAGAAAGCTCTGTAAGAACCATTGATTGCTTTTATTCCTTTCCTGGGGCAAAATGCTTCAACTTCCTATAAGACAAGATCCTTCTCTTCAGATCCAGACCTGTTTCCCAGCAAAATCAACAACAGCTCTCACTGTTATTCCCAGTTGTTAATGGGCATGAACAACAGGATCTGCTCTGACAGAGCCAACCACACAGATAGAAAGATTTGGTGGCCTCTCCCTGGTATGATTTAAGGACAGTGGAAAAGTCTCTATACAGAAATCTCTCCCAGACTCCCTGAGCCCTGCTGCCTGAAACTCTACCATTAATGAATCATTTCTTTACATTCAGGATTGTCTTCTGGAGAACAATCTTCAAAGGGGCACCATATTTAAGTCAGTTTGGTGGCCAAGAGGGTGGGAAGGGGGCAATACAGAAAGAGAAAAAGAGGAAGAGAGTTGAAATAAAGGTGGTAACACAAGGCTTTGTGTGCTGACAGTCCTATTAAAGGCTGTTTTGCAACACTGGTGCAACCAGAGTGCATAACAATTATGAGAGAATGATTCCAGTATGGCTCAAACCCACATGCACATGCCTAATGTGGTCTTATTATTTATTTATATGAAAGCTTAATAAATAAGTACAGATTCAACCTGATTTGTAATCAGCCTGCTAACTCAATACAAATTATAGGTTCCTTTAAGACAGTGATTTTCAACTGTAGGCAATTTCACCCCACTCTCCCAGAGGTTATTGGCAATATCTGAAGACATTTTTTGGTTGTCACAAGTGTGGGGGTAGGGAAGAAGTTCCACTGGCATCGAATGTGTAGAGGTCAGAGATGATGCTAAACATCCTATAATGCTCAGGACAGCCTCTTCCCAATTGTCCATCCCCAAAGTCAACTGTGCCGCAGTTAGGAAACCCTGCTTTAGGATTATAGGCAAGTCGCCAGGCTTGCAGAGATGATAGAATTGTGATGTAATAATTTTCTCTTATGCTTTGCACTGGACCACAAATGCACGCATATAAACCATGAACATGAAATGTAGCCTCTGTTTGTTATTTGTCTTCAAAAATCCGTCACGATGTCCAGCCCCACAGTCTGCTATTTGGAGAGTTGGTTTTCGGGCCCCTTGTTTGATCTATTCCCTACCACCTCAGTAGCCAGAAGGAGCAGCTAGGAATCTTAGCCAATTCAAAGGAAGAGGCTCCGGGCCCCTGTTCAAGTGACACTCCTAATCAGTGAGTTCTTTGTGAGAAAATCTCCTATAAATAAATTGTTCAATTGATGGGTCTTGATGAGGAGCAAAAATGTCTTAGTTCCCAGCTTCTCACTATCCCAGCCAAATTCACAGCAGACAGATGCCATGTGAGGCCCTCTTCTAGCCGGGCAACTTCCATATTTCTCTTCCCTCTGCTGAGTGGTAATCCCCTCTGACCTTACCTCCACTACAATGTGGGTTCTTGAGCCTTCACATTTTCTTCTCCATCACACTCCCTCCTTCCCCACGAGCAAGAGCAGGTGACTAACAGCTGGTAAAGAAGGACCTGCCATTGGTTACCAGTTCCTTCAGTTGACTGACTGATGCACTTTTTTTTTTTTTTTTTTTTTTGAGATAGAGTCTCCCAGGCTGGGGTGCAGTGGCACGACCTCGGCTCACCACAACCTCCGCCTCCTGGGTTCAAGCGATTCTCCTGCCTCAGCCTCCCGAGTAGCTGGGATTACAGGCACCCACCACCAAGCCCTGCTAATTTTTTTTTTTTTTTTTTTAGTAGAGATGGGGTTTCACCACATTGGCCAGGCTAGTGTCAAGCTTCTCACTTTAAGTGATCCACCCACCTTGCCCTCCCAGAGTGCTAGGATTACAGGCGTGAGCTGCCATGACTGGTCGATTGATGCACTTTTAGTGACAACTCTCCACACTCAACAATAACCGCATAAGGGACTTGTGGAATCAAAGGGTTTCTCTATTCCTCTCTCCACTTGGGCAAAGCCACTCTAGACTCAAAAAGCTACAGAGAGATCTTGGGTGAGGGTAGACCATGTCCTAAAAGCCTGTTGCTTTGTCTGAAGGTAAGTCTGCTTTAGTCTTGAAAACTCATTTGGAAAAGGAGAGAGGTGTGATAAGAGGTGCATGCTCGGAAAGGACCCAGCATAGTCAGCCGTCCTTACCCAGGCACTCCCTGACTTAGGGACAATCCGCCAAGTTGGCTGAATCACTGGAAACCTGAGCTGGGAATGGAAGAAACGTTTTCAATCCTTTCTCAACCCAAACCCACACTACTCTTAAAAGAATAGCCTTAGCTGACAATCCTCTCTCTGCAGGCTTTCTTCTGGCTTCTGATTGTCGATCACTCAATTGATCTATTAATCAATTCTTCCCCTTAGGACTAGAACACCTAGACATACATATACACATGTAAAATAAATATTTTATATTTTCTCACAAATATCTACTGGACCTTACTTTAACAATGGAAGACTTCTTTTCTTTTAGTACCAGAAGTGCCCTGATCTAGCATCACAGAACTCTCCTTTCACTGTCCTATATTACTTCTGACTCTGATTATGAAGGTTCTGATAACATGTGCCTGTGGAATGCACCCTCTTGGCTAATGGAAGCATCGCTGTGCTGTAGTCACGATCTCTGTTCAGGAGACTCTGGTTTTAAGCTGATTGGGACCTGACTGGTATCTGTAGGATAAAAGAGAAATGTTGCTGAGTAGTGAAGAGAATATGTCCAGACCTCCAGCCAGAGGGAGAAAAGGAAGGAGGATGGGAGGGAACTGAGCTAATCTTCATTCTTCCAGAAGAGATACAGAGGCTGGAAAACATCTTATACATAACAGCCGAATCACGGCTCACTCCTCTTTATGCTCCTTTCCGTAAGGCACTAAGGGAAAAGAAAAATAAATTTTAAAAAAAGTTCCTTTTTTTCCTCTAGTTTTTATTCTTTTAGCCAAGTTGTGAGAAGCCACTGATTTCTACCCTATAAATTATTTAAAATTCCACCTTTGCATCAGGATTGGAAAATCAATCTCCCTGATTAAAAAGTGAACAGCTTCACGTTTCTAAATGTCTCTTTAATCTTTTAATTATGTCTGGTTACAGACAGCATGAGTCTCAAAGAAGCAGAGAACTGCACCCTGTGCTAACTCAACTCAAAAAAATCTATAAGTCCATCAGCCTTTTTACTTAGCCATCTGGCATTATTGCTGTCAGGTAGGCCTGCTTTCAGAAATACTGCCTAATGGACGACTCGGATCCTCTCATTAACATACTTCTATCTCAAGGTCGCATGTAAAGTTTCATTGGTTCTAATTTCTCCAACTAAAACAAAGTACTATAGGATCTAACTGGAGACTTTGCAGGTATGAAAGTCCAGTTTAATAAAAAGACTTGAGGCATGCAAATATTTGTGTATAGGCCTGAGAATTCTTTTTTTTTTAGACAGTCTTATTCTGTCACCCAGGCTGGAGTGCAGTGGTGCAATCTCTGCTCACTGCAATCCCTGCCTCCTGGGTTCAAGTGATTCTCCTGCCTCAGCCTCCCGAGTAGCTGGGATTATAGGTGCCCGCCACCACGCCCTGCTAATTTTCGTATTTTTAGTAGAGACAGGGTTTCACCAGGTTGGCCAGGTTGGTCTCAAACTCCTGGCCTCAAGCAATCTGCCTGTCTCGGCCTCCCAAAGTGCTGGGATTACAGGTGTGAGCCACCGCTCCCGGCCATAGGCCTGATAATTCAACCAAAGGCCACCATCATACACAGTGCAAGCCAAGGTAACCGAGTCAAATGTATACATTTGTAAATTGACTCCGGGTGCCAAGATTTTTGGAAGAAAAGTTACAAGCACTCCAACCACCCAATTACTCATGAAAAAGCTGCTCTTCTCTAGTGAGCTAGATGAAAAAACAGTCTCCAGAAGGCTTTCGATTGAGGGCAACAGATTACTACATGGAAAACAAGGAGAGGGAGATCCAGGCAAGCTTTTCAATGACTCTTGGAGAAGTCATTTATTACCTGTGTTGTTTGAAAATGCAGTGAAGTCTGCGATAGTGTGGCTCAAGAAACCAAAGTATTTCAAAACCCAAAACGCAGACATGCAGCTAGCTCTTCTTAACTCTACTCTCTGACGACCTGCAGCAGAAATCCCAGCTGACTAATAGGCTTTCTTAAACACTGTAAACCACCGTTTTAAAATACTCTTGCCATGATATGAATTGGACTGCAATTGTCACAGCCCCCTTCCCAGGTGTCTAGTGGAGCAAAGGCACCACATTTAGCGTTTTAAGGTTCAGTGTAAACAGAGACCAGAGCCGAGGCTCCAGAGAGACTCCTTTGAGTCGAAGTGGTGGATTCTGCTTCCCTCACTTGCAAGTCTTTGCATGGGTGGCGTGCACGGGCATACACAACACGGGTGAATCTGAAGCACCACAGTAAACGATCGCAGGCAAGAGGAGAGATTTCCTGGGGAGGTGCAGTAGTAAATGATGTCAGAAGTCAACCCTGCCTTCGGCCTGGCAAACTCAGTGGGCTTCCTCGGTCTAATGTAGGCTGGGCATTACCAGCACCTAGTGGAGGTGATGAGACAGCCAGGTGGGAGGAGATCCCTGGAGAAACTCTAGCTGGCTTGCCCACTAGGGTGGAGCCTCAGGAAATTCGTGCCCTTTGCACCAGGGAGGAGCCTGGGCTCTCCTCTTCCTGTGCGGAACCTGAGATTCCAACAGCTGGACGCAAAGCGCTCTAGCGGGGATTCTGGTCTAGGGAGAGTCCCTGTTTCCCCTTTTCTTCCTTTTTCATCAATAGAGCCCTGTCTTACTCACCAATCACATTGTCTGGGAGCCTGAATTTTCGTGGCCGTGGGACAGAGAACCGCATCTTTAGCTGAACTAAGGAAAAGTCCTGCAACAGTGACGTGTTCCACCATCTTGCCCACAATATGTTTATGATAATGTGAGTCTGTAAAACTCTTGGTTTTAAAGGACAACCTCTTCTTCTTTTCTTTCTTTCTTTCTTTTTTTTTTTTTCTTCGAGACGGAGTTTGGCTCTTGTTGACCAGGCTGGAGTGCAATGGTGCGATCTTGGCTCACCGCAACCTCCGCCTTCCGGGTTCAAGCGATTCTCCTGCCTCAGCCTCCGGAGTAGCTGGGATTACAGGCATGCGCAACCACGCCTGGCTAATTTTGTATTTTTAGTAGAGAGGGTTTCGCCATGTTGGTCAGTCTGGTCTCAAACTCCCGACCTCAGGTGATCCGCCCGCCTCGGCCTCCCAAAGTGCTGGGATTACAGGCGTGAGCCACCCTGCCCAGCCGACAGCCTCTTTTTCTATCCTTGTGTTTTACCAATCACCACCTCAATCTCTTGGAAATAATGAGGATTTGTATTCTCGAATATTTTTCTAATTTCAGCACTAGATGCTTCAAAATCCAGCCTTGAGCTAATTTAGATGCCCCAAGTAAGCTGATGTGGTATTATAATGGTGTGATGACTTCCCTTATAAAAACAACTTTAAAATGCTGCGTGTTTATGTACTTAAAATTTTTATTTTAAATCTCTTTTGTCTGAAGCCCTGTAATCTTCTTTGGAAAATACACACTGTACCTGGTTTTTTTTTTTTCCTATGGGATTGGAAGGATCTTCAGCTCAAAGCACTGCTTCAGAGCTAACCTTATTTAAAGTCGGGAACAGTGAATCAAGATAAATCATCAAACATTCATTAGGCATCTACATGGGCCAAGTGATAAAAGGGTTACAGGGATAATTAAACATACATATATATATGTTTATATATACACATTTAATATATATAAACATATATATAAGTTTAACTTATATGTTATTTAATATAGAATATATTAATATATTATATAAAAATATAAATTTAACATATATGTTAATATATATTAAACATATATGATAAAAGTTAATATATATAAAGGTTATATATTATGTGATATATAAGATATATGTTATATATAAGTTAATATATTATATATTTTCATATATTTTATATATAATATAGAGTATATATATTTTAATATATAATATTAATATTCATATATATATAGTATATATAGTATATAGTATATATAGTATATATAGTATATATATTTTTAATATATACTATATAGTATATATTTTTAATGTATATTTTAAATATATATACTATATTGTATATATATGATATATATAATATAGTATATATATTTAATACATATACTATATAGTATATATATTTTTAATATATATACTGTATTTTAATATATTAATATATTTATAATATATTAAAATATATACATATAATTTTTAACATATATAAGTTTAGTTATCCATATATAATTAAAGACAGAGATAAGTTTAGAGTTAAAGTCAAGAGAAACATGCTAAAATAACTAAGTAAATGCAAGGTAGAATAAGATCAATTCCAAAAGACAGGAACACTGATTTATGTGAAAAAGCTAAGTTTACATTTTAGTTATATCAACTTTGAATTTCCTAAGAGATAGAATGAGTGTGCAGATTGGTCATCATTAGCATAGAAGTAATAACTGGAGCCCTCAGAGTAGATGAGATACCCCAAGGGGGAAAAAAGAGAACAGAAAGACATGATTAGCAGTCATATTGAAGAAGGTAGAGGAGAATCTTAAAAGCATAAACTCAAAGAAGTCCTCGGAAAAGAGTTTAATGAAAAAAAGATGTTTAAAAGGTGTATTGCAGAGAGCTCAGGAAACACCAACAGAGAAGAGGTCATTGGTTGTGGGTTCCTTTGGAGCAAGGTCTGTGCCAAGTACAGTCGGGAATAAGCAAGGGAAGAGGGAGGCTTGGCCTCAGCACACGAAGGACTTCCAACATAGTTGGGAGGACAAACCCGACCGAAAGAACGGTATTAAAATTTAGTGCTAAATTCTAAATTGTGTGATGCCAATGATGGTAGCTGGGGCATTCTCTGATGGTCAGAGGTGCTGGCTGCCAGCGTGACTTTGACCCCACAGGGTGCAGAGGCAGATACTGTTCAGATTGCTGCCGTAAGAACAGCATTGAGGCTAGGATATAGATATATATTTTTTAAATAGCACTGATGTAGCATCATTGCTTAAGACAGATAACGATGAAGGGTGGTTTAAACAAACATTGCTCCTGCATTCGCAAATGTATTAGTGAATGGAAGATGCAACCGGAAATTACTGCACTCCAGCTCTGTGGGCGGAAGCTTGCAAACACATGAAAAAACACATGAACTCCTCAACTCACTGTCTCCTCTTGTCTTTTTATTTTCCTTGCAGGGCCTCACAGCCAAATCCTCTCTTATCGCCTGTGGGGCTGCCAAGGGAAATGATTGCCAAATGGGTTTTAAACTCAGAATGGCGACAACCTGATGCTTTAGACATAATGCCTCTTTCCCTTCAGAGGCACCTTTTTTGTATTCTTACTACAGTGTACCTAAGCATGGCTGGATCTGAAGTGTTATTTGAGTGTTTTAAATAAAGTGTTAGTGTTTTTTTAGCTCTATTTGCAGCACTAGTAATCCAGGAGCTTAGAAAAGAATGGTGGTTTATTAGTACCAGCAAATAATTAAGGAAGTGCAGTCTAAAGGAAGAAAGTAGCAAACAGTGATTCATATAGCAGGAAACTATCTCAACCCTTAGAATTCAAACATTCCTTTATTCATTCATTCATTCCTTCATTCATTCAATAAATATGCATGAAGTGCCAACTTTATACCCAGCATTGCACTAAGTGTGGGGTTACACAGAAAAATAGCATGTGGTCTCTGCACTTGAGAGGTTCAAGGTCTGGCCATCGAAGGAAGAAAAAATAATTATCTACCATTTATTTTGCACCTATGTCCCATCAAGAACTGCCCTGGGGCCCTTTATCTATTTTTGCTCGTTTAATACAATGAGTCTGTGAGTTAGGTATTACTCTTTAGTCTGACATAATAGAACATTGAGATGTCCCCAAATCAAGTAACCTGATCAAAGTTTCACAGCTAATATGTGGAATGCAAACCCAGCTGCCCTGGCCTCAAAGACCATGCTCTTTGTACTGCACCTTGAGGCCTCCCTGAAATGAATATGGCCTTCAATATGCCCTCAAAGATTACACAGACAGGTTTACAAATAATAACAATGTGATTGCTTTAATAATAACACCACTTCCAAGGCTTACTCAGGACTCTTCTCAGCACTGAAGACGACTTTGGAACCCACCTATGACACTGCATATACTCTGTTTTTGTTTTTGTTTTTGAGATGGTGTCTCACTCTGTCGCCCAGGCTGGAGTGCAGTGGCACAATCTCAGCTCACTGCAACCTCTGCGTCCTGGGTTCAAGCGATTCTCTTGCCTCAGTCTCCCGAGTAGCTGGGACTACAGGCACCTGCCATCATGCCCGGCCAATTTTTTGTATTTTTTTTTTTTAGTAGAGATGGGGTTTCGCCATGTTAGCCAGGATGGTCTCGATCTCCTGACCTCTTGATCCGCCCGTCTCGGACCCCCAAAGTGCTGGGATTACAGGCGTGAGCCACCATGCCCAGCCAACACTGCATATACTCTGAAGGGCAAACACTGGGAAGTCTCCTGAGGAGAAGATGTGTGTTTTGTGCTTCCTGCCCTCTCTAATGATGTCTTCTGTAAGGTATAGGACCTGCTAAGATACAGCTACATGGACCCATATCCCAGAGCCTTGGATTCCATCGCTTCCTACATGAAGAGCATCAAAAAAAATGATGCAGGCATTTTTATTCCCCTAAAGGGGAATGGTGCTTCCATTGTTTTAGGTGCATATTTCTACACTAAAACTAATTACGTCTCATGGTCCTTACCTGTTTTCCTTTTTTATTTTTATTTTTTTGAGACAAGGTCTCATTCTGTCACCGAGGCTGGAGTGCAGAGGCACGATCAGGGCTCACTGCAGGGTCAACCTCCCAGGCTCAAGCAATCCTCCCACCTTAGCCTCCTGAGTAGCTAGGATTACAGGTGCAAGCCACCGTGCCCAGCTAATATTTGTATTTTTTGTAGATGTGGGGTTTCGCCATGTTGCCCAGGCTGGTCTCGAACGCCTGGGCTCCAGCACTCCACCCGCCTTGGCCTCCCATAGTGCTGGGATTACAGGCATGAGCCTCTGTGCCCAGCTACCTCACCTGTTTTCTTGTTAGTCTCCCTCACTAGGGAAGCCCTCCACACTAGGAACTCTGTTCCGTTCACCATGATATATTCAGCTCATATAGCAGTTCATTGTACTTCGTAAGTGATCATTAAAATGTTTATCGAGGAAAAGAAGAAAACTTTAACTCTATTAACCCATTGTGGGTTTCGGGGTTTTTGTTTTGTTTTAAAGTTTATTTGCAAAGGTCTGCACAAAGTCCTAGAAGAATGGTCAACACAAAACTGAATAAGACCAACCCTGGCCCTGGTTAGCACATCTAATTTTCACATATTATTGGTTTAACTTAAAAAGGAAAACCCAGTTTTTGAGTTACCAACACTGAAATAAATGCTATGAAAACATGGCCTATAAATTCCCACACTGAGTTTATTTATCAGTGTGTTAAGGATCAATATTCCTTAAGAAATAAGCTAAAACTCAGAAGTAATTATCAATCAAATTACAAAATTTATAGCCACTTAGATGCAGGACATTGAAAACACACACACACACACACATTCACGTGTTTATTTCCACTCCTTAGAAACCCACTTAAGTGTCAGTAAAAGAATACAAAAGTTTAAATCCACAGGAACAAATGGAATGGCAGAAAAGACAACGGTGGACAAGAATATCAACAGATACCTGCTGGATAGAAAGCTATTGAAGAAGTGATGGTTTAAGCAGAACAGAAAAGGCTGGATTCTGTGAGCCTACAGAGGCAACTTAATAAAAAACAAGCCAGTCTTTCTTCAGAACTCTGGGAAGGTTCAGGAACTGGAGGCATGGGGCCTGCAGAAGGTGAAGGCGTGCAGTCAAGGGTGGATTGAAAGTCAATACAGTTATCTCCTTAGGTGCATCCATCATCATCACCTCCCACCTCCAAGACAGGTGGTTTATTTTCTCCAAAACAGGCTTCAAGACCAACACCCAAGGTACAGAAAGCAGTAACTGGGGCCATTATCAAAAATCTGAATCTTTAGATTAAAATGATCATTTGAGTGCCCAACAAAATAAGTAAAAAAAGACCCAACCAAGACACATCATTTTGAAATTTCAGCACTCCAGGGAAAGGACAATGTTTACATAAAAATGACAGAGAATCAGAGTGCTGTTGGACTTGTAAACAGAAACATTGAAAGCTAGAAGATAATAGTTTAATGCCTTTAAATTCAGAATGAGAATTATTTTTAACCTAGAATTCAATTCTTAGCCAAACTGCCAAACAAATGCAAGGGTAGAATAAAGATATTTTCAGGCAGGAAAGTTCTCAGTAAATTTACCTCACATGCACCCTTTCTCAGGAAGGGTGTGTCACCAAAATGAGAGAATAAAGCAAGAAAGAAGAAAACATGGAAACCAGGAAGGAGAGACTGCAACACAAGAGAGGTGAAGAGAATTGCCAGGATGATGGCAGAGGGAGGTCTTGGGATGACAGTAGTATAGGGGCCCAAAAGAACAACCAATAAAAGTTGGAAAAAGAAAGAAAAGGGCCCCAGGAAGGAGGCCTTGAGATACTGGTAGATTATCTGTTACGTATTACTATGTGGAACATTTTGGGAAACTGTTGGAAGTTGTGGCAGGACTTAGGGATAGTTATATACAAAGACAAGCTGGTGAAAAAAACAAGGTGATCATTAACTCCAAGAAAAACAAAAAGCTGTACAAGAAAGGAAAGGTAATTATAGTGTCGTGTAAGCTCAGTAGAGAACATTATTTACATAGTTATAATAATATTGACCCTGAATATTGATTTAACCAAAAAGGGGAACAAGAGGGAACAGTGTTGTGGAGACGTAAATCCTCACCAACTGTAATAGTCACTAAATAATGGTCTAGGAGGACATATATGTTACCCAGAAATATGGAGGTAAATACCAGAGGAAACAGCTAAAATTAATTTAAAGTAGCTGCCTCCAGGGAGAAGGACTGGTGGTAAAGAGGGTGGGCCAGGAGAATTGCTGTGTTTTGGTTTTGGTTTCCTTTATTTCTTAAAGCGCTTTAGTAAGATTTGACTTTTAAAAATGTGTACACTTATTTGGATAAATTTGTACTTATTTAAAAACATTAAGCTGCCATAACAGATTAGTAAAGAGGCTTATGATTAACAAATTAGATACATTTCTGCCCTCAAGGATCATGCAATTTAAACACAAATCTGAAAAAAAAACCATACAGATCATTTCCTAATATAACAAAGCCTAGATTTCAGAACCAATCTGTATGCATTTGCCTCTTCTTCTCTCCAATTTGTAGAAATATTTAAAGTGTGAAGAAGTTTCCTGAGTAGATACTCCCATGTTTTCCCGAGATGTTGAAGAGATTAATTACAAAATGTTTATCACAGTCTGAGTGAATATTTGTACACGGTAGCACTTGTTAACCAAAGCAGGGAAACTAACTGGTGGCAGGAGAATTTGTAGTGCCTTTATCTGAGTCTACATACAAACAGGGCCGGGCCTGGTGGTTCATATCTATAATCCCAGGGCTTTGGGAGGCCAAGGCAGGAGGGTCGCTTGAGTTCAGGAGTTTGAGACCAGCTTGGGCAACATAGTGAGAGGCTGTCTCTAAAATAAAAAATAAAAAAATTAGCTGGGCATGTGCCTGCCTGTGGTCCTAGCTACTTGGGAGGCTGAGGTGGGAGGAAGGCCAGGAATTCAAGGCTGCAATGAGCTATGATTGCACCACTACACTCCAGCCTGGGAAACAGAGCAAGACCCCATCCCTTAAAAATAAATAAATTCAAACAGAGAAGCCACCACAGATACATGGAGTTTGTGCCACAGCTTCAGGCACAATAGATATGCAACTTGATGGGTCGGAAGAAACTGGTCCATCCCTAATTCACAGAGAATGGTTTGGAAAGGAGGAAAGTTGTAGGTCAAATTGAGAGTCAGAATGGCCCTGGGGGTTCTCAGAAACCTGCAAGGGAAATAAGACACTCAAGGGTCACGGGAATGTAACCTGCTAATTCATCCCCAAACTGCAATGTCTTCATCACAGCAGAAATCCCTGGTAGACTAATAAAGACTTTTCGCCCAAAGCAGCATCACCGCCACAAAGCAATAGCTAGCCACCTCACAGCAATAATAATGTGTTAATGACTTTGATAAGAGAGGATACATATCATTATCACCTCTTAATTACCTTTTGGGCAATGAAAAAGCAGCTGTGGAATACACAAATCAAGGCGCTTGGGGAGGAAGTTTCCTTTAAAGTGGTCCCTGTGATGGTTAATTTTGTATTATTCTGCCTCCATTACTTGTCTTTTTTTTTTTTAAAGGTTACCTGCCATTTGTTAAGAAGCAAAGTACCAGCTTGTGCTTGATTCTGTGCATATTACAAACATGGTGTTTACCTATAGGAAGATCATTTCCTTTGGGCTTAGCATTGACCTCCTTATTGATTTCCCTCCTGCCTTCATATTCATGGAGCACAGCTCTACACATTTATTTTGCAAGCCAAGAACCAGGAGACACTTTGTAGAAACACTTCCTTAAGAGAAAGACAAGCCTTAGTTTTCATTTGCCTCTGCACCCAGCACAATGCATTGCATATAATAGCCAGTAAATGTAATCTGAACAAAATATATGTGTTCATTCCAGAGATTATAGCGGTTTCACTCTTTTAGTTTGGATACTGCTTTTGAGATCCTAAGTAATAAGCTGTATTTGTATGAGGGAATCTAGACCACCTTCGATTGCTCTGCACCTCAGTCACCAAGCCTTCTAAGCAGGAATAAGGGAATCATGCTGGCTCTGATACTCACATACCTTTCTGAGGGAGGGGAAATATAGCTTTAGTTCTCACCCACCAAGATCCTCATCAAACTCTCACCCCATCCTGTATATATGCGGGGTGTGGAATTCCCAAACATCATTCCTGAGTTGTCCTGTCCCCTAAAACTCTGCCTGGTGGCCAGCTAGGGAATTAGTGATTTTTTTTTCTTGAGATGGAGTCTTGCTCCGCCACCCAGGCTGGAGTGCAATGGCACAATCTCGGCTCACTGCAACCTCTGCCTCCCGGGTTCAAGCGATTCTCCTGCCTCAGCCTCCTGAGTAGCTGGGATTACAGGTGTACACCACCACCCCTAGCTATTTTTTGTATTTTTAGTAGAGACGGGGTTTTACCACGTTGGTCAGGCTGGTCTCAAACTCCTGACCTCGTGATCCACCCGTCTTGGCCTCCCAGAGTGCTGGGATTATAGGTGTGAGCCACTGCATCTGGCCAGAATGAGTGATTTTCTACAGTAGGTTAATGTCCTTTTCTTTTTCTCTCCACACAAAAGGCTGCCACCAACTTCACTTTTTCTTTGCAAGATGCTTTCTGCGAGTTTGAGGTCACCTGAACATAATTCCCATGACCACTTCAGGATTCCTGCTCTAATATTGTCTTGCCCTCAATGGAATTCTTTTTTAGCTGTATAAAATTCCTTGTTCATCTCTCAGTTATCAGCTATAATGTTTGATGGTTCTGAGGCAACTCATTTCTTTACAAGTTGGCAGACTCATTGCTAACTCTCCCAAGAGAGGTAAGAGGTAGGGGGAAAGAAGGAGAAAAAAAGCAAGGAGGGAGGGAGAGAGGAAGGGAGGGAAGGAAGGGGTAGGGATGGAGGGTGGGAGGGAAGGTAGGGAGGGAGAGATGGAATGTAGGGAGGAAGGGGAAGAAATATATTCAACTGGAAAAATTAAAATGCTGCTTCTTAAAGTGTGTCTGCCTTGTTATTTTTATTTTTTACCAGTTTTATTCTACCTTCTGTTTTGGGCCTGGAGCAGATGTAAAGGACTTACTGAAGCACTTTATATTCATGAACCCAGGGCAATCTAAATCTAAGATTATCTCTCAAATCTGAAGTTAACACAAAACCACAAATGATGAGTGGACAGCTGAGATGACTACAGATTCCATTATTTGGATGGGATAAAAATTGATTAGAAAAAGTATTATCTAGATTAACAGTCATCCTGATTTTTCTACAATGATTCTGTCTCTCCTTTTTTTTTTTTTTAAGTTGAACTGGTCTTTTGAATTTTGTTTGGTGGAGGGGGAGACAGTGCAGGCACATGCAATTCACCGGGCCAGGTAATATCTTTCCTGGACTTAATCAGACCTGGAGCAACTACCCTAGCTCCTTGCTCTCTCCTCCCACCAGTTGCTGCAGTCAGGCACAACCCTTTATCACACCTTGGACTTAGCAAGAACTGCATCTGTGACCTCAGAACAGATAAAAGTGCAGGTCATCGGAGAGGGCAGGAGAAAAGCCAGACATCCCTTTCTCTCCCATCCCACCCGGAGCAGCCTCCCTTCCCACTTTCACCAACACCCACCTCTCAGCCCCTTTTCTAAAGGCCCCCGATCCTTCTTTACCTCTGTTCTGGAAACCAGTCCTCGGTGGTACCCCAGAGGCTGACATTTTACTACAACAGAGAGTAATTTGTACTTTAGAGGACAGTGTTTGGGAATAGCCCATGATTAGTTTTTATAATCTAATGAATCCACCATTGAACTTGAGGCCGGCGCGGTTACTCACGCCTGTAATGCCAGCACTTTGGAAGGCAGAGGCGGGTGGATCACCTGATGTCAGGAGTTCGAGACCAACCTGGCCAACGTGGTGAAACCCCATCTCTACTAAAAATACAAAATTAGCTGGGCATGGTGGTGTGTGCCTGTAATCCCAGCTACTTGGGAGGCTGAGGCAGGGAGAATAGCTTGAACCCAGGAGGCGGAGTTTGCAGTGAGCTGAGATTGCTCCATTGCACTCCAGCCTGGGCGACAGAGCAAAGCTCTGTCTCAAAAAAAAAAAGAAAAAAAAAAAGAAAGAAAGAAAAAAGAAAAGAAAAGAAATTGAACTTGAAAGAGGAGCGGGAGCAAAAGCTCCAAACTGCCGTGTGTTTGCAGTGAGGATGGCAAAAGAGGAGAGGGCTGTGAGATCAAGGAAGAAGGGAGCCCTGGTTTCTAAAGCCCACGCCATCAAAAACTGGAAGGTTGTCATTAGGCCAGTCGGGTAGGAAAGAAAAGGAGTTACCTTATTTTAAATATTTTGTTATTTTTGGCCCTACAAACAATAATAGCAAAAACCAGAGTGCTGGGCTCTGGCATCAGACTGCCCAATTTTGAATCTAAATGTTGCTGCTTATTTACCGGGGGACCTTCCTTAACCTTCTAAGTTTCAATTTCTCATCTGCAACTGGCATAATAGTACAATTTCTCATCTGTAAATTGGCCATGATAGTACATTGGGTTGTTGTGAAAATTAAAAATGATCATGTAGGTCAGGCGCTCACCCTTGAAATCCCAGCACTTTCGGAGGCTGAGGTGGGCGGATCATGAGGTCAAGAGATTGAGACCAGCCTGGCCAACATGGCGAAACCCTGTTTCTACTAAAAATACAAAAATTAGCCGGGCATGGTGGCACACACCTGTAATCCCAGCTACTCGGGAGGCCACGACAGGAGAATCGCTTGAACCCAGGAGGTGGAGGTTGCAGTGAGCCGAAATCCAGCCACTGCACTCCAGCCTGGCAACAGAGCGAGACTCTGTCTCAAAAAAAAAAAAAAAAAAAAAAAAGAGAATGTAATACATAGTTTACAATAGTATCCATCTATTCTACTATGCAATAGTAATAGTAAATCCTCAATAAACACTAAACTTATTTTACTCATAATTGTCATCACTGCACAGGTAGATACTTTACATGCATTATCCCCACAACAACCTGGGAAGGGATGAAATGTCTTAGTAATTCCAGAAGTCAGTTACAAAAGGACATCTGCCAGATCACCTCTTCCACCAAGAAAATGCTCCAAAAGTCTTTTGTTCCACACCTTATCCTCATTTTCAAATGGGAAAATGTGGTTGGGATATGCGGAGCTCTCTTAGTCTCCTCTCGTTTTCTCCAGCTTCTCTTTGAAACTTTGGTACCTTGTGAGAAAGGGCAAGTAACCTCCTATTCTGATGTCATTCATGTGGAAGAAATGGGGGAAAAACGTGTTCCTTCTTCCTCTGTAATCGCAAGGGGAAGGGAGCACAGGAAAACAGGTCAGATGGTGCAGGGTGCCACAGTTCCAGTGTGCAAGGTTGGAATCCTATGGCTTCCTGAACAAATCCATTTACATATGGTTAAAGTCCATAGTATTAATATTATACTACGCTCAACTTTAGGTACATCGTGGAGATAATAGACTTTTATGGGCTAGACCAAGGACATATAATCTTTATGCAAAACTTTGAATTAGAAAAAGATGTTCCAAAGCTCCAAAGAATATGCTAAAAAATGAACTATTAGGACACAACTGGTACATAATTTGCAAACTTACTGTAGGATTTTAGGTCAACTTTCGTCATTTCCCTGCTAAGAATCTGTAGCAGGTGTTGTCGATGGAATCAATACTAGTTAAGCCTTAATAAGGATCTGCTTTGAGCTCACAAGACTGCTACGCTGAGACCTTTGGGGCAGTTGGGTGCTCTCAGCCCTTTTAGACCTTCCTCCAGCATAATTCTTTTCACGGTGTGTTGTGTTTGTTGGTTCGTTTTTCTCAAGAGACTGAGCTAAGCCTTAGTCACCTTTAAATCCCCTGAGCCTAGAATACATTAATAAAAGTTATAGGTGGAGAGATTTCATTTCTTTATAAATGTAGAAGGAATGAGGAAGGAAGGGGAAAGAAAGGAAGGAGGGAAGGGGGGAGGGAGGGACAGACGGAGGGAGGGATGGAAAGGAGGAGGGAAGGAAGGAAGGAAAGAAGGAAGGAAGGAGAAGGAAGCCATGGAAGTGGTTATCTCTCTAATATAGTAGTTTTTTTGCTATTAGCTGGATTAGAAAATTCCAATTCTAAGATTCTCTGAATTTTTGAAACACTTATTATGGGTTTAGCACTGGAGAAAAGGGAAAGTGAGGAGAGTTTAGCAAATAGACATTAGTAACAAACGCTATCTTTAAGGAACTTATAATGTAATTGGGGAACTAAACTTAACACAGGAGATAATCAAGAGACAATACATCCCAGCACATACATTGCTTCTAAATTACTTGTCACAGACAAAACTGTGAGGTCAGAAGACACAAGCTGGAGGAATCAGGAAAGACTTCTGTGAGATTTGAAACTTAGGCTGCCCCTTGATAGATAACGGGAAAGAGCAACAATCTCGGTGAAGTCACAGACAGAGATGAGTCTGTTCAGGCATTGGTGAGGCCAGTTTGGCCAGGGAGAGAAATGGGCAGAGTGGGGCCAAATTACAGATGGCCTTGGAAGTCAGCCCAAGGCATTAACACGGCCTGTGCTAGCCAACAGAAGCAGCCCGGAGGCTCTCGGACAGAACTCATTCCCCATTCTTTCTCTTCCTCTTTCCAATGGATGAGGTGACTTGCATTGGCTAGAATCACCCTGTGGGTGATGAATTCCTGAGAATGTGGCAGATGAAAGTGGCAGTGGCAGCGCCAAGCATCTCATTCTGCTTCCCAGATGGTGATAAATCTAGGCCAGGAAGCGTCACTATTTCCCCAAGTTCTGTGACTTCACAGAAGTTGCAGGAAATGGGGTGGAGAGCGGGGATAAAGAACTTTTCTCCACAGCCTCGGAGGGTGGTATTTTATAAGAGGCATATGATGCCAGCTCCCATCTGAGATGGTTTCCACATGTGCGCCACTTACAGGCTAGATAAGAAACCAATCGAGAAGTATCCTCTCAGCAAAACACTCCAGGGTTGGGTGATCTTAACTTCCACCTTTCTAGATCATCAAGACTTTCTATAGAAAGTTAAGTATGTGTTTTTTCTTTATCTCTGAAGACTAACCCTAAATACACTCGATGGGTTATATAATAATGGCTATCCCTGAAAATAAATTCACCACAACATGAGCTATCATTATACCACCCTGATTACCTCCGAATAATAACTGTTTGAAGCCATTTTGATAGCCATAAAGTACTAGAGCTTTAACAAAATGAAAACACACTATAAAATAAACACCTATCAAGTTTTATGCAAGTTAATTTGAATAAAATAAACATTATGTTTACATATGTAGATTAATTCTAACTAGCCATGTTTTCACACTTAGTAATTAACCACAGTTTTGTTTTATATCTCATTGCAATTGGCCCTATCATTTAGAAAATATTCAAAGAATGCCTTAAATGCTTTACCTTTCTATGCATTAAATTGGAAAGATTATCGTTCAAATAAAAAAACACATGTATTTGAAAATATACTAGGAAACAATAAGAAATAATTTTATGTAACTAGTTTTATGTTAATTTGAGAGTTTACTTGAGAACAGAGAAACCATGTGTATTTGTGTCTCTGTCTAGCCTATCTCTGTGGTAGTATGGTTTGTCTGTGTCTCCATCAAACTGAGACTTTGGATGATTTCTTATGGGAACAATAAGCCTACAAAAAAAAAAAAATGTTCAGGGGAAAATATTGAGAAGAAAATCTGCTCTTTTGTTTTATGTGCCAGGGAATAATCCTAATAGTTTTAATTAATGTATCCTGTGCAGCCTAAATACATTTCAAATCACATTTTGCAACAGACATAAAGGAAGAGATATTGTTTAGAAAATCCATTTTGCAGGTAGAAAAACTGATTGCAAGAATAAATGACTTGTCTGAAGACAGATTGCCAATAACAGATAAAATCAAATCTAGCTGTCTTGACTTTCAGCTCAAAGTTCTTTCTGCTAAATCTCATTTGTGTCCAGGATGTTTCCGCCACTGGACAAGATGTTATTTAGACCAGAGAAGGGCTCACAACAGAAAAACAAAGGATTTTAGGAGGTCTTCCTATTGTACACTCCCTCTTTTAATTCATACAGGAAATTAAACCACTGGTTCCCAATGTGGTTGGTCATCAAAATCACCCATGAGGGCTTCCCTGTCCCTGCCAATCTTGTCTACAGGACACCCTCTTCCCATCTCTCCTATCTCACACTCATCTTAAAACCCACTGCGCAGATCTTTTGTGCTATTTCTGCATTGCACGGTGCATTTTCAAGAGACTCCATGGTGAAATAAATTTGAGATCAGTTGCTACAAAGCAGTGGTCATTTGGAGCTTATCGGATCTCACACTAACACTAATAAAATATAATCTCTGGAGGTGGAGTCCTGTTAGACTTATTTTTCAAAACAAACAACTCCCACCCCGCATAATATGTTTACTTATCAATTACCTGACACACTTCCATATTGCTTTTTAGCTCCTGTTTGAAGTGTATGGCTTCTCATAATCCTCTTCATCTACTTTTTTGTTTTTCATTTGCTATATTTTCTATCCCTTTAGTCTCAAAAAGCCCCTGCCCCAGAAGATTTTGATGACTATGCAGGTTTGTAAAGCAGATGATATTAGAAGATTTCAAAGCACTCTATTTTAGAATGAAAGAATGAAAGAGAAGTAATTTGGGCCAGGGGTATCTTACTCATCAGCTTGTTGGCATTCCTGGAGGTGGTTGTTGGGGCAAGAAGATTCACAAATAACCCAACACAAAGGAGAATATACATAAAGTAGAAGAGATAATTCTTACTAAGGAAGAAACAGGCCCAGGTACATGGGCTCATATTCTGTGTTATTCTGTTAATTCTCTAAATGGCAGCCTTGTATGGAAAAAAAAAAAGCTCTTTATAGGGAAGAATGGCCATTGCTGAGGTTTTAAAATCCTCTTTGTCATACACAATTCTAGTAACTACTGTTATAATAGGATTCATCTAAAAATGTAAGAAAATGAAACAAAACAATAAAACAACAAACTTACTATTTCTTTAGAATGCTTGGTAGAATATTTTAATTAATCCAACTTTGTGATAAATCAATAATTGGGGTGTTTACCTGTGAGTGGAAAAAACACAAACTACTTTTCCTCTGCTCTCACACCACAGCAATTAACAAAGAAGATGTCTGTGACCAAATGCATGGGGGGTTCTCACCACATACCAGCAATCAAGCAAGTCTGCAGTGGACACCCTGTTCTCTAATTTAATTCTAACACTATCTACCCAGAGATAGTGTCAGATCTCACAGGTTGAGGGCTCAATCCCTTTAGATTGTCCCCCCTTTCAGACACCTGTCACAAGTTTGGGCCTCCAGAACTTTTGACCAACTGGCTTAAGTTGGGTTTCCTATGACTTCCTCTTTGGATTGGGTTCATTTGCTACAGCAGCTCACAGAACTCAGGGAAACATATTTACCAGCTTATTATGAAGGATATTGTGAAGAATATGGATGAAGAGGAATGGGGGAGGGTTGCCATGCTTCTGTGTGTTCAGTTCTCTGGGAAGCTCTCCAAACCCAGTTGTCTCTAGTTTTTATGGAAGCTTCATTATGTAGGCATGACTGATTAAACCCTTGATCACTAGTGATCAACTTGACCTTCAGCCCCTCTCCCTTCGCACAGGTTAGGAGATGGGGCTGAAAGTCCGAACCCTCAATTCCTGCCTTGGTCTTTCTGATGACCAGCCCCCATCCTGAAGCTACAGAGGGGTTGCCAGCCATCAGTCATCATTAGCATGCAAAAAACCATCACTTTGGAGAATCTAAGGACTTTAGGAGTTGTATGCCACAGAATGGGTTGAAGACCAAATATACATTTTACAATATCACATAACCATTTATATAATGTATTTAATAAATAATCCTGAATATAATTGTATTGATAAATCAAAGAGCATGGTAGACGGTCAGCCATGTCTTTAGTTCTCATTGTGCAATTCTTTAGGTGCAAATGTACTCCCACATAACTGACAGGAAGTGACTAAACAGAAACGCTTGTACTGTATCTGCCCTTTTCAGCACCACAGTAAGCAGGAGGGCACCATCGACAGAGAGAATGCATCATGCGTGCATGCTTGCGTGCATTCATATTCATTCAGGAACGGGCACTGACTATGTGTAAGGCATTGTATGAGCCACATTTACAGCTGTGAATGTGATAGGTATGGTCCCTGCATTTCTAGAACTTACATTCCAGAACTCTAGCTAAGAAGACAGAGAACCTCAGCATCCAAGCTCAATGAGCAGAGCAGGCAAATTTTGCAGGGGATGTTGGGGGAAAGCAAAGCCACTGTCTTTGTCAGTTTAGGTTGCTATAACAGAATGCCATAGACTGGGTGTCTTCAACGACAGACATTTATTTCTCACAATTCTGGAGGCTGGGAAGTCCAAGAACAAGGTACGGGATGATCCAGAGTCTGATGAGGGCCCACTTCCTGTTTGCAGATGGTGGTCTTCTGGTTGTGTCCTCTCATGGCAGAAAGAGCAAGCTCTAGTTTCTCTCTTTTTGTAAGGACACTAAACTCATCATGGAGGCTCTACCTTCTAAACTTCCTCTTCCTCTCAACTAATTACCTCCCAGAGGCCCCAGTCATCCATTGGGGGTTAGGGTTTCAACATATGGATTCTGGGGGACAGAGACATGCAATCCAAAACATCCATCAGACCTATGCTGTCCAACAAATAGCCACAGCCACATGTGCCTTCGAAGTGAAGCTCATCCAAAGTGAAACAAGCTGTGAGTATAAAATACACACCAGATTTTGAAGATTTAATACTCAAAAAAGAATGGAAAATATCTCATTAATAATTTGTTATATTGATGATATGATGAAATGACAATATTTTGGATATTGGGTTAAATAAAAATATCACGAAATTTTATCTTGCTAGTTTATTTTTACTTTTGTTTAATGTAACCACTAGAAAATTTAAAGTTACTTCTGTGGCTTGAATTTGTGCCTTGCATTATATATCTATTGGACAGTGATGGTAGCCTAGTTGTTCTGAAATGGGGGCAATTTAGCCCCAAAGGGGATATTTGGTAGTCACAAGTGAGGGAAGATGTTTTATTGGCATCTAGTTGGTAGAGGCCTGGGATGTTTACTAAAACATCTTATAACGTACAGGACAGCCTTCCCCCCATAACAAAGAATTGCCTACTAAAAATGTAATAGTACCAATGTTGAGAAACCGTGGTCTGCAGAAATTGATTAATACAATTTCAAAAGACCTTAATGTGAATAAGTAAATAATCTACACATCTATATCTCTGTAAAGGAATATATATAATCTAGTAATCTATAATCAATACATTGCTATCTGCAACATAAAGGACCTGGGGCCAGACGCATCCCAGGCATGGCGCATGAAACAAAGAACATGGAAGAAGAGAAGAGAATTCGGAGCAGACCAGCTCAGGCCACTTTTTCGGACTCTGACAGTGATGTGTCACCAGCATGTCAGTGAGGAAGAACTGAGGTGCTCTCAGACAATTAATCAGTGGCTTATACCTTGTGGCACACACTCCTGAGTTTGAGGAGTCACCACAAATATACACAACAAATCTCATTAAGTCCTATGTTAAGGGCCTTGTAGTTACCATTCAGATTAGTTGGTACCTTCCATCATAAAGATGTTGAAGTTCAAACTGAACAAAGTTAAGACAGTAATTCATTTCAATGAAGTTTATTTCTGCCTGAGCATAACATGTGTTTTAAAAAAGTTGAGAAATTGGCTAAAGGCGGTCCTGACCCTGTAACACCCTGGGAATTGCTTTTCTTTTGAAGGTGTGCCCGATTTCAACTGGTTTATTTGCCATGTGCTTTTTCTTATTCCAAGGTAATAAAGAGTTCTGATTATTTCAGCTTTCTTGTTGCTTGAGTTTTAGCACAGAGTTGTGACTGTAGTTGGATTTGATGCACTAAGTATTTAGAATTGTTGGATCAAAGGTTTTGGGAACTTTGGCTAAGTATTTGGAACTGCTACTTCTCTGTTTCAGTCTTTATTTAAGGAGAAGCACAGTGCTTATCACTGAAGTTCTTCACAAATAACTGCAGAAAAATACGTTTCCTTATTTCGTGCCCAGGGATGGAAATCTCTATTCCTCCTCCACTCCACACTATCTCATTCTGAAAATTATCCTTCTTTGAATGTCCAGTCCTGCCACTCCTCTTCCCTTAACTTCTTCTCAAAGCACAACTGTTGCTTTGAGATTTAGCTAAATAAAGCTTTCCCATTCGTGCATTTGCATTTTTATTTCCAGGGCACCTTGGGTTATTTCTTAAACAGGCAGAAGGTGGTGTTCTTTTAAACTCACAATCTCTAAAATTGAGGCACAAATAAGGCTCCACTTGGAAGTGAAAATAAATTGGTTAGTGATTGGTGAAAGAAAATTATCTTGTTATAGAAACCACTTAAGGAAGACCAGGATTGGTCTGCAAATAGTGTGCTACATCATTCAACCACAGGAAGAGAAAAAGGAAACCACATCACTTTACATAACGTTAGTACCTCATATAACCTTCCAGGCCCTCCTCCTCTAGCCAGATTCATCATCTGCCTTTAAAGGATAATAATTTTCTGGAGTAAGACATATCTAGGAAAAGTATACTTTGGATAAAAATAAACGTAACTAATTTATATTCTATGTGCTATATAGCTATGTTTTAGAGCAGAGGGAATACTGGATTGAGTTGGAAGAGTTCACAAGTATTCCAGCTCTCTTTCTGGATAACATTGCCTTCTTTCACCTTTTTAAATTTAGACATGACCACATGAATGGCTTTGACTAATGAAATATGAGCAGAAGTGAGACACATCGCTTTGAGTCAGCTTTGAGAGGAACTGATCATGGCAATATGCACCACTCTAGAACTTTGAGGTACTTAGATCATCAGAGGCCCTCTGCAGACCCACTTTGCATATGCGGTGGGAAACGTTAAGTCACAGAGGTTTGGGGTTTTTCTTTATTGTGGCATATCCTAGCCTGTCCTGAGTAATCCAACACATCCCTTGATATCTAGTATCTTATTTTTGCCTCCTGTGCCTTTTCCCAAATACTACATACTTCCTGTCAACCTAACATGGGAGACAGAATTTAATAAACACACTTGAAAGTGATCATTTCAAAGAGAAAATACATTTAAAGCACAGAGAGCAGCATCAAGAAAAGAGTGATCGTATGTCAGCAGCCGTTTTGGTGGCCATTGCGGGTGTATGGTTTCTGTTTTGCTTTCACAGAGCCTTTCACCATGTTGAATATGACCATCTGCTCCACTTTTTTTTTTGAGACAGAGTCTCACTTTGTCACCAGGCTGGAGTGCAGTGGCGCGATCTTGTCTCACTGCAACCTCTGCCTCCCGGGTTCAAGCGATTCTCCTGCCTCAGCCTCCTGAGTAGCTGGGATTACAGGCGCACCACCACGCCCAGCTAATTTTTATATTTTTTGTAGAGATGGGGTTTCAGCATGTGGGCCAGGGTGGTCTCGATCTCTTGACCTTGTGATCCGCCTGCCTCGGCCTCCCAAAGTGCTGGGATTACAGGCATGAGCCACTGCACCCGGCCTCTGCTCCACTTTTTATCCATGCCAGTTCAAAACTGTAACCGCAGAATAATTTTTAATGAGCAATTTTTCCATGCCCTGGCTTTGGTTGCAGGCAGTTCTCCATTATGTTTGATGTTTGTGGTCCTTATTGGACTGTATTAGAATGGAGACTAACAACTCGGAGAACACCTGCAGTGTCTGAGACTCTGGATCCAACTTTTCCATGCACTTTTTTTTTCAGTTTGTGTGCTAACCACAAGCATGCAGGCATGAAGGATGAATACTAATCAAAAGGGAAAACTGAGTTGGTTATGGCAATGTCTCAGCTGGAAATTCCTCTTGCCACCAGGGCATGTGTCGAACACATGACTATTGCTGGTGGTGGCAGATGCTGTGCACCAGCTGCCTACCAGTCACTTGAAAGTTCATTTATTTATTTTTTTGGTTTCCACTTAATTTGCTATTTTATCAAAATGAAATGTGTACATAATTTTTAAAAATCAAACAATTCTACAAGCCCTATAATGAAAAATTACAGCCCACCGCTGCAATCCCTCCTGACCCTTCGTTTCTACTCCTTGGATTATCCACTTAAAAATCTCATCACTGTTTTTGTTTCCATGTGTCTAACTAACATGCGACTACTGTGTGGCATCATTTTTTAGATATAAATAGATACATTAGGCCGGGCGTGGTGGCTCACGACTGTAATTCCACCACTTTGGGAGGCCAAGGCGGGTGGATCACCTGATGTCAGGAGTTTGAGACCAGCCTGACCAACATGGTGAAACTCTGTCTCTACTAAAAATACACAAATTAGCCGTGTGCCTGTAATCCTAGCTACTCGGGAGGCTGAGGCAGGAGAATTGCTTGAACCCGGGAGGCGGAGGTTGCAGTGAGCTAAGATGGCGCCATTGCATTCAGCCTGGGCAACAGAATGACACTCTGTCTCAAAAAAAAAAAAAAAAAGTATTGATTTTCCATTGCAAAACACAAAAACTTGGCTTTATTGCATTATCACCTTTTCTACACACACACACACATATGCACACAGCATCAATTAGTTTTTGCTGTGTAACAAACCACCCCAAAATTTACTGGCTGAAAGCAACCATTTATTTACTCAAAACTCTGTGGATCAGCAATTTTAACTTGGCTGAGCTGGCCCATCCTTCTAGTCTTGGCTAAGCTCATTTGTGCAGCTGTGGTCCCTTACTGGGTTGGCTGGGGCTGGCTGACTTAAGTGGCCTCAGCTGGGATGGCTCTCCCACACTCCTCGTGCTCTTTTATCCTCTTGCAGGCCAGGCCAGCTTGTTCACATAGAGGATGGTGGGTCTGCAACAGTCTGAGAGGAAGTATGGAAAGCTGCTTGAAGGCCAAGCTCCAAACTGGCTTCCTGGTACATCCACTACATTCACTCCCAAGGCCAGTCCCATTTGACAGGAGGAGAAACAGACTCTGCCTCTTGGGAGGAGATTCTATAAAGTCACACTGCAAACAATACAGGGAGAAGAGAAGAATTGTGGCCATTTTTGCAAACTACCACATCACACAAATAATAGATACACTCATCTGCATATCCCATAACCGCCATTCTCTTTATATAGCTACAAAATCAGATATCACCGATTTGAGTTAAATCAATATTTCCTACTTACCCTATTAAAAGGATAGGGCTTTATTTATAACTAAGCCTCATAAGTGAACTAGGATTTTTTTTTCTTATATAGGGATTTCTGCTGCGATCCTCAGAGCAAATAGTTGTCTTGTTTCGAGTTGTTTGCTTAGTTTTTGTTATGTATTTACCACTAATTCAGCTCCACACTCTGCAGTAAGTATTCATTTGCTAAGAACAAGGACAACAAATGAATTATCAGTTTCTTTGCACCATCACCCCCCTGGATACAGAAGTGCATTCTGGGGCCCTCTGTCCCTAATCCAGACAGGGTGTTCTTCGGGCCTGCTACATAGTAATCACTCTGAGAATGCCCTGTTTCTTGGCTCATAGCAACTTCTTTCTGAATTTTCTCATCTTGGAGGAGCGAATCTTCTAGCATTAATAGATTCCTGGGAAAGATGCATAGGCGGCAATTTTTTGAGACCTTGAGTGTCTGAAAATGCTTATCTCACTTGCAGACTTGTTTGACAGCCTGCGTGGGGGTTCCACGGTGGAAATTACTTTCTTCAAAGTTCTTAAGGCATTGCTCTTCTGCCTTCCAATATTCTTTTTGAGACCTCTGAGGGCTGATCCTTCATCTCTTTATTATTGGACTTCTGAAAAAAGACGCTGAAACCCCGTCTCTACTAAAAATACAAAAAAATTAGCCAGGCGTGGTGGCGGGCGCCTGTAGTCCCAGCTACTCGGGAGGCTGAGGCAGGAGAATGGCGGGAACGCGGGAGGCGGAGCTTGCAGTGAGCCGAGATCGCGCCACTGCACTCCATCCCGGGAGACAGAGCGAGACTCCGTCTCACAAAAAAACAAAAAAACAAAAAAAGACGCTGGCTGGTGTGTCTCAATAGGGGTTTTGTATTCATTCACATTGTAGGGACATTGACTCAATCTGATAATTTTTCTACTTTATTCCGGGACTCCTTTTTTCTGTTTTCTTTAGATAGAGTCTCACTCTGTCGACCAGGCTGGAGTGCAGTGGTGCGATCTCAGCTCACTGCAACCTCCATCTCCTGGGCTCAAGCGATTCTTCTGCTTCAGCTTCCTGAGTAGTTGGGATTACAGGCACCTGCCACCACGCCTGGCTAATTTTTGTATTATTAGTAGAGACGGGGTTTCACCATGTTGGCCAGGCTGGTCTCAAAACTCCTGACCTCAAGTGATCTGCCCACCTCAACTTCCCAAAATACTAGGATTACAGGTGTGAGCCACTGGGCCTGACTTTGTATTTTTGGTAGAGACAGGGTTTCACTATGTTAGACAGGCTGGTCTCAAAATGGGACTTCTATTAAATATCCTTTATGAATACCCTAATTTTATTATCTTTTTTTTCATATTCTAAAACTATTTATTTTGTTTTGTTTTGCTTTGGGGGAATTTTTAAAACTTTTTCTTCTGCCTCTCTATTTAATATTTATTTATTCTATTATATTTTTAAATTATAAAAGCTCTCTTTTTTTGAGACAGGGTCTCACTCTATCACCTAGGCTGGAGTGCAGTGGTGCAATCATGACTCACTGCAGCCTCGATCTTCCTGGGCTCAGGCGATTCTCCTGCCTCAGCCTCCAGAGTAGCTGGGACTACAACCTCACCTGGCTGACATTTTTGGTATTTTTTGTAGAGGCAGGAGTCTCGCTATATTGCCCAGGCTGGTCTCGAACTCCTGGACTTGAGCAATCTGCCCGCCTCAGCTTCCCAAAGTGCTGGGATTGTAGGTGTGAGCCACCACGCCTGGCCAAGAGCTCTTTAAGTCTTCTGAATATTTCTTTTTAAGAGCAATCTGTTCTTGCTTAACAGATGCAATACCTTTTATCTCTGTAAAGGGTTTTGTTTTTTTTTTTTAGTTTGTTTGGGGTTTTGTGTTTGTTTATGCTTCTTGTTTTTTTGTTTTTTTTGAGGTGGGGTCTCACTCTGTTGCCCAGGCTGGAGTGCAGTGGCGCCATCTCTGCTCACTGTAACGTCCCCTCCCATGTTCAAGCGATTCTCCTGCCTCAGCCTACCAAGTAGCTGGGATTACAGGCGTGTACCACCACACCCGGCTAATTTTTGTATTTTTAGTAGAGACAGGGTTTCACCATGTCGGCCAGGCTGGTCTCGAACTCCTGACCTCAAGTGATCCACCTGCCTCAGCCTCCAAAGTGCTGGCATTACAGGCGTGAGCCACCGCACATGGCCTCCCTGAGGGGTTTTTGTGGGTTGTTGTTGTTGTTTTTTACATTTTTTTCCCTGCTCCCTGTATGGTTTCTTCTCTCTGATATGGTTATTGATTTTGGATTTTACCTTTTGTATTAGAGATTTCCCTCAAATATCTGTTGCTCCTTGGCTGTCCATTTTGAATGCCTGTCCCAAAAAGCTATGGTAGTCCAGAGTATAAAAGTGGGATTTGCAAGTGCTGAGATTCGTTGCAGGGTGATTGAGTATTTTGTCGGGTCCCTCCCAGTGTCTGCATTAATTTTCCTTTGCAGCAGTAACAAATCACCACAAACCTGGTGGCTTAAAACACAAGCTTATTATCCAACTGTCGTGGAGATCAGAAGTCTGATATAGACTTGCTGGGCTAAAATTAGGATGTTGACTGGGCTGCATTCCTTTCTGGAGCCTCCAGGGAATAATCCATTTTCTTTCTTCTTCCAGCCTGAAGAAGCCACCTATACTCCTTGACTTGACTTTTTTTTTTTTTTTTTTTTGAGACAGAGTTTCACTCTTGTTGCCCAGGCTGGAGTGCAGTGGCGCAATCTCGGCTCACCGCAACCTCCACCTCCCGGGTTCAAGCAATTCTCCTGCCTCAGTCTCCCGAGTAGCTGGCATTACAGGCACATGCCATCAGGCCCGGCTAATTTTTGTATTTTTAATAAAGAAAGGGTTTCATCATGTTGGCCAGGCTGGTCTCAAACTCCTGACCTCAAGTGATCCGCACACTTTGGCCTCCCAAAGTGCTGGGATTACAAGGATGAGCCACCATGCCCAGCCTATTCCTTGACTTTTGACCATCTACCTTCATCTTCAAAGCCAGCAACAAAAGGCCAAGACTTTCTCACATCACATGACACTGCCTGTCTCTCCTGCTTCTCTCTTCCATTTTTTTTTATTTTGAGACGGAGTCTCGCACTGTCACCCAGGCTAGAGTGCAACGGCGTGATCTCGGCTCACTGCAAGCTTTGCCTCCCAGGTTCAAGTGATTCTTCTGCTTCAGCCTCCTGAGTAGCTGGGATTACAGGCGCCCGCCACCATGCCTGGCTAATTTTTTGTATTTTTAGTAGAGACAGGGTTTCACCATGTTGGCCAGGCTGGTCTCGAACTCCTGACCTCGTCATCTGCCTGCCTCGGCCTCCCAAAGTGCTAGGATTACAGGTGTCAGCCACTGCACCAGGCCTCTGTCTTCCATTTTTAAGAAACTTTGTGGGCCGGGCATGGCGACTCATGCCTGTAATTCCAGCACTTTGGGAGCCTGAAGCGGGTGGATCACCTGAGGTCAGGAGTTTGAGACCTGCCTGGCCAACATGATGAAACCGCATCTCTACTAAAAGTACAAAAATTAGCCAGGCATGGTGGTGGGCGCCTGTAATCCCAGGTACTTGGGAGGCTGAGGCAGGAGAAACGCTTGAACCCAGGAGGCAGAGGTTGCAGTGAGCCGAGATCATACCATTACACTCCAGCTTGGGCGACAAGAGCAAGACTCCGTCTCAAAAAAAAAAAAAAAAAAGAAAAAGAAGCTTTGTGATTACACTGAGCCTCTCAGATAACCTAAAATACTCTCCCTATGTCAAGAGCAGCTAGTTAACAACTTTAATCCATCTGCCACCTTAATTCCCCTTTGCATCTAAGCTAACATACTCACTGGTTTCAGAGATTAGAACATGAACATTATTGTTTACCACGGTATCTACAGATACTTTCTCTTCAGCTGATCAGTTTACTCAAAGAAGAATTCCCTCTTCCCCTCTTCCCCTGCCAATTCCTCTGCAAGCCTGGCTGCCAGCATCCTAGGGACAAGAGGAAGTTGGTGCTGGTGATGCCACTATTTGGTTTGGAGGTGCCCCCCCCCCCAGTCTCTCTAGTTTCCAGTTGACACCAGTGCCCTCAGCTGCGCCCAGTATTCCCCAGTCCAGAACGTTCTCAATCAACCTCTTTTGAGAATAAACCTCCAGTCCCGTGGTAACTGCAGAAGGGGGGATAGTAGCTGGCAATGCAGGATACCATAGAGAATATAAAGGTCAATAGACTCTTAACCTCCCCTCCCCTCCCCTCCCTTCGTCTCCCCTCCTCTTTTCTTCTTTTGAGGTGGAGTCTCACTCTGTCACCCAGGCTGAAGTGCAGTGGTGCTATCTCGGCTCATTGCAACCTCTACCTCCTAGGTTTAAGTGATTCTCCTGCCTCAGCCTCCCAAGTAACTGGGATTACGGGTGCCCGCCACCAAGCCCAGTTAATTTTTGTACTTTTAGTAGAGACGGGGTTTCACCAGAAGAAGAACTCCTAACTTCAAGTGGTCTGGCTGCCTTGGCCTCCCAAAGTGCTGGGATTATAGGCATTTTAAGCCACCACGCCCAGCCTACTCTTCCTATTTTCAATCTTGCCCACACTGGTTCGGAGGCAGCTGGTGCCTCTATTGCTGACACTCTCCAGGGTTCTATGGCTCCGTTCAAGCTGATGTTTGGCTTTACTTCTCCTGTCTAGCAAGTCAGTTATTGCCCGTCCTGCTGCAAGGTAGCTTTTGAAATACTGGTATTTCCTCTTTTTTTCCTAGAGTCCCAGTTGAGTGTATTTTGTGTTAGAGTTAGCCTAACTCTAATTGTGTTAGGCTGTTCTTGCATTGGTATAAAGATATACCTGAGACTGGGTAATTTATAAAGAAAAGAGGTTTGATTGGCTCATGGTTCTGCAGGTTTTATAGGAAGTATGGTGCTGGCATCTACTCGGCTTCTGGGAAGGCCTCAGGAAACTTACAATCCTGATGGAAAGCAAAGGGGAGCTGTATATCGCACCGGAAGAGCAGGAGCAACAAAGAGAGTAGGGGGAGGTGCCACACACTTATAAACCACCAGATCTCACAAGAACTCACTCAGTATTGTAAGGACAGCACCCAGCCATGAGGGATCCACCCCCATGACCCAACTGGATCATGTTAATTTTTGTATTTTTAGTAGAGACGGGGTTTCACCATGTTGGCCAACCTGGTCTCGAACTCCTAACTTCAAGTGATCTGCCTGCCTCACCTCCAGAATTGGGGATTGCATTTTAACATGAGATTCGGGGGGACAAATATCCAAACTATACCACTGACTGTCATCTTAGGGGGACTTTGAGAAGGATTGGAAATATACATATAGATATAGATACAGATATTTTTAATTTGCCATGTTTAGCTAGAAGTCCCTATGGTTTGTTTCTTAGGAGTGCTGTGTAACTGTGGAACCAATTAGGTTCTTTGTTCTGCATGAAAATCAGTTTCTATTAGTCTTCATTAAACACCAGTGACAAGAGTTCCGTTTTTTTTGTTGTTGTTGTTTGTTTGTTTTTTAAATTTTCTCTGAAGGAAGTAAAGGTGACAGTTACCAGGTGGCAATCTCAAAATACTAATGTAAAAATAGCCTGCTTTACCTGGTCCCGAGTAGGTGCTCCACAGGGCATTTGTATGAATTACATGATGCCTAAAATGGACTCCAAGAATCATGGAAGTCCAAGCTTTAATCCCAATATCTCTAAGCACAGGGTCATGTATACTGAGCTGCTGCTACATAAACACTTCTTGTAGTTTTCTGAATTGAAACTAGGAAAGCAAGCTCACTTCTCATTCTAAATGTTCTAAAAGGACAGTAAAAGGTACTATATTCTAATCAGTTTCAACGAAGGTAAAATAGTGAATTCCCAGGAAAGCATCAAATAAAGCTTTGATATTTTATATACTAGTTATGCTGTCGGTAGTAGGTCAGATAAATTATGCATAGAAGATGTGGATTTTATCACCTCCTAGTTAAATTAACATGTGATTATCTTTCTCCCTCCCCACAAAGCATGCTATTTCATTAATTGTTTTACTTTTTCCTGATAACTCCATTCAAGGAATAAAAATTTGGCCAAATATTATTTTGAAAATACAGGTGGGACCGGGCACAGTGACTCACGCCTGTAATCCCAGCATTTTGGGAGGTTGAGGTGGGTGAATCACCTGAGGTCAGGAATTCGAGACCAGCCTGACCAACACGGTGAAACCCCGTCTCTACTAAAAATACAAAATTAGCCAGGTGTGGTGACACGTGCCTGTAATCCCAGCTACTTGGGAGGCTGAGGCAGGAGAATCTCTTGAACCTGGAAGGCAGAGGTTGCCCTGAGCTGAGATCGCACCATTGCACACCAGCCTGGGCAACAAGGGCAAAACTCCGTCTCAAAAAAAAAAAAAAAGAGGGCCAGGCTCGGTGGCTCACGCCTGTAATCCCAGCACTTTGGGAGGCCGAGATGGGCGGATCACGAGGTCAGCAGATCGAGTCCATCCTGGCTAACACGGTGAAACCCTGTCTCTACTAAAAATACAAAAAAATTAGCCGGGCGTGGTGGCGGACACCTGTAGTCCCAGCTACTTGGGAGGCTGAGGGAGGAGAATGGCGTGAACCCAGGAGGCAAAGCTTGCAGTGAGCTGAGATCGTGCCACTGCCCTCTAGCCTGGGCAGCAAAGTGAGACTCTGTCACAGAAAAAAAAAAAAAAAAAGAAAGAAAGAAAGAAAGAAAAGAAAAGAAAAAGGAAAAGAAAATGAAAATACAGGTGGATGGGGGAAATATTACCCAGTTAGAGGTAGCACGGTAGCTATAATCTCAGTCTCTTTTTCTTAGAACCGTGGCTTTTTTTGTGTGTGTGTGGTAAGTATTTACTGCCCTTTTGGGGTTGTCCTGTGTGGTATCTGTAAGAGATGTTGGAACTAATACTGAGTTTATCAGGGGCCTGCAGGCATGCAGCAGTGTGCTCAGAGCAACAGCCAGCACAGATATTCAGCAGACCTCAAATTAGGATGTTGGCTCCTCTCAGAAACCTTCTTCCAGCCTTAGACCAATGTCTCCAATTGCTTTGGGCTTCATTGACACCTGGGAACAGCAGCTGCATCCACCCCAGGGTGCACAGAAGCTTGGTTGTGTTAGCAAGGCCCACTTCTACTCTGAAATGCTACCAATAAACTGTGAACATGTGACATTTTCACATACACATCTTGGGGCAAAGAACAGGCAGTTCAGCCCATACATAAAAAGTGGACAACAAAACTGCTCAGAATGAATGTTTATGACACACTTTGTTCCTTCAGAGTAAAAAAAAAAAGAAGTTCTTTGATACATTGTATATGGTAGTACTTTATTGTACCATATTTATCTCTCCAAGCTTGGGACCTCGTCTGGACTGCTTGGTGGGTGAGAAAACAGAGGGGAAGAAAAATCTTTTTGATCTGTTCTGCAAAGACACGAAGGGAACTGAAGAGATAACTATTAAGACATGAAGGGAAGTGAAGAGATACTTATTAGCTTTGTGACCTTAGGCACAATCTTTCTTCTCTTGGGACCTCATTTTTTCTCATTTGTAAGTGAGGGGATTGGATTATTTATATATTGAAGTAAGAGGTTTCTTTCAATGTTAAAAAACTTGAGATTCCAAGATAGGTGATTTGCACAAAACAGTGGGGGAAGAGAGCCTGTGAAAAGGCACATCTCCCATTATGTAAGGATTTATCATTATCTCCAGCTTACATTCGGCACTTTTATACAAATACAGATGTTAGAAATTTGTAACGAGTAAGGAACATACTGAAAGATTTAATAGAAAGAAATAGCGTATTGAGGGCTTTTTAAAAATAGCAATACTGGGCTGGGCGCGGTGGCTCACGCCCATAATCCCAGAACTTTGGGAGGCAGAGGCAGGCGGATCACAAAGTCAGGAGTTCGAGACCAGCCTAGCCAATATGGTGAAACTCCCGTCTCTACTAAAAATACAAAAATTAGCCGGGTATGGTGGTGGGTGCCTGTAGTCCCACCTACCTGGGAGGCTGAGGCAGGAGAATCGCTTGAACGCAGGAGATGGAGCTTACAGTGAGCCAAGATGGCGCCACTGTACTCCAGCCTGGGCTACAGGGGGAGACTCTGTCTCAAAAAAAAAAAAAAAGAAAAAGCAATACTGTCTCGGCGTGGTGGCTCATGCCTGTAATCCCAGCACTTTGGGAGGCTGAGGCAGGTGGATCATCTGAGCTCAGGAGTTCGAGACCAGCCTGGCCAACATGGCGAAACCCCGTCTCTACTAAACATACAAAAAATTAGCTAGGAGTAGTGTGGTGTGTGCCTGTAATTCCAACTACTTGGGAGGCTGAGGCAGGAGAATTGCTTGAATCTGGGAGGTGGAAGTTGCAGCAAGTCGAGATCATGCCATTGCACTCCAGCCTGGGTGACAGAGTGAGAATCTATCTCAAAAATAAATAAATAAATAATAAATAATAACAATACTATTGTTTGCAGAGCTCTGTGCTTTGGGAAACTCTGGGAAACTCATCTAGTACCAAAGAAAATGTTAATCAAACTTATTTTTTCATTTTATTATCCATTTTATAACTGGCATTGTAATTGGTCCACCCATCCACTCTTGGTACTTGGAGATTTCGAACCCCATAAAAAAGACACTAGAGTGTTTTCTTGCGTGGGCACCGCACTTCTCTGCACACAAATGCTTTATCAACAAATTATCTCATGCAAAACCTTGTTTTTTACAGTCAGAAAGACACAACTTGAAATAATTGTTTTTGCAAACATTTTGAAAGCTAAATTTTTCTCGGATTTTTCTCTTGATATGAAAGCTCTGAGTTTGATTACTCTTGATCTTATGGTAAAGATGAATATTTCATTTCAGTTCAGCCCAGTTTTCCAGAGCACAACCAATTTTCCTGATTGACAGTGGATTGTACGGGCAGATAAAAGGGGATTCTGGGGAAAGACAGGCTGGCCCAGAAGCCTCAAGAAACCAGAGTTCAAACCCAGCCCTGAGAGTAACTAACTAGCTGGGCGGTTTAAGGCAAATCCCTTTCCTTTCTGGACCTTGGTTTCTCTACCATTGTGTAATGCCCTTGTCACTGCATTCCTGGCAAGAACTTCCTCAAGTAGTTTGCTTTGTGGAATGATGCCAGACTGGGAATAGCTTAAATAAGAAGGGATGGAATTACTACCAAGTTATTTTAATATGCTCATTACCATAAATGAAAATTAATTCCATGGTTGAGAAATGAAGACACCATGCCACCAAATCCCATGTCTCGCATGTTTTAAGCCCAGCTAGCGACAGCCAGCATTCATTACAGTCCAGCCTCTTTAACGCTCCGTGGCTTCCTTGCTCATGCTGTCGTCCTCTGGTACTTCCTGTCCATCCAGTGTCTTATGGACACTGGCCTGAGAGGCCCATCAATGCTGACTGTGACGTTTCCAGCACATAATGCAATTGACATTCCTGCTCTCACCAAGGAGCAGGGAACATACCCTGTAGCACATCATTTTGATCTTCTTCCTCTTCTTTTTAAGGATTTTTTAAAATTCCAGACAGAGCATCATTTAGGGTCTCATTTGAGGGCTCTCTGCCGTTCTTCAAGCCCTGCCCTCTCTATGGCTATATTCAATCAGGATTTAGTTAAGCTGTGAATAAAGAAACCATAAACAAAGGACTAAATAAGATAGAAGTCTTGTTTCTCTTTCCTGCAAAAGAAAACTGGAGGTAGGTAGTCCAGTAGGCATGTTCAGAAAGTCATCATCAACTCAGGCCCATTCTATCTTGCTGGTATTGCCATTTTTAGTGCCAGATTTTTACCTCATGGGCTAAGATGGCTGCTGGAGCTTCATCTATTATGTCAACATCCCTCTCAATTCCCTCTCAATGGGGAAAAAAAAAAAAAAAAAGGGTCCGAAACACATTGCCCTCATGCTTTAAAGACCATTTTTGGAACTTATACGTGACACTTCTGTTTACATTTCATTGACCAGAACTTAGTCACATGGACATTCCTAGCTGCAAGGGAAGCTTGAAAAACGTAACCTTTATTCCAGGTAGTCATGGGCAGAGCTAAATGAGAGTGTTGTGTAAGATCACTGGGAACTGTCCCAGATCAAATATCTGGAGAATTCTTTCACTTTCAAATATTTATGAACAATTTTTATAGAAAGACTTCAACATTAAATTAGGAAGTACTATCCCAGGAAGGACAATCTGAATAGGAGATAAATCACATTGAACTGCTTCATTCATGTCTTAACACATCTGTGCAGAGCTGTGTTAACCTATCAGGGTGATATAAGGTAGTTGGGGGTTATGGGTTAACTAAAAAAGTTTTCATGGATAAATTTTATCCAAAAGTAAACAGACAGAAAACATATAATTTGATAGAATAATGGGGTAGGCTGTTTCAAGAATGAGCAGAATTAGTCTTTGGTGAAACCATAAAGTAAATATGCTCCTTCAGTGCCTTTGTGGTAACTGCTACACATTTTCCCCTTTTTTTTTTTTTGACATTATTCCCCTTCTACCAGAATGTGATGGTGCATGCACATTTGTTTACACACACGCCCCTACACAGAGGTGTACACTAATGTTTTCACACCTACACAGGAGTGTACACTCATGTAAGAAAAAAATGAATCACTAAACTAATTAAATCCTATCTACTTAAGACTTAACTTGCTACTCATCCCAGGAGCACTGTGCAAATTAAATTAAAATTCAATTTCCCAGGAGTGAGCGTCACTTTGATTCTAGTCAATAAATGCCTTAGGGATGAATTCTTGCCGAACTTTATAAGGATTATAAAGAATACATTTTTTTTCCCTCAAAGAGACTCTACTCTGGTAGATAGGGAGCCATGCATCTTCCAAGAAAAAAATACACAATATGATCTTTTATTCAAACTATTAAGGGCCCTTGGAAAGCAGAGTCTTACTCCAGTTTGGGAGGAAGATGGTGAGAAATGGGCAATATTTTTCAGGTAGAATTGGGCCTGGTGATATAGTTTGGCTGTGCCCCACCCAAATCTCATCTTGAATTGTAACTCCCATATTTCCCATGTGTTGTGGGAGGAACCCCAGTGGGAGGTGATTGAATTATGGAAGCAGGTCTTTCCTGTGCTGTTCTCGTGATAGTAAATAAGTTTAACGAGATCTGATGGTTATGTAAGGGGGAGTTTTCCTGCACAAGCTCTCTCTTTGCCTGCCACCATCCATGTAAGATGTGACCTGCTCCTCCTTGCCTTCCGCCATGATTGTGAGGCCTCCCCAGTCACGTGGAACTACAAGTCCATTAAACCTCTTCTTCTTCCCCGTCTCAGGTACGTCTTTATCAGCAGCATGAAAATGATCTAATACACCTGGATAGAAGATGGGCATGGCAGAAGAACCAGCTGAGCATAGAGGTGGATGATGGTGAGTAGTCTGTGTGATGGGGCAGAGGCTATCCAGGAGGGTAATGGGACACCCCCTTGAAGGTATAGTTTGAGACTTATCATGGAGGGCCCTAGCACTTTAGTAATAAAAGCAATAGGCAATACAAGGAAGAGATGGGAAAAATATCCTGAGCAGGGCTAGTCTATAAGAAATGTCATCTGGGGGTTGAATACATAGGACCCATGAAGACAAACTTGGAGACTGGCCCAAATCCAGACAAGAGGCAGAGAAGACCTAAATAAAGGCAGTGCGGGTGGAGAAAAGAGAACGCATTCCTAATGGTGACATGCCGAATGACAATGAGGTGGGGTACTCAGGGGAGAGAGCCCTTCCAGGCACTTCTCATGTAACACTATGTGGGGGCTAGCCACCACATAGCCCCATGTGTAAGCACCACCCCCATGCCCAAGCTCAGCGACAGAGGGAGGGGAAGGCAGAAAACCTGAGTAAACCAAACATAAGAATGGGAAGCAGCAGCATAGATTTTCAGAGTTGAAGAGGGCTTTAGACACCAACAGTAACAAGTGTCACTTTTTCTTTTTTTGTAGATGGAGAAACATAATGGCTTTGGGGACATAATGGCAGCAAAAGAGATGCGGGACCTGCCTTCTCTGATACTAGTGTCTTAACAGTATCTAAGAACACCGTGTGGAAAGTCAGAAGACAAATAACAAATTTAGGGAAATACTTGCAACATATATCACAGATAAATATGGCTAATCTCCCTAATAAAATGCATATAGATAACAGGAAGATTAGGCATCCCATGGAAAATGGGCAAGGAACGTGAACAGAGTTCACTCAGGAAAAAAAATGGTCCTTAATCACATGAAAAGATATTCAACGTTACTCAAAATCAGAAAGATGCACATTGAAACAACATTACCATCTCTTAACTCCCAACTAAAAGTGAGACATTACTGGTGAGGCTGTGGAGAAATGGACGTTATTTTGTTGATGCAAATGTAAAATGATATAGGCCACAGGACGGGTAATATGCAAGGATGGCAGCAGCCGCTATCATCAGCCAGCTGCAGCAGAAAGGCACGGCTGGGGCTGCACACTCCATGGAGCCGGTGGGAGCCCCACCCCTTTCGAGTTGGGGCAGGAGCACCCCGGGTGCCACTGCAGCCCACCCAACCCGGCTGCAGACCCAGGCCTCCTGCTCTAAGGCTGTGGATCTGAGCCTCCCTGTGCTCTTCGGGGGGTCAGGGAGCAGGTAGGATCTGCCCTCCTGGGTGCAGCTGCAGCTGCCCGACCCATGGCTGCAGACCTGGGCCTCTTACTCCACGGAGCAGGCAGGAGCCAGGGACAAGCGGGAGCTCCGCCCCTTCCCAGTTAGGGCGGGAGCTCCTCCGGTGTAGCTGCTGCCGCTCTCCCAGGTACAGGACCGGGGTATCTCTGCAGCCTGCACACTCAGGGGCCCGGGAAGGGCCCCCCATTCCTTGCAGGCTTGTGGGTGTCTCCTCCGGCTGCTTGGCTTCTCTCCCCTCCCAGCACCTGCTCCAATCTGGGAGAGGGTTGAGGCCAAGCTCCAGAGCCATGAATGGCAGCATGAGGCCGATTGATTCCTGGGCGAAAGGGGGCAGGTCCCTGGTAAGGCTGGGGGCTGGGCTGCCAGTCCCGCCAAAAGGGTGGGGACTTTTGGTGCCTCCTCCAGGCCTGCCCACGGACCAATCAGCCAGCACACACTTCCTCCACTCTGAGGTCCATAAAAACTGCTGGGCTCAGCCGAAGAAGCAGCCGGAGGGCAGAGGGTGGAGAGGGGAAAGGATGACTAGCTGCAGAGAGGAGTTACCCTTTCTGCTGAAAGCGTCAGAGACCTGCAGAGATGTCTCAACGACCTGCCTTTGGAGAGAAACCACCCTCTCCAGGGCCTTCTCTCTGCTGAGAACTGAACACTCCACAAGACGACCTGCCTACAAAGAGGAGCTACCTGAGCTACCCACTGTCGGTCTCCTCTGAGCTGCTCTAACACTAGATGAAGCTCCTCTTCATCTTGTTCACCCTTCACTTGTCTGCATACCTCATTCTTCCTGGATGCAGGACAAGAACTCAGGCAAAGATGCTACTGGCCACAGAGGTTTCTGGGAAGAAAATTGACACATAACAGCAATACCTACCAAAATTACTGGTGTATTTATCCTTTCACCCAGCAAACCAATCCTGCACATTATTTACTCTACATATAATCTGCACATGCATGAAATAATGCTTACGTGTGGCCATTATCACAGCAGTATTTCTAATAGCAAAAGATTGAAAACAACCAAACAGCCAACTTAAGGAATGGGTTCCATGCAATAGAACAGTTACACGGTAGAATACAATGCCACTGTAAAAAGGAAGGAGGAGGTTCTCTATGTTTTGACATAGAACAGGCTCCAGAGTATATTGTAAAGGGAAAAGAGCCTGATGTGGAATATGCATTATGTATGTTATCTTTTGTGTTTAAAAGGGGAAAACAAGAATATAAATATTTGCATTTGTCCTTGCAAAATAAGAAATACCGGAAAGGTAAATAAGAAACTAATAATGTTTACCTCCAAATGGAGAAGTAATGGAGTAAAAGAATTCAGAGCTAGATGGCTTAGCATATTTTTCTATTTCATTTTGATTTTTTCACCTTGTAAACTTGTTAATAATTTTTAAAATAACCACACTAAAAAATTTGCAGTTCCAACTGTGGCAGATACATAAGTGGTATTATCACAGCCAAGAAAGATTTGACCTAATCAAAGAGATCAAGGAAAGCTTCCTTGAGGAAGTGGCTCTTGAGCTGAGATCTGGAGACTAAATGGAAGCTAATGGGTTCAAAGCGCGGAGAAGAGCATTAGAATCCGAGAAGGAATGATAGACTGGATAAAGAAAATGTGGCACATATACACCATGGAATACTATGCAGCCATAAAAAAGAATGAGTTCATGTCCTTTGTAGGGACATGGTTGAAGCTGGAAACCATCATTCTCAGCAAACTAACACAGGAACAGAAAACCAAACACCGCATGTTCTCACTCATAAGTGGGAGTTGAACAATAGAACACATGGACACAGGGAGGGGAACATCACACACTGGGGCCTGCCGGGTTGTAGGGGGATAGGGGAGGGATAACATTAGGAGAAACGCCTAATGTAGATGACGGGTTGATGCATGCAGCAAACCACCATGGCACGTATATACCTATGTAACAAACCTGCATGTTCTGCACATGTATCCCAGAACTTAAAGAGTTTTATATATATATATAAAAGAATCCGAGAAGAAGCCCATGTGAAAGCCCTGCGATGGGAAGGAAACTGGCACTAACAAAGAACTGAAAGCAAACAGCATAGTGAACAAAGCTGTGAGATGAAGCTGGACCACGAAGGACAGGCTATACCATTGCAGGGGTAGGAAGCTGTGTTGAGAAACTTCGTTTTGTTTTGTTTTGAATTCTAAGAGCAATAAGAAGCTGTTGAAGGGTTTTAAATAGGCACACATGGAGAGTCCAGGGAAGTTTGAACTTTATTCAGGGGACTATTCGTAGTCACTAGAAAATGTCAAAGTTTGATTTGGTCACTACACTTGTTCCTAGAAAGAACCATCGGCTCCACCTGTCGCCCAAATTCACCTATAAAATCAAACACGATGCCTGCTAACGGTATTCTGCGTATTTCAATTATGATTCATCATTTGCTATTTGCTAAAACATTACACAAATTGCACAAAGGATAAAGTTGTTATAGTCTAATTTACATTGGAACTTATCGTCGTTTCTAGGCAACATCATTGCACTGGATAATGATGGCTCCGACCTCCAGAATCTTTCACAATCTGGTAAGTGAAATGAACGAGGGAACCAATTTCTGTGTGTTCAGGCCAGTATCACAGCCTATTACATCTAGCCTGGGAATAAAACCCATTTTTAATGCACCATTTGATAAGAACACTTAACCTCAGTATGTGTTGTAATTAGAGAGATAATTAGAACTTCACCAGAACCTCTTAAGAGTAGGAATACATTTGAAATTCACCTAGAATGAAAATTGCACTATCTAAAACAAATCTAAGGTATTCTTTCTTCCAACTTTACCTTCCCTCCTCTCCTCACCCTAAAGCTTTTGCAGCCTAAGAAATGCGAAATGATAGGAATTTCATAGGTAGTGCATATCACAGAAAGCTAATGAGTTCAATCAAAAATTGCATTACAGTTATTTGAAAGGGAAAAAAAACTCTTAATTTTGAAAACCAGCTTCAGAGGCCAAGTGTGGAGAAGATGAAGTGAGTCATGTATGCAGAGAGAAAAAACTGCTCTTGCATGAATCCACTCATAAAATGTTAATATATGCATAAGAAAATTGTGTTCCTTAATCTCTGAAGAAACACTTATCACTAAGAACCCTTTAATTCTTTTCCTGTGCTTGATTTATTAGCTTATGAAATTATGTTAATAGTCTTCATGTTAATGGTTTGGGGGCTCAAATGACCTGATTTTAATAATGAAGTAATTTATGCAATAAATGCAATCAGCATCTATGAATCTCACTTAACAGAACATATTGGTGATTAGCCAATGCTAAAACAAGTGACTGTCAGCATGGGGCAATGCATGTGCTTCTGCAGTGAAAATAGATCTTATTGCTGGGCAGGGAGGTGGGGGTTACTCAAGACACATGATCCATGTTGCAGGTCTCGCTTTGCCAGAGAGGTTGAGACTGAATTTGAAATTAATTTAAAAACTGTTCAGTGAATCTGATGTTTCAGTGACTGTGGCATAAATCTATATGTGAGGCGTGTGCATGACAAGGAACATTTGTATCTTTGCTGGGGTGTGGAATGGATTCCTAGAAAGAAATTAGGGAGTACAGAAAACACAGCATTTGAAAAATAAAACAGCCGATCTGCTTCCTGGGAAAGAACAGAGCACCAGTAAAGGAAGGTCTCAGAGGAGGTGGAGTGGACATTTAGGGAAAAACTGAAGATTTCCAATCCTGTAATTATAAAATCTGTGTCTCAGAATAGCCTGGGTGCTAGTATTATTCAACCCTGCTTTGAAGCATATTATGTTGAATTACTCTTTTGTGGGGGAAGAGAGGTCATTTCACTTTTTTTCATTCCCTACAGATCTAAAGCTTAGAAACAGCCAGTATACACCACGTATACCCATCTTAGTGCAAAGACACATTTGAAACATGCTGGCTGGATTCGATATTATTCTTTCTTTCCTCAGTGATCTCCGGGAAATAAATTTCCATCTCTTTCTCTTATCTTGTTACTTAAGTATTCCTCCCAGGAATTCTATCTCCCTTCCAATTAAAATGTAACTAAACTGTTCTCTGACTCTCTAGAACTAAAGAAAGCAGTGGTCATCCCCCCCTCCCATTAACTATGCAAAACCCCAACCAGGCTCGAGGAAAGCCGGGGGCAGAGCAGCAATCTGTGCTTCCAACAAAGTCCAGAAGCCACAGGACAAACATCCCAGCATCCCTGATCTTCACCCTCAACACTGACATTCCACAAGATATAGGGTTTTTTTTGTTGTTGTTTGTTTGTTTTCTTTTGAGACCAAGTCTCTCTCTGTCATCAGGCTGGAGTGCAATGGCGCGATCTCAGCTCACTGCAACCTCCGCCTCCCAGGTTCAAGCAATTCTCCCATCTCAGCCTCCCTAATAGCTGGGATTACAGGCGCACACCACCACGCCCAGCTAATTTTTGTATTTTTAGTAGAAATGGGGTTTCACCATGTTGGCCAGGATGGTCTCGATCTCTTGACCTCATGATCCGCCCGCATCGGCCTCCCAAACTGCTGGGATTACAGGCGTGAGCCACTGCGCCCGGCCAAGATATGTATTTTTTAATGTTTAAAAACACTGTTGGCTGAGGTATTTGATAAAATAGTATACATCCCCTGAAGAAAGTTCAGCATCTAGTGTGCTTTGGGACAATATCAAGTAAAAAAGGCAAAACATTAAATTAGCTAACCTTTAAATTGTGATATTGTGCAAACAGCAGTGGCTTTGAGATCAGAGTTCTTTGGGTCTGTAACTTGGCTTCCACCTCTCACTACCTGTGGAATCGGTCAAGGTACTTGGCTCTTTATGAGATATTTATAAAGATTTCTGTTCTTCTAACTTTTAATGAAGGGGTGTTGTGATGGTTAATTTTATGTGTTGACTTGACCATGGAGTGCCCACATTAAATATTATTTCTGGGTGTCTCTGTGAGGATATTTACTGAGGTGGTCAGCATTTGAATCAGCAGACTCAGGAAAGTAGATGGCCCTCCCCTGTGTGGGCTGGCATCATCCAACCCATTGAAGGCTTGAAGAGAACAAGTGGAGGTCAGCTGGGTGTGGTGGCTCATGCCTGTAATCCCAGCACTTTAGGAGGTCAAGGTGGGCGGGTCACTTGAGGTCAGGAGTTTGAGACCAGCCTGGCCAACATGGTGAAACCCCTTCACTACTAAAAATACAAAAATTAGTCAGGCGTGGTGGCACACGCCTGTAATCCCAGCCACTCAGGAGGCTGAGGCAGGAGAATTGCTTGAACCCAGGAGGTGGAGATTTTAGTGAGCTGAGATCTCGCCGCTGTACTCCAGCCTGGGCAGCACAGCAAGACTGTCTCAAAAAAAAAAAAGAAAAGAAAAGAAAAAAAAAGAACAACAAGTGCAGGAAGGTTGGATTCATTCCCTTCTTACTTGCTGTCTGCCTGAGCTGGGAGATCGGCCTTCTCTTGCCCTTGGACTACGGTTCACACATTAGGTTCCACTGGTTCCCAGGTCTTTAGACTTGGACCGGAATTACACCACTGCTTCCCTTGGTCTCCAGTTTGCAAACCACAAGCCATGGGACTTTTTACCTTCCATAATCATGTGAGCCAACTCCTCATAATAAATCTTCTCTCTTCTCTCTCTCTCTTTCTCTCTCTGTGTATGCCCCATTGGTCTGTTTCTCTGATGACCCCTGATTAATTTCATGATAAAGTGATAAGGTGTGTGGCTTTGGAAAATATATACAGAATATACCGTACAAGAATATCAATCTTTAGTAGAATTAAAATTCTTCAACCCAGTTGTAAATTCGTATTTCATTGACCAAATTAGAAATGTGAAATCTCATGTCTCACATGAATCCTAACCAAACCTCCATCGTTCTTTGGATTTGCATAATGTTGACGGTAATTTCTACCACAACATAAAGCATGAAGTAAAATGCCTCTAGGAGGCTTCATGTGCAGTCTGCAATAAAAACTGCTCAACATAAATCCATAATTTTAAAAATCACAACTGAGAGTAACGCCTTGCACACGGCAGCACCTATGGGTCTGAAATCTACTCACAGGCTGTCAAGCCTGGCATCGTGTAGGTGCAGAATGAATGGTAAACGCCTCCATCTCATTAACCGCCACTACTGCAAATCTGTAGAAGTGTTGTCCGCATTTCACAAACAGAAATATCTGCCAGGAGATTTTTATACCTACTTTGCCTGTGTCTCCAAGCACAAAATCTGGTTTCTTTATCTACCGGAATAATCACTGTTATGGCTGCATTTTTCATCAAACGTGGTTTTAACTCATATTATAATAAATAATTAATAAAATTGCAAGGGCACTGTCTCCTTGCAAAAGAGGTAACTCCTGAAGTTATTTTAACCACCTCTCCTCATGCAAAATTTTGAGGAATTTTCTTTCACACAGCCAGAAAATTATTAAAAAACTATAAAAAATTAATTTTGCTTAATATCAGTGTGGGAAGTATAAGTCTAAACTAACGTCTTCTTTTGACTCTAAGCGATGACGTCCGAGATGTACAGCTATTACTGTTCTTATGGAATGCCATGGTTTTTTATTTTTATTTTTCTGAATTCTTATGCCTGTTACTTGAGGTGACTTTCCCCTCACCAGAGCTCTCAAATCACATGGACGCTTTTTTCCATCTTTTTTTTTTTTTTTTTTTGAGACAGAGTTTCACTCTTGTCGCTCAGGCAGGAGTGCAATGGCACACTCTCTGCTCACTGCAACCTCTGCCTCGCAGATTCAAGTGATTCTCCTGCCTTAGACTCCCAAGTAGGTGGGATTACAGGCTCCTGCCACCACACCCAGCTAATTGTGTATTTTTAGTGGAGATGGGGTTTTACCATGTTCATCAGGCTGGTCTTGAACTCCTGACCTCAGGTGATCCACCCACCTTGGCCTCCCAAAGTGTTGGGATTACAGGCGTGAGCCACTATTTCTTCCACTTTTGTGGCCAACATTGTACCTTAAGAAGCAGGAAGAAAAAAGTGTTAGGTGAAAAAGTAGCTGGGACAAGAAGTGGCTGTCCTTTTGTCTCTTTTCTGAGTTCCTGATTCTGTACAATACTCTGCTATATTTTGGGGGCTAATCCCTTCTACTTTGCCCTATTTTGCTGAACACTGCACCCTCCACTCTTCAAGGAACATTGGCTGGTTTATAGCCACTTTCACCATTTTGAGAGGCTGCTTTAATTATTCTTTGGGTGGCAGAGACACATTCTGTTTCTAACCCTGTGGTGCTGAGATGCCCATCGTGTCAAGAGATACCGCACTTCCTGTTGCTCTGATGGGTGGATTCGCCAGCCATTCTTCTCTTCTAAGAATGTTACTGTCCCTGGTAACTCAGGAGCTTCTCACATCTTCTGACTTACATGGTTCAGAAGATATCCTTTCTTCCATGCTCTTAGTTAAAACATTTGTTGCATTAATCACTATTCCTGAGTAATTTAAACCAGCCATTATGTCAAAAGAAATGCATTAACATTGATTTTTAAAGTCAGTTATTTTCATTTTGTGTATATATATACAATTATTATAATTATTATTATTTTGAGACAGAATTTCACTCTTGTTGCTCAGGCTGGAGTGCAATGGTGTGATCTCAACTCACTGTAACCTTCACCTCCCGGGTTCAAGCGATTCTCCTGCCTCAGCCTCCCGAGTAGCTAGGATTACAGGCATGTGCCACCACTCCCAGCTAATTTTGTATTTTTAATAGAGATGGGGTTTCTCCATGTTGGTCAGGCTGGTCTCGAACTCTTTATATTTTTTAAAAAGGAATATATCAGAGTCAGTTCTATTCAAGCCAGGGAGGTAATACAAAGTCCTTCCTAAACATGGGCTTCTCCCTCTCTCTCCACACCTTATTGTACTGTTTTTTTTTTTGGCAGTGTAAAGACTCTGGCCTGTTTTGTGTTTAAACTCATTTTATGAAATGAATGGGTAACAAAAAAGAGACTTCCTATTGCTAAAATAACTATTCTTGGGTTCAATAAATATATTTTTTCAAAAATGGCCAGAAATAGATTCTTTTTTAAATCTCAGTGTCTTTATATAACACAGAACCACAGTATTGTGGTTGAAAGTGTGGATTCTGGAGCCAGAATAGCTCGGATATGAATCCTGCCTCTCTTGTAATAGCTCTGTGACCTCGGGCAATGACTTAACCCTGCTGCAGCACACTTTTCTCCTCTTTAAAATGGAGGCAATAATAATATCTACCTCTTTCAATTATATTGAAGACTAACTGAATTTATACTTAGAACAGTGTCTGGCATAGGGTAAATGCTCAATTGCTGTTATCTATTATTAGGGTAGACCACTGGCTGTGACTACAGAACAGATCCTGGAAATTTCCAGGTAGGATCAGGGAGAAAGAAAATGTTTTTTAGTCTCACTTCCTTTCTCAAACACTTTCCTCTTTACTATTCAAAAATTACTTTGATTCAGCACAGTCTAGAAAAATACTTATTAACAGTCCAAGGGACTTTATGTTTTAAATATGATAATTGCAGCCAACCAGATGAGTATTTGTCTCATAATCTTTAGATTCTTTTTCTTTTCTTTTTTTTTTTCTTTTTTGAGATGAAGTCTTGCTCTGTTGCTGAGACTGGAGGGCAATGGCACAATCTCAACTCACTGCAACCTCTGTCTCCCGGGTTCAAGCGATTCTCCTGCCTCAGCCTCCTGAGTAGCTGGGATTACAGGTGTGTGCCACCACACCCAGCTAATTTTTGTGTTTTTAGTAGAGACAGGGTTTCGCCATGACCTGACCTCAGGTGATCCACCCACCTCGGCCTGCCAGAGTGCTGGGATTACAGGCCTGAGCCACTGTGCCCGGCCAATCTTTAGACTCTTAATAACTTTGTTTGAAGCCCTACATTCTAGAAAACAATCAAAGTGGGTGGCTTGGTCAGCTTCTCCACAGAAACAAAAAACCATCAGAACCAGAGGAAATTAAGATATTATATTTGCCTTTTCCCTGCAAGAATTTCTTATCCCACACACAAAATAAGAATTGCTGTTCCTGCATCAAGTTGTGGGGAAATGAAGATATGGCTTGTGGAAGGAATTAAAAATTATTCATCCAAAACAGTTTTGCAACATTGTATGTTGGGGGAAAAAAGGTCACTGTTTCTCTTACTTCCACCCCATCAAGACTATCCTCCAACCTGATATTTCTTAATCTGAGTTTATTTTCCAGGTCATTAATTTGATTTCTCAGTGTTTTGCAGCCTTTGAAAGTCTCAGTTAAAGCGGCATCATTAACATTAATCAGCATTTTCATTTCTCCCTTATTTTTTTCTCCTGCCATCTTGTTTTCTTGTTTAAATCCTTTTTCCATCACTATTTTTGAATAGTATCTGACCTCTTTGCATCAACCCAAGCGAATCCAACTTCATAAATCAATTTTGTGTCTCCCAAGGGAGACAAATGGAAAAGCAGACAGGCCTATTCCCTGGATTGTAAACGCGAAAAGAATAGCAACATTAAAGCATATGTTTATCTTTGCAGTGATTCTCCTGAAAAACAACAAACCAGGCTACCAATGAAACATATAACATTACAAATAAAAAGTAGAACGTGTCCTAAGTGTATCATGCTGCCAACACATAGCTGCCTATCACCCCAACTTCTCCTATAGCTGTCTTGAGTGTTTTCGAACTGAACCATTAAACATGCTCTGCTCTTGTTATAAATGCAGAGGGTCTTTCTTTGCCTCTATTTTAGGGAAATCAGATCTCCCAGAATACTGAAACGCCTAGGGAAACTAAGGATTTAAATTCAGATGAAAGACAAATGAGAAGAAAAGTTGAACTTTTCTGGGAACTTTGCTGACCCACTATCTGAAACATAAGTTAAATTAGTCCAAGTGAATGTGCTTCATTCCTAACATTATCCTTAGTAGTTGTATTGCTCAGAGCCTCAGGCTGAGGGGAATATGTGTACATTTGTTGAATTACTATGTCTGGGTACCTATAAATCTTGGGCCACCTAGCCAAGAATAAGCTTCCTTGGATTTTCTTTAAGACACTTTCAACTCTGAAATTGCCTGGAACTCTCCATTGTTCTTATTGCCTAATATCTGAGCAGCCCTGAGTCTCTAACACTCAACTGGATGCTTTGGTGACTGCTCGTCAAAGACCATTCTGAAGCATTTGCATGGCTTTCTGAAAGGAGATAGCTGCTTTCCTCAGCTGTGTCTCCTGGGGTTTGATGGCCATTCTTCAGCTCCCTTCCCACATAGAACCCTTAATAAGTGTTACCGTCATAGGTCTAGGCATTTCAAACCTTAGCTGGTGAGATGTATTTAAAGGATCTAGGTAGAAACAGAGAGGTGAGTTTTGTTACAAAATCTTCTGTAAATTTTTTCTAATCCAAAATGCATTCATTTCCAGGCCTGCCTGTGAAAATTTCTGCAAGTTTTAAGGCAGTTGAATTGGAGTATTAATAACATTTCCCATTGTTTCTTTAGGAAAAACAATAACATCTTCCTAGCAAGAATATACCTAGGAAGGTATAAACTCTGCCTTTGCTGCAGTCTCTGTCTCTAGCTGTGACTTTCCTTTACATTTCTGTCCTCCTTTCCCACTCAGGAGCAGATAATTTTTTGCTTCCCTTTTCCTTTCTTTCCCTCTCTTCTTGGAAATGAGAGTGGATTACTTCTTCCCTTTCACGGCTCTCCAAACAAAAATGGGACCCTCAGGGATCACTCCCCAGCAGCCAGGACAAGTGAATCCAGTGGTAGGAGTGACAAGGATCAGAAGAGAATCTTCCCACAGCCCATTTCTAAACAGGGAACGTCCCATGTCAGCTGTGTAGTCCTTGGGGACCACTTGTAATAAAGAATAGCCACTAACATTGGCCAGTAACCTACCATTTACAAAACACTCATCACCACGTTTGACGCTCGCATTTACCTTGCAGGTTATGAGTGATGTTCACGCCCATTTTACAGAGAGATGGTAACTGAATCTCAGAGAAAGTAAGTGACTTAAACAAGATCATTGGTTCATAAGTGGCATAGCTAGGATTCCAAGTTCTTTGCACTCTTCACAGTATCAACTTAGTCTTTAACCTAGTACTACATTATTGGAACGCTAAGCTTGTGGGAGTTATTTACATCCTGCTGCATAAGGTCATCCCCAAGGTCTGATTTTTCACAAAAAAATTTGCAACCTCTGGCATAAATGGGTTAATATTGCAATGGTCTCAGAGATACAAGTAGACAAAGGCAGAATTAACTTATTTTCACAATGATTAATCAACGTGTCTTTGTAGGCTTAGTTTAAATATTTTTCCTTCTTTTCTTAAAAAAAGGCCCTTATATTATATTATCATTCTGTTTTAGTAATGTAAATGTTAAGGACCTGAAAAATTTTAAACCATATCTAATGGTATATAAAATAAGGATTTATTATAGGAATTGAAGAATCACTGTTCATTTGGAAGTTTATCAACATAATGTATTCCATTAATAAATTAAGAAGAAAATACAGGATTATACCAAATATGACAAAAGAGCAATTAATATAATTTGGTAAGTATTTGTGGTAAAATCTCTAAGTAAAAGAATAGAAGGAAATTTCTAAACAAGATAAAGTATTCATCAGAAACCAACAAATTGAAATACTAAAGGAATTCCTATTAAAATCAGAAACAAGATGGAGCTGCCCAATATTATCACCTATTATTTGAAAAGTATTTTGGAAGCAGCTGGAATTGGTGGAGGCATGGCACCAGAAAGGCGGGGAGCTTTGCAGAGCTGGGCCCTAAGAAATCTTCGTGGAGACTGCCCTCAGATCCTGGGCCAAGAACTGGGAAGCACATGTACAGGGCCTGATTCTGTGAAGCCTACTGCTGGGAGGCTGAGAGCTGGACAGAGATATTAGAGATCATGCAGAGTTTGGAGGCATTGGGATTATGGCCCATCCAGAGTGGAGAACCCTTGCTAAAAACATAAAACATTAGATTGAGACCCTAGAAAAGCCCCACCTTATGAGTAAGCCCCGTGTTCTAGAGTCAGGGCCAGACCCTAGGACTCTGTCACCCCGGCTGGAATGAAGTCACCCGATCTTAGCGCAGCTCACTGCAACCTCCGCCTCCTGGGTTCAAGTGATTCTCCTGCCTCAGCCTCCCGAGTAGCTGGGATTACAGGTGCCCGCCACCATGTCGGGTTAATTTTTGTACTTTTAGTAGAGACGGGTTTCGCCAAGTTGGCCAGGCTAGTCTTGAACTCCTGACCTCAAGTGATCTGCCCACCTCAGCCTCCCAAAGTGCTGGGATTACAGGCATGAGCCACCGCGCCCGGCCGAAAATGTAACTTTTGATTGGGGTGTTGTTTATACCTGTCAAAAGTCATTGGATTTACACTTAATAGTTGTACTTTTTTTTTTTTTTTCTAAGACAAGAGTTTCACCCTGTCACACAGGCTGGAGTGCAGTGGCGTGATCTCGGCTCACTGCAACCTCCACCTCTCAGGTTGAAGTGATTCTCCTGTCTCAGCCTCCCAAGTAGCTGGGATTACAGGCACACGGCACCACGCCCTGCTAATTTTTTGTATTTTTAGTAGAGACATTGTTTCACTGTGTTGCCCAGGCTTGTCTCAAACTCCTGAGCTCAGGCAATCCACCCGCCGCCTCGGCCTCCCAAAGTGTTGGGATTACAGGCGTGAGCCACTGCACCCGGCCTACACATTTTATTCTACATAAATTTTGCCTAAATTAAAAATAAAACATAAGAAAATCATAATGAACATAACCAAATCACAAAGTAGTGGGTATTAAACTTGAATAAAAATGTATTCTGAATATCACAGGAAGGGATAAAGATACAAAATATGAAATAAATATTGGGATAAATAATTTATCCAGAAATAACAAAATCCTTTTCACAGAATTTCTAAATTAACTGAATAAAAAGATTAAAGGAGAGTCAATATTTCAGAAAATAATTGAATTTTTTTTCTCAATTTTGAAGGAAAACATTAGTTCTCAGTCTGAAAGCATGTATAGAATGATAAATAGGGTAAATAACTTTTTTTTTTTCAATATGACCTCTTACCAGATATGCTGTGGCAAAATTTCAAAGAAAATCCTGAAAGCTTCAAGAAAGAAACATATAAACCTACAAAAAACAGGAATCAGGTTCACTTTAAAGTTATGAAAGAAAATAACTTGGAGTCAAGAATTCTATACCCAGCTAAATCATTTTTCAAGTGTGAGGGTAAAAACAATAAAAACATGCACAAAGATAGCCATTGAAGGTTTTTTTGTTTTTTTTTCTTGCCTGATGAAAACTTTCCAGGTCTTTTTTTCTTTTTTTCTTTTACTTGAAGTTCTGGGATACATGTGCAGAACATGCAGGTTTGTTAATAAGTATACATGTGCCATGGTGGTTTGCTGAACCTATCAATCCATCATCTAGGTTTTAAGCCCCACATGCATTAGGTATTTGTCCTAATGCTCTCCCTCCCCTTGCCCGCTGCTCCCCGACGGGCCCTGGTGTGTGATGTTGCCCTCCCTGTGTCCACACGTTCTCATTGTTCAACTCCTACTTATAAGTGAGAACGTGCAGTGTTTGGTTTTCTGTTCTTGTGTTAGTTTGCTGAGGATGATGGTTTCCAGCTTCATCCATGTCCCTCCAAAGGACATGAACTCATTCTTTTTTATGGCTGCATGGTATTCCATGGTGTACATGTGCCACATTTTCTTTATCCAGTCTGTCATTGATGGGCATTTGGGTTGGTTCCAAGTTTTTGCTATTGTAAATAGTGCTGCAATAAACATATGTGTTCATGTGTCTTTTTTTTTTAATAGCTAAAATTCAGAAACAACATAGGGAATCAATAGCAGAATGGAGTGTATAAAGCCTGGCTTATTGAAATAATAGTGCACCAAGGATAATTAAATAAAAGAATTAGATCTACCGAAGCTCTACAGATAAATCTCATAAGAGCAACTTGTAAAAGAATATTATGCTATGATGACATCTGTGTAAATTGAAATTATCATTATCGCCAACATCATCGTCAGAGCAAACACATAGTTCTTTCTATGCACCAGGCATGGTGTTAAGCAGCATCTCCATTTTATCTCATTTAATCATCACAAAAACTCTGTGAAGTAAGGTATGATTATCACCATTTTACAAATGACAGCACTGAAGTGCAGAGAGGTTATATAATTTGCCCCAGGTCATCTAATAAGTGACAGACCTGGAATGGGAAACCAGGTAGACTAGTTCAGACTGTATGGTATGACGCCACTCAAAACAATGCTATGTATTCTTGATGGATTCATCTTACGTAGCAAAAGTAGGGAAACGTGAACAAGAAATCTGTCAACTTCCGTATAGTGCTTGCCTCTGGGAGGGAAGAAAAGGGAGCTGGATGAGGGAGATATACTGATTTTATCTGTAATGTTTTATCTTGTTTAAAAAAATTGAACGCAACTGTGGCAAAATATTATGATGTTGAATCAGGATTCTGGGTATTTGGAGTATCTGTAATATTATCCTCTGTGATTTTCTGCAAGTGTAAAATCTTTTAAGTCAAGGCCGGGTGTAGCGGCTCATGCCTGTAATCCCAGCACTTTGGGAGGCCAAGGCAAGTGGATCACCTGAGGTCAGGAGTTCGAGGCCAGCCTGGGCAACATGGTGACACCTCATCTCTACTAAAAATACAAAAATTAGTTGAGTGCGGTGGCACATGCCTGTAATCCCAGCTACTCGGGAGTCTGAGGCAGGAGAATCACTTGAGCCTGGGAGGCAGAGGTTCCAGTGAGCCGAGATTGCACCATTGCACTCCAGCCTGGGCGACAGAGAGAGACTCAGTCTCAAACAAAACAAAAATCTTTTAAGTCAAAATAAAATATGATGAAGTTAGTGTCTCTCCAACTTTGGCTGTATCCTTGCAGTGAGACATCAGTGAGAGATTAGTGAATAAAGTCATTGTTTTAAAAAGACTCCATAAAAGAGGAATGCAAGTGTCACAACCCATGATTTTGGAGAGTAAAGAGTCATAATTCTAATGCCACTTTACAGTGTAAAATATAATCTTCATCTCATACCAAGTTGGCAATTCCCAAATTCATTAGGTTTATCACAGTATTATAAATCCTATCAGCCAATATTTCATCAAATGAGTTGAGAGCACTATCTTTTGTTCCCATTTTGTTGTGAATTTGTTTCTGAAATTTGGGCATCTGACTGTTTTATTCCAGTGAATGCCATGGCCAGGATCTCTACATTATTTGCTCTTATATTTTAAATGCAAAGAGTTTTACCAGGCACTCGATATTATTGTTTACAATGTAATTCAATCGTTATCAGTACATTTTATTCAATCAGACCTACCAGAGGGGCCGTATTGTTAAAATTTCACTTTTGTACATTTCTCATGTGGAGGTGACATTTTAAGAATCAACTACATAATTAGTATTCTTACTTTCATTATTACACCAGTGAGTTTTTGGGTGAGTTCTCAGAGGGTGGGGAGTAAATCCATCAGGTAATATCTGCTTTCCTTCAACAAATTTCTAGTGCTTTGTGTTAAACGCAGGGCTCTCTTCTAAGAGGGAGTGAATACAAAGATATATATGATATGACCCATGTTTTCCAGTTAGAAAAGAGAGACGACATTCGCACAAATAACCGATGCAAACTAGAATATTTAAAATGCCTAAGAGATAGACAAGTCAAGGGCTTGTGGAATTCAAAGATGGGAGAACTTTCTGGCAGCTGACAGCTGAGAGTAGGTTATCAGGAAAAAATTCTTAGTGGTTGTGTTAGGCCGTTCTTGTGTTGCTATAAATAAATACCTGAGGCTGGGTAATTAATGAAGAAAAGAGATTTAATTGGCTTGTGGTTCTGCAGGCTGTACAGGAAGCATGGCGCCAGCATCCTCTCGGCTTCTGGGGAGGCCTGGGGAGCTTTTGCTCATGGTGGAAGGTAAAGGAGGAGCAGGCATTTCGCAAGGCCAGAGCAGGAGCAAGAAGTGGGGAAGGGGCTGGGCACGGTGGCTCACACCTGTAATCCCAGCACTTTGGGAGACCGAGGTGGGCAGATCACCTGAGGTTGGGAGTTCGAGACCAGCCTGATCAACATGGAGAAACCCCATCTCTATTAAAAATACAAAATTAGCCGGATGTGGTGGTGCATGCCAGTAATCCCAGCTATTCAGGAGGCTGAGGCAGGAGAATTGCTGGAACCCAGGAGGTGGAGGTTGCAGTGAGCTGAGATTGCACCATTGCACTCCAGCCTGGATGACAAGAGCAAAACTCCATCTCAAAAAAAAAAAAAAAAAAAAAAAAAAAAAAAAAGAAGTGGGGAAGGTGCCACACACTTTCAAACAACCAGATCATTTGAGAACTTACAGACTATTGCCAGGATAGCACCAAGCCACGAGGGATCCACCCCCATGACCCAAACACCTCCCACCAGGCCCCACCTCCAACATTGAGGATTGCAATTCAACAGGAGATCCAGAGAGGACAACATCCAAACCATATCAGTGGTAGTGATATTTTAATGAGGCTTTTTTTTTTTTTTTTGAGACAGGGTCTCACTCTGTTGCCCAGGCTGAAGCGCAATGGCATGATCATGGCTCACTGCAGCCTTGACCTCCCAGGCTCTGGTGATCCTCCCACCTCAGCCTCCCTGGTAGCTAGGATCACAGGTGTGTGCCACCACACTTGGCTAGTTTTTTAATTTTATAGAGACAGGGTTTCGCCATGTTGTTCAGTCTGGTCTCAAACTCCTGAACTCAAGCAGTCCCCCTGCTTCAGCCTCCCAAAGTGCTGGGATTACATGCATGAGCCACCACGCCCAGCCCTAGCGAGGTTTTTAATAGTCACGGTTTCAATAGCTGGTCAGAGGGAGGGAGATATCAAGGCATTTATAGAGAAGCATAGGTGTGTTGGCTGGGGAGCCGGAAATGTGAAGATCCAGGCTGGAAACAGGCTAAAACAGAAAGTAAGAGTGGCGTGGAATTGTGTGAAATGCTTTTGGCTGAAAGTTGTTGAAGTGCTGACGTAACTGATTTAAAACAAGGAACTTGATGACATTCGCTAATAGGATCTACAGAGGTAGGCTGGGTTTGTGAATTAGTTGCTTCGGCAGCTGGAAATGCCATGAAGGATGCAAGCTCTTCCCATCTCTCTGCTCATCCATCCTTGGGGTTGGCTTACTTCCAGGATTCACAGCCGAACATGGAACATCCAATGACAGATTTGGCCTCTCCCTGTGACTTTCCAGAGCAAGGAAATTTTTGCAGAAGCACTTCTCACATTTCATCAGCCAGAGCTGAATTGTAGGACATGCCTGAACCAATCACTGATGAGTGGTTCTAGATTATTCTTAGACCAATCAAGGCCACCCTTCCCCGACAAGATGCGTTTCTGCATGTAGGATAAGAGCATGTAGAATAATTAAAGGTTAAAGGAACAATTCCTTTGTTCAGCATGTAGCTGAACAAGCATTCTTATAGGTGAAAGGAACAAATAAACTAGATGAGTGCTGGATAAGCAACCAGCAATATCCACTATGGAGTCCAACAGTCATCATGTGCCTTCTACGCACAGGCACAGGTTTGCTCTGTTTCTGAGTTTGTCTAACACATACGTGGATGTAGGTAAGTAGGAACTTTTGCAAGGGCCAGGCTGAGATGTCTGCACTTTATTCCATAGACATGAAGAGACACACCGGATTTTGAGGAGTCTAATGATAATAATCAGAGTATGATGTCTAGAGGCCTTGGAGAAAGAACTCATGGAAATGGAAAGATTGTACATGTCTCCAAAAGTAGTATGACTTCTTGTCAAAAATGAGATGTCAAATTCTTACTAGCTTTCCCTTCTCTTTGTTTCTGGTAGCACCTCTTTTCTGCCATCCTTTTCCCTGCATTTGGTCAATTTGACTAAGCTTGACATCACATGGAGCAAATTTGAGGTGTGACTGGATGAACTAGAGGTAAATAACCAATAGATTCTCATGCTGCTCAGATTGGCACTATTTAAATCAAGAATCCCTTTCTGTGCCTCTGGCTTAGAGGTGAGTTCTGGAACTGTGCTTTTATGGACTTCCTGGTGCATTTAGTTTCCCCGAGATAAGCTTCCATTTCTCTCTACACTCTCTGAGCCCAATTTCTGCAACTCTGATCATCCCAGTTCATTACCATCCACTTATTTTCTCTTGCTATTAAGACTTTCCCAGCCGAGTGCAGTGGCTCACACCTGTAATCCCAGCACTTTGGGAGACCCAAGTGACCGGGTCATGAGGTCAGGAGATCGAGACCATCCTGGCTAACACAGTGAAACCTTGTCTCTACTAAAAATACAAAAAATTAGCCCAGCGTGGTGGCACGTACCTGTAGTCCCAGCTATTTGGGAGGCTGAAGCAGGAGAATCACTTGAACCCGGGAGACGGAGGTTGCAGTGAGCTGAGATCCTGCCACCGCACTCCAGCCTGGGCAACAGAGCAAGACTCCGTCTCAAAAAAAAAAAAAAAGACAGACTTTCCCAAGGATGTTCTGGGGCTCTTTCGTGTAACTTACAGGGTCTCTCTCTTTCCTCTGGGCTTTTTCAGTATGCCGTATCGCTACTTCATCCAGACATACAGTATCCTTATTCGTATACATCAGAGGAAGTGGGGTTATCTAAATGTATTTTTATTTCTTAATCTAATGTCTGAACTTTGAGAGTCAATATTTTTCACTTTTAACAAACTAGACATTAAAAAGGTCCAAATTTAGAACTTGAGTCACTAAAAATGCTCAAATATTGACAGATAAAAAAGGCCTCAAGAAATCATGCTATAAACTCATCTCCTAGGTGAGGAGTAATTGTGTTAAAATATTATGAGTGCATTGATTACATCTCCCTTCCCTCCTAGGCAAACTGTGAGAGGTGCCTTCTCCCTCACTTCCTCTTTTCTCTAGTGGCTCCTGCCCTGGGCCGATACCAGCTAGGAGTGCACCAGTGGTAGCCTCCTAAGAAAGAAAAAGAGGGCCAGGCACAGTGGCTCACGCCTGTAATCCCAACACTTTGGGAGGCTGAGGTGGGGGGATCACTTGAGGTCAGGAGTTTGAGACCAGCCTGGCCAATATGGTGAAACCCAGTCTCTACTAAAAATACAAAAATTAGCCGGGCGTGGTGGCGCATGCCTGTAGTCCCAGCTACTCAGGAGGCTGAGCCAGGAGAATCACTTGAACCCGGCAGGCGGAGGTTGCGGTGAGCCGAGATTGCACCACTGCACTCCAGCCTCGGCGACAGAGCAAGACTCTATCTCAAAGAAAAAAAAAAAAAAAGAAAAGAAAAGAAAAGAAAAAGAGAAGGAAGTGGAGTTCCACCCCAGAGTCTAGAAAGAACACTCTTCACTCCTCTCCATTTCCCCTAAGCAATTGCACAAATACTGTGTGCTTGGTTGCTCCAAAGGGACAAACTAGGGGAGTGGGAACAAGAGAGAAACAGAACACTAAACGCTAAGCAGATGAAATAAAGCTTCACTGGGAACTAGAAGCCTTGTCCTGGACAAGGTCTGCCTTCAGGATTGGCTCGTGTAGGATGACCCCCAACACTGTCTCCTCTCAGACTCCTCATCAGTCTTTGCCCAGACCCCAGCAGCAGCTGGAACAGGAGGGACTCCCTCTCACTCAGCCCATCGGGTGGATCAGGTGGACTGGTAATGCCCGGTGGGCAATAGGTTCCTATCATCCCATATTGAAGTTTTGGACGTATTTCCCCCAAAGGAAGATGCTACATAGGAAAGGTAGGTTTGTTGTGTTTCTGAAACTGGACTGTACTTAAAAGATACATAGAGTCTAGAAATGGAAACCCACGGAGTCAAATCCACTGTCCCCAACCACACAGCACGTTAGATGCAGATCTAGAATCAGAATTCAGTCTCTCAGCTCCCAAATCAGTGCTCCTTTGTGATTACCCCATTATGAGAGAACTAGGTTTTTTTTTTTTTTTCCTGATGGAATCTGAGGCCCTAAACACCTCTGCTTACATAATTTATAGGAGAGGAAACGACACATGGAATTTCAAATGAACAACTCTGCTAACGTTAATACGGGACATCCCGTACTGAACTATCAGCTTCCTTTGTCCTCCTTTTCCCCTAAATGCCTCTAGCATGTCTTCTTCGTATTGAACAAACATCAGTTCTGCCGATGTCATGGATTTTGTCAATATGAACTGAAAATGTGCTGGCCTTTTTTATCATCACTAACAGCTTTCTTAATTAACCTACTGATAGAGTCAACAGCACAGTTCACTGTTCACTGTTTGCTCTCCAGCCACTGCAGAGTCAAGATGCTCTTTGAGAACACTTACCCAAGGTTGTTTTGTTTTCCAGAAGGGAAAAAAATTCACCACTGCAATGAATTTGACTTAATTGCTAAAATTTCCTTCTGATTGTTTTGCCCCAAGTAACAGCTCTTCCTTAACTAATAACTTTAATTATAGCAACCACTAGTTATAAAAGTGTACCTTTTCTCTTGGCTTGTTCTCTAATTACAAAACCAGAGATCAGCAAGTCACTTTCTTAGGTTTGCATCTGATGGGATGTAGGGTCCTGGAACTACCAGGTATATATTCCGGCTAGGTTCTGTCTCTATGATATCCCAGACATACAAGATGAACAAGAAGCAAAAAGAGGATCCTGATCCGCAGAGAACTCAACTTTAGAGAAAAGTTAAAGATGCTGTGTTCCAGCTTTAAGATGAAATGTAGATTCCCTATGAAAACTCAAATCCTTCATTTCAAAAGTTAAACAGGATAGTGCAGCTACTGTAAAAAAGAAAAGAAAAAAAGAAAAAAAGCCCAGCTGTTTAAATTTAAGGCATCAAAAAACATCCAATTCAGGCCTATTCTCTGGCGTGTACTCACAACATTTCATGTGATTAAGAAGAAAAAAAAATTTTCCTGCACTTCAGCCTCCTATTTTTTTTTTTTTATGGGGTAGACAACAGTTAAAGACCATGTTGGGCTCAGTAATAGTGAGAAACTCCTTAAATGACTGATTTCAGCTGCGTTATTGCCAGGTAAAGATGGTCTCGTGTTTGATGACACATATTCAGAGGATGATTGTGCAAGCCACGGAGATGTTTTTCTGGGTTGTTTTGCGGCCTCATGCATCAGCCCAGTCTGCTCTCCCCACACTGCATTGCAAAGCTGCCCTTTCTCTTTTTTGAAAATCACTCAGCCTCCACCCACACTTTTTTGATGCCTCAGGATGGACACTCTCACCCCCAGGACTCTGGGCAGCCTGTGGTTGGCCCTCACTTTTATATCCAAGAGGAGAGAAAGCAGGAAGGGCCCTCACAGCATATGGCCACCATATGTGGCCAGGTGGCTGCTGGGTGGGTGGTGGTGGTGGTGACCACCACCCATCCTTTCTGTCATGGAGATGGACTCCCCCTACCCACATACTGCACCAATTTCCCACAGACTCAGCTGAAAACTTGGACCCTGGCAGATGATTTCCAATCAGTGACTGCCTCCGCTTAATGGGTTGCTGACTGACACAAGTTTTGCTTCTCAGAGTGAGATATCCTCATCCTTCCTTTCGTCTTCTCCTTTTGTTATAGGAAAGGGGTCTGGATCCAGACCCCAAGAGAGGGTTCTTGGATCTCATGCAAGAAAGCATTCAGGGCAAGTCCATAGAGTAAAGTGAAAGCAAGTTTATTAAGAAAGTAAAGGAATAAAAGGATGGCTACTCCGTAGACAGAGCATCCCCACTTGCTGCTGGTTGCCCATTTTTATGGCTATTTCTTGATGATATGCTAAGCAAGGAGTGGATTATTCATACCTCCCCTTTTTAGACCATACAGGGTAACTTCCTGTTGATGCCATGGCATTTGTAAACTGTCATGGTGCTGGCGGGAGTGTTGCAGTGAGGACAGCCAGAGGTCAGTCTCATTGCCATCTTGGTTTTGGTGGGATTTGGCCAGCTTCTTTACTGCAATCTATTTTATCAGCAAGGTCTTTATGACTGGTATCTTGTGCTAACCTCATATTTTATCCTGTGACAGAATGCCTTACCCATCTGGGAATGCAGCCCAGTATGTAGGTCTCAGCCTCATTTCGCCCAGCTCCTATTCAAGATGGAGTTGCTCTGGTTCAAAGGCCTCTGACACTTTTTCTTACTGTTGCTAATTAGGATTGTTTTACCTTTTGTTTTTAAATGAAAGAAGGTCACCATTTAAAATGTGCCAATCACTTTTCTATCCTAGAGATAGCAAGTCTTCCTGGAGGTGTCCGTTGCTCTGGGAAGAGTCATTTTAATGTAAAGTAAATGAGTAAGTCCACAAACTACTCAACTGATGGATTGGAGTGGGCTGAATGGGTTCTGTCGGCAGGAAAAGACCCTAAGTGTTCCTGAAAGGGGAACTCACCATGATGTCCAGGAGGGTATGTAGAAGTGTAATCCAACTCTACAACAGCGGAATGGCACAGAGGTGGTTTGGGTGCAGGGCGTGGCTGGGCCTGCAAAGTCCTCTAGGCCCAGGCATTGACAAGTTGTTGGAGGAAATGGCCCAGCAAAGAAATGCAACCCAAGGGTTGTGAGCCTTCAGAGCCAATCACATCCTCCCCTGAAGAACCACTCAGTGCAAAGATCCAAGCCGGCAGTGGCATCGTCACAGGAGAGGAGGCTGCACTGAACTGTCACCGTGTGGGTCTGCAGTGAGGCTGTGACAAGGGTGAAAGCACCTCCTACCTAGCAGACTGGTCATAGATATCCGTTTTCTCTCCAAAAGGTGTTTATTACTAGAACTGAGTAATCTGGGCAATTTAGAAAGAGGGATTGGATACTCTGACAATCTCTGGAAGCTCAAGTCAGGTTTAATTTGAAAAACGAAAGGATGTGGCTTTATTTGCAGCCAGGGTGGGACCCCACAAGAGACCACAGAATTCATTCAGTTCTCATTTTGCAAAGAAAAACTAATCGAGTCCAGATTAATCTCCTGCCGTCACAAAGCAAGTGGTGGGTTGAATTTGTATGGAAGGACACAGACAGGACTGCTAACCTAGTGTCTTTTCTATTGTCAAAACTTGTAACTCCTCCTAAATGTAATGCTTTTTTTTTTTTTAAATTTTAAATTGTCTGAGATTTAGGAGATTTCAGTTGTCTGAGATTTTGCTCCTGCTTTGGAATTTAGAGACTAAGCCTGAATTTCCAGTTTCACACTTAGGGACATACGTTGTTAGGTTTCTTCTAGTCTCCACTTCTGGGAGAGCCTAGAGGTTTCTTGGTGAGATAACTATAGACCTGAATCTCTGTTTTTGACCCTAAGCCTGGACCTTTCTCCTGAACTCTGCTCCTTTACCAATGCTGCCTTTCTACTGGATGATCCACAGGCACTTCAAAATCAACACGGTCAAAACCTAGTGTGTTAGTTTGTCTCTACCCAACCAGCCTCCTCTTCCCAGACAAGATCCTGTTACTCCTCTAGGCTTCTCTGGGGAATGGCACCACCAGCCTTTCTTCTCAGCCATACAGAGCCCTACAGATTCCAGCTCCTAAAAAATTTTTATGATTATTATTATTGAGATAGAGTTTCCCTCTGTCGCCAGGCTGGAGTGCAGTGGCACGATCTTGGCTCACTGCAACTTCTGCCTCCCAGGTTCACGCCATTCTCCTGCTTCAGTCTACTGAGTAGCTGGGACTACAAGTGCCTGCCACCATGCCCAGCTAATTTTTGTATTTTTAGTAGAGACGGGGTTTAGCCACACTGGCCAGGCTGGCCTTGAACTCCTGACCTCAGGTGCTCCGCCCGCCTCGGGCTTTCCGAAGTGCTGGGATTACAGGCGTGAACCACCATGCCTGACCCTAAAAAATTATTTTATCTCCTCTTCTCCATTCCCATTGCTCCTGCAGTACTTGAGGATTTTCTCATCTTCTGCCTGGACTGCATTGTCTCCTAGGTGGTCCCCTGGCTTTTGATCCCATTCCAAATCTTTTTCCTCACTGCCACTGTGATCTTTTGAAAACCTAAATCTGATCATGTTACTGCCTTCTACAGCTCTCTATGCTGTCCAGATAAGCTCCACACCTCTTAGCGTTTGAAGTGCAATGCCTTCTCTTCTCTCAGTTAGGCTGTGTTTCTCAGGGTCCACCAGCCCCCTCCCCTCCCCTCCTCCCTAGACTCTAGGACCCAGCCACCACAAGCCCTTAGAGACCCTTTCACTGATCACCTCTTTTTTAGGCCCCTATTCTGTCATTATTGTTACTGGAAAAGGGGCCTGACCCAGACCCCAAGAGAGCAGGGGACCTCCCGCAAGAAAGAATTCCGGGTGAGTCCATACAGTAAAGTGAAAGCAAGGTTATTAGAAAAGTAAAGAAACAGAAGAAAGCCTAATCCATAGGCAGAGCAGTGGCGTGGGCTGCCCGACTAATTATACTTATAGTTATTTCTTGATTATATGCTAAACAAGGGGTGGATTATTCATGAGTTTTCTGGGAAAGTGGTGGGCAATTCCTGAGACTAAGGGTTCCTCCCCGCTTTAGACCATGTAGGGTAACTTCTTGATGTTGCTACAGCATTTGTAAACTGTCAGGGCACTGGTGGGAGTGTCTTTTAGCATGCTAATGTATTGTAATTAACATATAGTGAGCAGTGAGGACGACCAGACGTCACTTTCATGGCTGTCTTGGTTTTGGTAGGTTTTAGCCGGCTTCTTTACCTCACTGTGTTTTATCAGCAAGGTCTTTGTGACTTGTCTCTTATGCCGACCTCTGATCTCATCCTGTGCCTTAGAATGCCTAAACTCCTGGGAATGCAGCCCAGTAGGTCTCAGCCTTATTTTACTCAGCCCCTATTCAAGATGAAGTTGCTCTGGTTCAAACGCCTCTCTCATTATGAGTTGCCTGCCCCGGAGATGTCCGTCTGCTTTCAGCCTGGTGACCACTTATGGCTTTGAAGGCTCAATTCAAATGTCATCTCCTCCATGAAGCTTTATCTAACCTCTCGTTTCCACAGGGTGAAAAGAAACACTCTAGCTTTTGTATTCCAATGGAACCCTGTTTCTATCCCAACACCACTAACATTTCAGGGCAATTATTTCTTCCATGTCTGTCTTCCCTTATGATATTGAGGACAGCATGAAGGTAAAGAGCATGTCTTATTTATCTTTGATTTTCTAGCACCAAACACAGGGCCTGGCATATGGTAGGCACTTGGTAAGCATTTATGGAAGGAAGGAAAGAAGGAAGGAAGGGAGGGAGGGAGGGAGGGAGGGAAGGAGGGGAAGGGACAGAGGGAGGGAGGAAAACATATATTGTCATAATGTATTATTGTTCCTTTTTTTTTTCCATTTTTTATTACTTCCAGAAAGAAAGGCATATGGTGAAACTTTGATCACAATTTCTATAAAACGTGTTCTATAGAAACTGTTTCTGTAAAACGAAGTGAACCTAATAACCAAAGGCAGTTCAGAAATTCCATTAGTATTGTTAGAAAAAGGTAAATATTCAAATATTTATTTGTTCTCATATTGTATGATGTGGTCACTGGTAAGATATCTCAATCATTTTTTTTTTTTTTTTCAAGACAGAGTCTTACTCTGTTGCCTAGGCTGGAGTGCAGTGCTGTAATCTCAGCTCACTGTAACCTCCGCCTCCCCGGTTCAAGTGAGTCTCCTGCCTCAGCCTCCTGAGTAGCTGGGACTACAGGCGTGCGTCACCATGCCCAGCTAATTTTTGTATTTTTAGTAGACATGGGGTTTCACCATGTTGGCCAGGATGGTCTCAATCTCCTGACCTCGTGATCCGCCCACCTCGGCCTCCCAAAGTGCTGGGATTACAGGTGTAAACCACTGCTCCCGGCCAAGACATCTCAATCTTAAGACTAAAAAAAAAAAAAAATGTGTTGTGACTATAATGGACATTGGCCATGCTTCTGGCTCTTCAGATGCCGAATTCCCCTATGTATAAGACTTCTGGAGAGGCAGGGCCCTTATCCTCTATAGTGGCTACAGAGTGGGGTACCTGTATTCCCAGCATCCCTTACAGCCAGGGCACAGCCGCGTGTATGCACAGCACTCATCAATTATATGTACCCATAAGGAGCAGGGGCTGGTGACATTCAGATGTGAGAACAGAGAGTAATTCTTGGTGGTGGCAGTGGTACTAGCAATATCTGAGTCCAGCACTGGCAGCTGGGCAGAACACATTGACTGGTGGGAACCAATGGCACAGCAGTGTCCCCACTGCCTATTCTCCAGACGAATGTTAGCCAAGGATCGGAGGCATTGCATCCCTTTGTTTCTGCCCAATTCCCAAGCTTGCTCCTCCAGCTACCCTAGTGGTTCTCTGAGCCAACTAATACAGTTTCAATAATTTCCTTTTATGCTTACAGTCCTTTCTATTGCAACTAACAAACTCAAAAGATCCAGGAACTCTTTGGTGGTTCATAAATGCTTCTGGCTTTAGCTATTTGTGCCACCAGTGTGCATGATTTACATGAGTCCAGTTGATAAAATATCTCATTCACTGGTGAGTCAAGGGTTAGTACATTCTACATTATTAGAGGAATTTTTCTAGGCCGATTATTTGCCATACAAGCTTCATTAGGGCAGGTTTTCTTGCTTTAAATCACATTCTTCTACACACAGTGCCTGGTATATAATAAGTATTCAATAAATACTTGCCGAGTGCTGAGTGGACTAATAAATAACTTTTTTTAAATCCAAGAGACTATTAACTAATTTTTACTATGTCAAACTGGTACTGTTAAGATAACCCTACACAAACAAGAGGACAAATTAGATGGGTTTTAGAGAGCCTCTTCCTACATGTGATCTGATGATGAACCTACTCAGAGCAAAGCTTGCTGATATTCTAGCAACTGGTTCAATTCAACAAATCTTTATTGATCTTTATTGATCCTTTCCTGGAGGTGCTCACAGTCAAGTTGGGGTTCTTTCATTTGCTTTCTGTGACTCCTAGCCAAACTCTTAATCACTGTGATTCTGAGTTTCCTCATTGATAAAATGGTGATGATAATTTTTCCTTAAAGGGTTGTTACCAAAATCAGAATGTTAACAATGCCCATTTCTTTTTGACTTTATTATTCCTGTTTCTACTTGCAGAATCTTCTCCTGAATTTAGTTCAAAATACTCTGCATTATGCACTGAGTGAGTCACAGTCACTGTGGTTACAAATGTGGAAAAGGCATGTATGTACTCTCAAGGAATTTACAATGTCACCAAGGAGATAGATGGGCCAAGGGATCAGTAATTGTGGTTATGGCAGTGATGGAACCAAACACAGGTACTGCTAAGAAAGTGCAAAAGAAAGGCCATTAATGTCAGGAGAGGAGGCCATTGTGGAGGACTCCTGGAGGAGATATCCAGTCACAGAGAAGGAAAGCCAAGGAAAAGAGAAAGAAATGGACCTCCAAGAAAAATGAACTTCATGAGCAAAGGCAAACCGGGATAACAGCATTTCAGTGTTTCTAGAAGGTGAAGTTCAAGATGGGATTGGAAGGAAACCAAGTCCGCAAAGGGAGATGGGTCAGATCATGGACGACCATATATGTTAGATAAGAAACATGGGACTGAGGGTAATAGGGAACGCTAGGGGATTGTACACAGGTAGGCACTTTCGAGACCTCAGTTTGGCTACAGGATGGGAGATAAATATGGGACAAAGGCCAATTAGGAGGTTATCATCCTGATCTAGGGGACTATTGTGATAGCCCAAACTGGGAAAATGGTGGAAGAAATGGGATGAAGAAAAGCAATATTCTAAATATTCTAAGCAATATTTAGAAGACATTAAGCATGTTGTAAAAAGGTGTATTCATCTCCTCGGGGTTCACCTGTGTTCTTTTTCCTAAATATTGTCATGGTCTGAAGAGGTTGAATGGATGTATGATAAACAGTCACACATATTCCCCACCCGTCTTCAAATGGGATGGAATTACAGCCTATCAGATACTATGTCCAGCACCAGGTTGTGATAGCATGGGTCCAAACCATCTTTCATCTCCATTCAAAGGTCACAGAAGTAATGGAAAGGCCTCTAATATTTTTTCATGTCAGGTAACATTTTTGGCATGGTGTGAGTTATTCATCTTTCTGGAATTCCTTGTAAAATATTTTACATCCTTCAGACAATCCTATTCAGAAGTTCAAATGAATCTTTAGCTAGGATTTCTTTTCTTCTTTTCACTGGACAGCCTGTATACATTAAAATCAAATAGGAAGAAAGAAGCAAGAAGGATATTCAGGTAAACACATGATAACACTGGCCAAAAATGTGGGGAATGGCTGCCCTATTCTGTCAAATAGAAATGAGGCCAGACAGCTATTTCACTGGGATTTACAGTTCCCACCCCCAAGCAAATCTAATCTCATCCTTGTGTTCACAGGCTAGGCCAGCAGGGCAATAGCCTAAATTCAGAGCCCAGAGATGCAGATATGCTGGCTCCGTTCCCAGGAGGCCAGTCAGGATGAGAATCAATATTTCAATAGCTCGGGATTAGGAAACACATTTATCAAATCTTGTCCATTAGGGAAACAAATATTAAAACCACAAGACATTCTGTGTCATGCACAGACTGATAGAGAAGAAATGTTTGGCTCAGCTGCAGAAATATACCCATTATTCTTGAATTCTTTGGACTGGTATAAATCGTGTAAAAAAATCATCAGAGTAAGACTGAGGCTGCTTAGGGGATTGCCATAAATAACATCTTAAAGTCCCCCATGAGCCGCTTTTCAGGGTAACAGGAAGGCAGAGAAGACCTCTAGGTTTGATTGCATTGTCTTACATTGTTTAGCAAAAAAAGTCACAGAAATCAGTAGGGGTAGAATTTGGCTTGGATGTGAAGCCAACTTTGCTTAGATTTGACAGACCTCACCTGGGTTTCCCACTCTCAAACCTTTGGAAAATCCAGACAACCCCAAAGTTAGTCCCAGCCAATTGGGTACCTTTCCTATTTGTATCAAAGGGAAAGCATTGGAAGCACAGTGTGATTCATATCAGCTCATACACTGGAACAGGCATTTGCAGGTATAACGGGTGTGGGGGTGAGGGACCCCATTCACCTTTCCCCCAGGCCTTAAAAATAAGCAACTGTGGCAGGGCGCAGTGGCTCACGCCTGTATTCCCAGCACTTTAGGAGGCCAAAGTGGGTGGATCACCTGAGGCCAGGAGTTCGAGACCAGCCTGGCCAACATGGTGAAACCCCGTCTCTATTAAAAATACAAAAATTAGCCGGGTGTGGTGGAGGGCGCTTGTAATTCCAGCACTTTGGGAGGCTGAAGGGGGCAGATCACCTGAGGTCAGGAGTTCAAGATCAGCCTGGCCGACATGGCAAAATCTCCTCTCTACAAACTACAAAAAATTAGCCGGCTGTGGTGGCACGTGCCTGTAATCCCAGCTACTCGGAGGCTGAGGCAGGAGAATCGCTTGCACCCAGAAGGCAGAGGTTGGAGTGAGCCGAGATTTCACCATTGCGCTCCAGGCTGGGCGACAAGAGCGAGACTTCATCTCAAAAAGAAAAAAAAAAAAGCTAATGCATTTATAAAAGGGATTTTCTCCGAGAAAGATTATGCCTCCCGTGTCCTAGGGCACACTTGGATCTCACATAGCCACACCGGCTTTTTCTGGGACCTGCCTTGGTCTGGCACTCCCAGGTGTCCATGAAGAAAGAAGAAATACTGAAGAAGGGAGGGGAGGCCAAGTGCAGCGTCTCAAAGATCTAATTGCAACTCTGACAAGCATCAGATCAAAGGAGTCTCTCCTTGGTTCTTTGATCTCTTGATAACCACATTTAGCACTCTCCCCTGGCTGTGCCTGGGGCGGGCAGCCCTCCCTTCTAACTCCCTCATCTCTTTCTAGTTTAAATAATTCAACTGCTAATCATTTTCAAAGGAGTAAAAATAAGCAAATATTTTAAGTTCCAACTCAACTGCTAGATTTAGTGAAGTCTCTGTACCAGAATGATACCACTTTGGGAAATAAAAATAGCGTCATGAAATCCTAAAAAGAATGCTCCTTGCTTTAAATATCTGACTTCGAGCTGTGCTGTAAGTCCACAGGAATGGGGAGGGAGATGACCATAACTGTAGCTCCAGACGTGCCTGGGGCGGGGAGCTAGGGAAAGAGGTGGCTTCCTGTCTTTCTGCTGGTGGAGGCAAGACTCTGAGACATGAACCATCATCATCAGCCCGCAGCCTTCCTTCCTTTTCTTCTCCCACATTTCCAAGACAATTTGATGGGACTCTCCTCCAACTCCACATCACCCAGTGTCTTTTGGTGCTAGGTTTCCCCATGAGGTGTGACCAGCATGTTCTGCTCAGAATTTTTTTTTGAGATGGAGTTTTGCTGTGTCACCCAGGCTGGAGTGCAATGGTACTATCTTGGCTCACTGCAACCTCTACCACCTGGGTTCAAGCGATTCTCCTGCCTCAGCCTCCCAAGTAGCTGGGATTACAGGGGCGCACCACCACGCCCAGCTAATTTTTTGTAATTTTAGTAGACATGGGGTTTCACCATGTTAGCCAGGCTGGTCTTGAACTCCTGACCTCAGGTGATCCGCCTGCCTTGGCCTCCCAAAGTGTTGGGATTATAGGCGTGAGCCACCGCGCCCAGTCAGAAATGGTCTTTATTAAAATATTAGGGAGTGGGGAGAAAAGTCGTGCTATGGAACTTGCTTTTACCCCAAGGTTGCCAGATTTAGCAAATAAAAACGCAGGACACCCAATTGACTTGACTTCGAAATTCAGATAAACAAGGAATAATATTTTTGCATAAGTATGTCCAGATATTGCACAGGACACACTTACACTACAACATTATTCATTGTTTATCTGAAATTTAAACTTAACTGGATGCCCTGTATTTTATCTTGCAACTCTATCAGGGTCCTTCTATCACCAAAACTTGCTGAACCCAGCCTCAGAGTGTCACCAAAAAGAGGGATTCAGCTCTGCCCTTAAATCCCCTTGTGAATCTGGCCCAGTCCAGGCCTTTTATCGAGTGGTGGGGGAAGGGAAGGGGTCAGCGTGTGTTGAGCTCCTGCATAAAGGGGTGTCCCATTTGATCCTCACAATAACCCCATGGGTGGTTAGTATTATTTCCCTTCCACATTTGGTGAAGTAGGGCCCAGGAAAGGTAAGGAGTCTGCCGGCTTCTAACTGGAGGTAGGATTCTAACACAGGCCGTGATCTGTCAATTACCTGCTGCTGTCTCCTTCCTTCTCCTCAATGCAGCAGGACAAACCCAGAGGCTAGTAGACTTGTTCCAACATAAACAGGCTTTTTTTTTTTTTTCATTCCAGCTATCTCTTTTCATGTTAATCAAAGCTCTAGATCTTATCCTCTAGAACTCTCTGTTCTGCCATTTGAAGCAGAGGGGTGTGGGAAACCCAGGGTAAGAAAGGAGAGTAGACCTGAATGGGGGAGTCTTAGGAACTTAGTACATGAAAGGTAGTCACTAGCAGTTTTCCTCATGCAGGTAAGCCAGTGGAAACTTATTAATCTGCACTGAATTCAAGCCAGGACACCAGCATATTATGAAATCCTGACTTTCTTATTTCTTTTCTTTTTTTTTTTTTTCTTGAGACAGAGTTTCGCTCTTGTTGCCCAGGATGGAGTGCAATGGCACGATCTCGGTTCACTGCAACTTCCACCTCCTGTGTTCAAGCAATTCTCCTCCATCAGCCTCCCGAGTAGCTGGGATTACAGTCATGCGCCACCACGCCCAGCTAATTTCGTATTTTTAGTAGAGACGGGTTTTCACCATGTTGGTCAGGCTGGTTTTGAACTCCTGATCTCAGGTGATTCACCCACCTCAGCCTCCCAAAGTGCTGGGGTTACAGGTGTGAGCCACCATGCCTGGCCTGACTTTCTTACTTCTGAAGGCCACGGTTCTCAGATTGGAGCTGCCTTGGAATCACCTGGAGGGCGTGTTCAAACAGATTGCTAGTCCACCCCTAGTGTTTCTGCCTCAGTGGGTTTACAGTGGAGCCTGAGAATCTGCATTTCTGATAAATTCCCAGACGATGCTGACACTGCTGGTCTGGGGAGTTCACTGATACGGTTTGGCTGTGTCCTCACCCAAATCTCATCTTGAATTGTAGCTCCCATAATTCCCATGCAGTGTGGGAGGGACCTGGTGGGTGATAATTGAATCATGGGGGTGGTTTCCCCCATACTGTTCTCTTGGTAGTGAATAAGTCTCATGAGACGTAATGATTTTATGAGGGGACACCCCTTTTGCTTGGTTCTCATTCTCTATCTTGTGTGCAGCCACGTAAGATATACCTTTTGCCTTCTGCTGTGATTGTGAGGCCTCCTCAGCCATGTGGAACCGTGAGTCCGTTAAAGCTCTTTTTCTTTATAGATTACCCAGTCTCAGGTATGTCTTTATCAGCAGTGTGAAAACGGACTAATACGCCACTTAGCGAACCGCTGCTCCAGGACCAGAAAGGGGGCTTCACTAAAAATAATGACAGTATTTGGAACTTAGGTTCACATATACTTTGGAATTCAAGACCATTCTACACCTCTCATCCCTGCCATTCAAAAATGTCCTGCAATCCTCTCTCTCCATTGAAGTCTACATTTATTCCTTTACTCACTCATCCCCATAGATATGAAGTAAGCGTGGACAATGTAACACATACCATCTGGATCCTCAGACACACAGAGATGAACTGGACCCAGTTCCGGCCAGTACACCGGGGACAATTATGTAAGCAAAATAACACCAGTGGAGTAGGAGAGGTTATAATAGAAGCAGATAAAGTCATCCAGAAAGGAAGAGAGAAAAGGAAGGGAAGATTCTCCAGGGATTTACCCTTTGAGCTGAGTTTGGAAGGCTGGGGATGGGGTTACAAGAGGAAAGGATAGTCCACATGGAGGCATGAGACAACATGGCAAGCTCAAGGGCTGCAAGAAGCTTACATGGTTGACTTGGTGATAGATGGGCAATTAGTGTCAGGAAGCCCGGCAGGGGGGTTATACTGAGATGCTTGGCTTTCTTTTCTTTTACAATGATGATGAGGCATTGGGTGGTCTTTAGTGGAGGATGGCATTAATAAGGCCTATAATCTGGAGAGTGATTGAGTGGAGGGGTGAGTGTCTTAGTCGGCTAGGGCTGCTATAACAGGATACCATAGACTAGATAGCTTACAGACAACAGAAATTTGCCTCTCACACTTCTGGAGGCTGGGAAGTCCAACATTAAGGCAGATTCAGTGTCTGCTGAGGGCCCACTTTCTGGCCCATAGACAGCAACCTCTTGCCGTGTCCTCACTTGGTGGAAGGGGTGAGAGGGATCTCAGGGGTCCCTTTTATAAGGGCACTAATCTTATTCATGATGTCTCCGCCTTCATGATCTAATCACCTCCTAAAACACCCATCTCCTAATACCATCACCTTGGGTGGCTAGGATTTCAACATACGAATTTTGGAGGTCATAAACATTTAGACCATAGCAGTCAGGAAAATCCCACCACGAGGCTATTGCAATAGGACCCACTAGAGATGATACTGGTGTGAATAAGAGTGGGATCTCTCCGAGTTGAATGGAAAAAAAAACTCTGATGGTCCAAAAATGAAACATTTATGTCCACTCTTGTTACCCTCCACCAATAAAAGCAACCTAACTAAGTTTGGGGGAACAAGATGCAAATATTCCTGTATTTTTTTTTTTTTTTTTTTGAGACGGAGTCTGGCTTTGTCGCCCAGGCTGGAGTGCAGTGGCACGATCTTGGCTCACTGCAAGCTCCGCCTCCCGGGTTCACGCCATTTTCCTGCCTCAGCCTCCCGAGTAGCTGGGACTATAGGTGCACGGCACCACGCCCTGCTAATTTTTTGTATTTTTAGTAGAGACAGGGTTTCACCGTGTTAGCCAGGATGGTCTCGATCTCCTGACCTCATGATCCGCCCACCTCGGCCTCCCAAAGTGCTGGGATTACAGGCTTGAGCCACCGCGCCCGGCCATATTCCTGTATGTTTTATGCTGCTATCTTAGTCTGCAACTTATTTAAACTGCATATCTGTTCCAATAATTTCCACCTTTTAAAGGATTACTCTAATTCATTACTATTTGTTCAATTTTGCTCTCTTTCCCATTCCTAGATGTTTATTTATTCATCCAAAATCATTTAGTAGCTTACTGGCTGGGAGAGAAGACAAAGCAGATAGAGGGATAGTTGAAATTCAGTGTGGCACGCAGTGTAACAGCGGTTCTTACTAATACCTGTGAGATGACAGAGGAGGGAAAGATGAACTTAAAAACAGCCAATGATATTAATTTTCTTTTATTTTCTCTCTCTCTTTTTCTTTCTTTCTTTCTTTTTTTTTTTTTGAGACAGAGTTTCACTCCCTTTGCCCAGGCTGGAGCGCAACAGCACAATCTTGGCTCACTGCAATCTCTACCTCCTGGGTTCAAGCGATTCTTCTGCCTCAGCCTCCTGAGTACCTGGGATTACAGGCACCCACTGCCACGCCCAGCTAATTTTTGTATTTTTAGTAGAGACGGGGTTTCACCATTTTGGCCAGGCTGGTCTTGAACTCCTGACCTTAGGTGATCTGCCCGCCTCGGCCTCCCAAATTGCTGGGATTACAGGCCTGAGCCACCGTACCGGCCAATTAATTTTCAAATCACTTTGAAATGAATTTTATGGACTTGAAAAAAAATACTAATTTATTCCCTAAATTGAAAACTACTTCCAAGAAAATCATGGGTTTTTTTTTGGTTTTTTTTTTGTTTGTTTGTTTGTTTTGTACAATGCCTAATATAGTACTCTAGCATAGGCACCTGATAAATATATTTTGGCCATTGAAAAAAAACTAAATGGTTTTAACATATTAATCTCACTAGAATATTAAAATTCTAAAATAAGTAGAACAATTTCCATTATCTGACTTTCTGTAAATACAAATATTTTACTTAATTTTTAAAGAAATGTTTTTAGTTGTAGTAAGAAAGTGCAAAAACCTAGCCTTGAAGAGAGTTTGCCTTTCAGTGCGTAATGTATAGTTAATGCAATCAGAGCTTGTTTGGAGCGATTCGACACCAAAGAAGAAAAATATACCCATCTTCAGGAGTTATAATTTTAGACGATAGTGTTTTCATAAATCACTCTTATTTGCATGTTGGGAATTTGAGTTACAGCATTAACATGATAAATCAATGGAATCTCTTTAAATAGGGCAAGTTTTAAAAATCATCTTCCAGTGATTCGATGCCAAATATTTGATTGGAAGTGACACAAGTTAGACTGAAGGGAAAAAACCCTCCTCTGGGCCTCCTGTGGCTACAAGGTCAACTGAAATCCCAAAGATGGTGGTTCCTTCCTAGCTCGATAAATGACCTTTGGCAAGTCACAGAAAGAGCTGTTGCCCACTGCGGCATCCACAAAGAGTCATCGTCTGCCTTTATGAGCAGACAGCAGCTCTGTCCATCAAGAGACCAAAAATGTAAATGATCCCTCCAAAGCCTAGTGTCCTGATCTCACAGCAGGGAAAACCCAAGCTTTCACAGCCAAAGGAACTTCCAAAATGAAATTAAAGGAAAATTAACCAGGAAAAAATGAGAGAAAAGAATTTAAATGGAATAATTCATGATCTCCCTCCTTTTGGCTCTTCTGCTGAACTAATTCATGATTGGCCTTGATCTTGGTAAAGAATTCAAGATTGACACTAACAGCCTACAGCCCAGTTCAGGCCGCTTCTAGGGTGTCACCATGGCCCACCCCTCTGAGGCCAAACAGCTCAGGGTATGGCCAGGCTGATTCCAAGAAGCATCAGTGACCTACACCCTAGATCCTTTCACCTGCAGCCTCAACAGTGCTGCAGGTTGTTAGCATCTTTCTTATCCTCTTGGAAAAGGTCATTGGGTGTACTTTTTTACAGTAAGCATCTGTGAAGTTCAGTTTGCATGGCAAAAAAAAGGCATTGGAGATTTTTAGCAACTAGTACAACAAAGAAGTTGTTGATCCCGGGAAAATTACAAAATAAATTGGGTTCATCATTACTGCCATTGCATTCTGCTCTCTTTACCTGCTCCTACATCCACCTTGGGCCCACCAATGGCTTGGCTATTTTCTGTCTACACAACAATCTGCACTTGAAACTCTTCGTAAACCTTTTTTCAAGTACACCATAAATCAAAAGTCTCCTTCCCATTGCTCACATCATTGGGTCTGTCTTCATCCTGTATAAATTCCTTTCTTTCGTTTTTTTTTTTTTTTTTTTTGGAGATGGAGTGTCACTCTGTCGCCCAGGCTGGAGTGCAGTGGCACGATCTCAGCTCACTGCAACCTCCGCCTCCCGGGTTGAAGCGTTTCTCCTGCCTCAGCCTCCCGAGTAGCTGGGACTACAGGCGCACGGCACCACGCCCGGCTAATTTTTTGTATTTTTAGCAGAGACGGGGTTTCACCCTGTTAGCCAGGATGGTCTCAACCTCCTGATTTCATGATCCATCCGCCTTGGCCTCCCAAAGTGCTGGGATTATGGGCGTAAGCCACCAATTGCTGGGATTATGGGCGTGAGCCACCGGGCCCGGCCATAAATTCCTTTCTTATAACATTGATGGTCTCAGGTAAAAAGCAATCTGGTGAGTTGTTGACACAAATATGTGAATAAGGACAACAGTAGCAGCAGACATAGCTGCTAGCTCTCCTTCCTTGTAGGTATAATCCCAGTTGATTGACTTGTTTTCCTAGCCTCCTTTTTAGCCTTGGGTGGCCATGAGTCATAGTTCTGGCCAATAAGACCTAAGCACAAGTATGCTAGGGGTGTCACTGATAGTGTTTGCCTGATAGAAGGGGACAGACATAGCTGGCATCTTTCTTTATCTTTCATGCTGTCAGCGGGAGGCAACCAGCAAGAGGGAGAGGCTGAGAGTCACAAGAAGACAAGTTACTTCATTACTGCCCTTGTTTTCTCCCTGCGTGGAACCCTAGATCCCTCTGGCTACTTTCTCTCTCCAATCCCCTCCATGCCCTGTGTCCTTCTCTGACACTCTGCCCACTAATCTCTCACTCCGGCTCTAACTAATCATTGGCTTTCTCCACCACTGCCTGCCTCCTAAACCCCATCTCATTGCTGGGGAATATTCATGCACATTTGAGGGTTTGTTTTGTGTTATTATTTTATTGTGGTAAGAATACTTAAGATGAGATCTACTCTCTTAAAAGATTTTCAAGTGTACGATACAGGATTGTTAACTATAGGTGCTATGTTGTACTGTAGACCTCCAGAACTTACTAATTTTGCGTAACTGAAACTTTATACCCATTGGTTCACAACTCCCTATCTCAATCTTCCTCCCAGGCTCTGGCAACCCCCATTCTACTCTCTGCTTCTGTGAGTGTGGCTATTTTAGGTACCTCCTAGAGGTGGAATATGCAGTGTTTATCTTCCTTTTTTCTTTTCTTTTCTTTCTTTTTTTTTTAAGACAGAGTCTCACTCTGTTGCCCAGGCTGGAGTGCAGTGGTGTGATCTTGGCTCACTGCAACCTCCGCCTCCCGGGTTCAAGCAATTCTCCTGCCTCAGCCTCCTGAGTAACTGGGATTACAGGCACACACCACCACACCCAGCTAATTTTTGTATTTTTATTAGAGATGGGGCTTCACCATGTTGGTCAGGCTGGCCTTGAACTCCTGACCTTGGGATCCACTCGCCTTGGCCTCCCAAAGTGCTGGGATTACAGGCATGAGCCAACGCACCTGGCCATAGTGTTTATCTTTCTGTAACTGGCTTATTTCACTGAGCATAATACCCTCCAGATTCACTCATTATTACATATGGCACGATCTTCTTTTTGAAGGCTGAATAATATTCCATTGCACGGATACATTTGAGGTTTTCACCTTTTCCCAGGCCTCGTCTGTAGCCATGTCTAAATTCACCCTGACCCATGGCTAAAGGAGAATGAGAAACACTGGAACATAATGACTTTCCCTGACACGTCCACATTCTGAATCTTAAATAACTCTGTTTCAAGTGCACTAAGTGATCTCTGCCTCCCTGTTCTCTTGGTTCTCTTCCCATCATTACTAGCTATAGGGTGATGATGAATGTTTGGGTCAAAAAGACCTGGGTTCTCTTTCCAACTCTAACAAGGTTGCCAACGAAATTAATTCCGTTTTACCCTCCAGTTCCTCTCTTGTAAAATAAAACCATTTTGGCCGGGCGAGGTGGCTCAAGCCTGTAATCCCAGCACTTTGGGAGGCCGAGGCGGGCGGATCACGAAGTCAGGAGATCGAGAGCATCCTGGCTAACACGGTGAAACCCCGTCTCTACTAGAAATACAAAGAAATTAACCAGGCGTGGTGGCGGGCGCCTGTAGTCCCAGCTACTCGGGAGGCTGAGGCAGGAGAATGGCTTGAACCCTGGAGGCGGAGCTTGCAGTGAGCCGAGGTCGCGCCACTGCACTCCAGCCTGGGCGACAGGGCGAGACTCCGTCTCAAAAAAAGAAAAGGAAAAAAATAAATAAATAAAATAAAACCATTTTACATTTCAGGGCTGTTATAAAATAGAAACAAGCTAACATATAAGCCAGGTAATAGATGTTGAGTATATATTAGCTATTATTCTTAACATGGCCGATATCAGTAGGCAGAGTCAGCTCTGCCACCCTGGCCCCACCTGACCTGACCCCATCAGTAAGCAATTCGTTCACTGGGTTAAGCATTGCCTTATCTCCAAAGCTCCCTTTTATTCTCGAGAGGGGGAGGTTCATTGCTACAAAGACATTCACTTAATTTTCTCTTTAAAAAGTTCATTATTTCAGTAGAAGAAGATGGGATAGAATTAGAACACTAGAGCTACACCAAGGGAGACAAGATAGAAGATGCTGAGTGCTGTGGAATGGGGAGGAAGAAAAACAGTGGGAAAAGTAAAAAAAGAACTAGGGCAAATGCACCTTGGCCCCAGAGACGGTCCTAATTAATTTCCTTTCTTCTCTGTTGCTATTTTGGCTTCCTTTGGTTTAAAAATAAAAAGTCCTGTTTTTGCTCTGATTATGTCTTTTATTTTCATATTTATGAGATTAAAATGGCATAACCTGCCTAGGATGCACCGTGATCTAAGGCACTTGATGTATGTTCGAGAAGAAAGGGGGGAAAAGGCCTCAAGTCTGACCCGAGGAGGCAAAATGCTTATGTAGCATGAGAACTTTATTGACTTAAGTTTCAGGATTGTTCTCTCAGGGAAGGAAAACCATCTTAAAAAACAAACAAACTTGTATTCTGGGGTATTTCCCAGAAAAGACGCAGGTATGGTTAGTAAGATGGGATTTGGTTTTGTTTTTCGAGCTTCAGCCGGGTGGTAAAAGGTCAGTCCTGTGTTGTAATCCACTCTGGTGCCTCTCTCCCGTAAATCTAACCACAGCCCTAGAAAAGCTATGCAGTGTGGCAGTTAGTAAAATGAAATTTCTTTTTAAAACGTCTTCCCCCTTAAAAAGTTACTGCTGAGTCTTAGAATGTTCTGGAAAAACGCTGTTGCTCGAAATTTCAGAATAATTTCCCTAGGAGAAAGCTGTTAAAATGATTTATCTTAAAATAAGTTACTGAGATGGGAAGATGGAGAAAAGTAGACATGTCTCACATGGGTGAGGTCTTGAGAATGGGTGAGAAGAAAAAATGGTGTGGGGATGTGTGGGGTGAGTTTCTATAAGAGCCGCATCACCTTCTGACCCGTGAGTAAAAATGTTGGTTAATAGGAAGCCAGTCAGCTCTGTCCCCATGTGCTCAACGCGCCACAATCTATAGCAAGCACAGACACAGACAGTACGTCAGCACTGTCCTGGGCCCTGCGCCTCCGGGTAGGGATGCCCCAGCTTTGCCCCATGGAGTCGGGGGTCCCCTGAGGTCTCCTTCTTCACACCCTTACAGCCTAAAGCAATACCAGCCGTGGCCGCACACTGGATGAAGCTGTCAAATGATTGAATCGCACAGCAGTGAGCATCGCTGGGATATATTGTATATTGTGGGTCCCCATTTTAAATTGGATTACAATCCTGACTTCATCACTGTCATTTGTAATTAGGTCTGGCATTCTAGACTTAATGCAGCCACCACTGTGTATCTACGACTGTGACAAGAGGCCATCTGCACACACCACGAACTAAAAGCCGCATTTTGACCCCCGGCCTGATACCAAAGCTCAGTGCAACAGTGTGAGAGACCACGGCTTCAACTTCATCTTTCCCCTTTTCTTTATCTAACTTTTCTTACACAAAACTAGGCAGCAAAAAAAAAAAAAAAAAAAAAAAAAAAAAAAAAAAGGGCAAAGGAGAAATCAAGAGCCTATACAATCTATAAACTAGCTCATCAGCTCCTAAATCAAGAGGCCAACTCTTTTGTTATGGTTTGAATTGTGTCTCCCACCCTAATTGTGACTGTATTTAGAGACAGAGTTGGTGTGGAGGTAATCAAGTTAGAATGAGGTCATTAGGGAGGGCACTACTACAATCTGACTGCTGTCCTTATACAAAGGGGAAATTTGAATACGGTCTCAGGCACACAGGGAGATCATTTTGTGAGGATGAAGGCAGGGATCCGGGTGATGCCTCTACCAGCCAAGGAACAACAACGATGGGCAGCAAACCACCGGAAGCCAGGGGAGAAGCCTGGAACGCATTCGCCCTCACCGGCCCCGAAAGGAACAGATCCCATAACGCTTTGATCTCAGACTTCCAGCCTCCAGAACTGTGAGACAATACATTTCTGTTGTTGAAGCCACACAGTTTGTGGTATTTTATGACAGCAGCCTTAGCAAACTAATACATCTTTGTATTTTAAAATCACGGATAGAAGAGTGTGGGTATCCACTGAAACCACAAGCGGCTTCCCACAGGTTGTTTACGGTCAGCTTTATGCTTAGAGGGAGGTGTGAGAGTCTCATAGTAACACACAGAAATCTGCATTATTTATGACTAAAAGCAAAAGCAAAATGTCTTGTTTGTCAGTCACTCCCCTCTAGGTAAGTCTTGTCCAAATTCTTGAGTTATTAATAGCTTAATTTCTTTCCCACACAGCTATGATCTGATTAAGACGAGAGGGATCCATTTAAACCAATCTACTGTATTCTTTTCTATTCGTGCAGTGGCACAATCTCAGCTCATTGTAGCCTCCGCCTTGTGGGCTCGAGTGATACTCCCACCTCAGCCTCCTGAGTAACTGGGACAACAGGCATGCACCACCACACCCAGCTTTTTTTTTTTTTTTTTTTTTTTTCCATAGAGACTGGGTTTCGCCATGTTGCCCAGGCTGTTCTTGAACTCGTGAGCTCAGGCAATCCACCTGCCCCAGCCTCCCCAAGTGTTGGGATTACAGTTATGAGCCACCGTGCCTGGCCTTGTATTCTTGACATTAATCTATTGAATGTATGTTGCTGCCACTTCAAGAGCAGTACAGATGTAAATGAAAATAAGAAAAAATAAATCAGGGAGCCATAACATGAACACTCCTTCTGCCATGCAACAGCAATTCTCCATTCAACTCTTAAGCATATTAATATCTTTATTGCTTATACGACCATTTACTAACCGGTTCAGCAAGAGTTGGGAAAGGGGGCAGAAATCTCTCGAAGTTCCAGTTGATTTCTTTTGGGGCCATGATTATTATCGGGAGGATTCAAAACTAGTCTAGCAGATCCCAAATGGAAGTGTCTCTGCCTTGTACAAAGGAGACTGATTTTGAAGCCTTCCTGCCTAGGACTGCACCCTGTGTGTGTCTTATGAGCACTTGCCTGTGCTGGAAAATATTGACATCAACAGGAAAGCAAAGCAGATTGAATGAATATTATCAAAATAGATTTTCTGAACTCACTTTTGCAAAAATAATCCATTCCATTGACTATGTACATGTGAGCCAGTGGTGAAAATACACTTCTATTTGGAAATCTGCTGTCAGATGGAATGGCATTTCATCATCCTCTCCAAGCCACTTCCCCCAGGGTCACCACCACCACCAACCCTCATATTTACATTTCCTCACATTACTTCACTTTGATCTGCCTTTTTCCTTCTAAGCTACCAAGCAGGAATTTCAACAAAACCCCACCCAAAGTCTGCTCCCTATACTACAGGTCCTGATAATTTTTTTTTTTTTTTTTTTTTTTACAAACAGAAAACTAAAATTGGGTATAGCATTAAGTGGAGCAGAAAATTGTCACTCTCGTTTTATGGCCCCGAAGGCAACACCTTATGTCCAATCTGCAGAATGCCAAAGATACCATTTGGTGCTCAAAAAAGGGAGAAAAAATGGCTGTAAATGGGGCTCCGTGTGTGGCACTTTCATGCAGGTTTTCCAGTCAAGTAATCAAGGAATTTCTCTAAGATCCTTTTCAAGGCAAGATATTTTTAAAGACTCCTTAGCAAAAAAAAACATTTTAGGCCCAAATTCAAGTAATTTGGTAATAAACGTTGCGTGCTGGGTGAACTATTTGTCTCATATGAGCACATAGAAGATATGTGTTCTGTAAACCTTGTAAGAGTTTACCTTCAATTTCAATCCCCTCTGCAAATGCATTAGGATTGTAATCTCCTTAATAGCAGCGACTATGAATGTGAAGGCTCATATGCTTGGTAACAATCTGGCTGAATGGGAAAAGTCCAGTAACTGCAGGCAGAGAGGCCTGGGTTTAATGGGGGCTCCACCACTTTGCTGGCTTTCTGATCTTCAGAAAATTACTTACCCTAGAGGGCTATTGTGAGGATTAAATGAGCTAATGTGTGAAGTGCAAGCACTGATTCAGAGCAAGTGCTCAATAGTTGCCTTTACTACTGTTTATGTTCCAGGCCATATTGGGCCCAGAGTAAATTGGAGCAGGAGTCTAATGGGCTCCTTGGCCTGACAACCCTCAATTTGCTATGAAGAGCATAAATATGAAATAAACATGCATATTTGCATCTCTTGATTGGGTACTTTCGTCTCAGTCAGTCTATTCAAGGTCCTAGTGGGTTCATAAATCCATTTCATTTGAATCCAGAGTTCCCCCCACAACTTCTCATACACATTCTCACATACTGAACACTTCATTACAAACCTGGGCATGACGAATGTCTATTCCTTCACTTGTTGAGACGACCTCTCTCATCCAGCCCATCTACCTCTTCCTGGCTGCAATTACTGCCCTTTCCAACCTGGGCTTCAGAATGGATCATTCATCAGCAGGGTTCTTCCTCACAGCGGTAATTCCTTACCCTCCCCACTCTCAGTCCTGGTCCGGTGTTATCACCACCGTCTGCTTTCTTTTCTCTTATGCCTGGGCTGCTGGACATTGTTGTGAAAAGTCAAGATGATTGGTCCATTCATTCATTCATTCATTTAACCAATATTTACCAAGTTTCCTAAAGCTTTATTGGGCACTGGAGATATAGAGTCAGGACAGACCCAGAGGTCCCTACATCCGTCACATTTACAGACTAGTAGAGGGACAGCCACAGACGACACACAGATACCATTGCACAATGTGACCAGGGCTATGAAGGACGTGCTGGGATGAAGGAAGATGGGAAGAGGGAGGCCATTCCAACAGCAGTGGCCTGAGGAGGCGCTGCTCAGGAGAGGCGTTCACGCTGAAGCCTGAAGGATGAGAGGGAGCAGCATCTGCAAAAGCCCTGGGGAGGGAATGCACCTGACACATTTGAAGGCCCACAAAGGCCCATGTGGCTGAAGCAAGGACTTTTGGGGAACTGTGGTGTGGGACAGGGTGGGAGGGCAGAGCAGGGCTCTGCTTATGCCTGGCCTGAGAGGTATTGGTGAGAAGCTAGAATTTTATCCTCAGAAAAATGAGAAGCCATTGATGAGATTTAAGCAAAGAAGGGTCATGATAGGATTAGGATTTACCAAGAAAGGAGGCTCACTTATCTCCACCCCTCGACTGGCCCATTCTGGCCCCCAGTTCTCCTGGGCTTGCTATGGATTCCCTGATACGGGTGCTCAAAAGCTCTTCTTGCTGAATCTTCATGCACAAAGGGCCCACCTCTCAGCCCTCACCCTCACCCTCTACTTGACTGAAAAATTAAGGTCATCCTCTCTCTCTCTTCTCATGTTAAAATATGCATATCATAACATTTGCCATTTGCCATTTGAACCACTTTAAGTGTACATTTCAGTGTTCTTGAGGACATTTACATTGTGCATAACCACTACCACTGTCCATTTCCAGAACTTTTCGTCTTCTTTTTTTTTTTTGAGACAGAGTTTCACTCTAGTCACCCAGGCTGCAGTGCAATGGCCCGATCTCAGCTTACTGCAACCTCCACCTCCTGGGTTCAAGCAATTCTCCTGCCTCAGCCTCCCGAGTAGCTGGGACTACAGGCGCCCGCCACCACACTTGGCTAATTTTTGTATTTTTAGTAGAGATGAGGTTTCACCACGCTAGCCAGGCCGGTCTCGAACTCCTGACCTCAGGTGACCCACCCGCCTCGGCTTCCCAAAGTGCTGGGATTACAGGCATGAGTCACTGTGCCCGGCCACTTTTTCATCATTTCAAACTGAAATTCTGCACCCACGAAACAACATCCTTTTTCTTTTTTATTTTTATTGAGACAGGGTCTCGCTCTGTCACCCAGGCTTGAGTGCAGTGGCACAATCTTGGCTCACTGCAGCCTCTGCCTCCAGACTCACCCTCAATCTCCCCAGTAGCTGGGACTCACAGACGCACACCACAGCGCCTGGCTAATTTTTGTATAACTGGGTTTTGCCATGTCACCCAGGCTGGTCTCGAACTCCTGGACTCAGGTGATCTGCGCACCTCGGCCTCCCAGAGTGCTGGGATTACAGGCTGGGATTACCGCACCTGGCCAACAACATCTTTTTTCTTCTAACTTCCTCTGTAGCTTTACCAGCAGCTTCCATCTTGTCTCTGAAGGAAAAGTGGGCCTCTCCTGAGCCAAGGCTTTTTGTTCATTCCACCTTCTCCAACCGTCCTTGAACCATTTCCACGGACCCAGCCGGCTCACATCTTCAGTCTCTGCACTCTCTCCTTATCCCTCACTGACAGACAGGCCTATGTCTTTCCATCGCTAATGTCTATGAATAAATGAATGAACGTATTTTTAAAGGGCCAGGTGTGGTGGCTCACGCCTGTAATCCCAGCACTTTGAGAGGCCGAGGCAGGTGGATCGCTTGAGGCCAGGAGTTCAAGACCAGCCTGGCTAACATGGTGAAACCCCATCTCTACAAAAAATACAAAAAACCAAAGTGGGCATGATGGTGCATGCCTGTAATCTCAGCCACTCGGGAGGCTGAGGCAGGAAAATTGCTTGAGCCTGGGAGGTAGATGTTCCAGTGGGCCAAGATTGCACCACTGCACTCCAGCCTGGGTGACAGAGCTAGTTTCCATATAAAAAAAAAGAAAAAGAAAAAATATATATATATGTGTGTGTGTGTGTGTGTGTATACATATACATATACATATATATATATATATATTCAAAATCCTTCCCTCAGCTATACTACTCCCTTGGCCTAAGCTTAAATTTCTCCTTTGCTTCAATGCCTAGGTTCTGAGTTGTTCTGCACACGCTGCCTGTATGGCTGACACCAGCGATGTCCCCAGCCCCAGGGATCATGAGCCCTGGCCTTGCTGCAGCAGGTGACACTGCTACTGCTCCTCCTCCTCCTTGAAATTCTTTGATTCCTTGGCTTCTGTGATGCTGTATTTCAGTGGTCCCTCACACATGGGATGCGTCCTTTTCTGTCTCCTTCCCTCATCCCTCTCCTTCCCCTGGCCTTAAACACAGGAGCTCCTTAGGATCTGTTCTCGAATCCACTGCTCCTACCATCCGGCTCATTTTCTCTGCTGCCAGCTGGACATTCCCATGGGGACGGCCCGTCAGCATCTCAAATGCACTAGTTTCAAAACCAAACTCATCCTGTCCCCTGACCAGACCCAGCTTCACTTCCAGCTTGTGTATCCCAAAGGTCATAATTGCCACTGCCCCAGTTCACATCCTCATTAACACTTCCCTTTACTACGGCAAGAATCAAACTCCATTCTTACCCTGCGTGTATCCATCCTATCTGTTGCTTCTAGATGAATCCTCCTAAAACATGGGCTTGATCATAGCACTCACCCGTCCAATCACATCAGTGACACACTGTGACACACCTTGAGCCTGACATACAACAGCCCCGTGCCCTGGCTCCAGGCAATCTTTCAGCTTTATCTATGACAACGAACCAGGCCACAAACATCTCAAGCATGTCTATGGCATTCTGAGCTCTTGTCCCTTCCCTTGCTTCCCCATCTGACTTTTTTATCCCTTTCTTTCTTCAGGGTCCTTCCAAGTGATGCTATTTCTTCCTAAAATGTCATGCAATTCCCGAATGTGGTTTCTTCCTACAGTACTTTGTTGCAACTTCCTGTTGACACTAGTTCTGTCCTTAGTTGCTCTACCTGATGGTAGTTTCTTTCCCTTCCTTCCCTTCTCCAAACCACTTTGCTTGTCTGTAAAAGTATGACCGGAGGCCTTGATGACCTCTCCTGCATCTCCCCATCTACCATTTCTGAGTCTGTGGCTTTGGCAGCAGAAGTCCTGGTGTGTAGACACAATTTACTCTGTGCCCGATATGGCCTGGAATATAAACAGTAGTAAAACAATGGACCACAGTTGAAGGCTTGGGTTCCACAGGCTGCTCTACCTGAGCAAATCCCTTGACCACACTGGAAATCACATCTCCATCTTTGAAACTAATGATTTAGATTTGGAAGATCTCTTAAATCTTCTAAGTTACCACCTTTTAATTCCCATTTCTCCCAACACCCAAGACAATGCCTACTGTTTACAGAACAAGTTAGCTCTTTTCACCTATCATATTGTTTACTTCTTAAACCAACAAAGTGAATTCCAAGGCACGATAACCTTTATCAAGAAAGAAAAGTAAGCCAGGCATGGTGGCTCATGCCTATGATCCCAGCACTTTAGGAGGCCAAGGCAGGAGGATTGCTTGAGGCCGGGAGTTCAAGACCAGCCTGGCAACACAGCAAGACCCCCATCTCTACAAAAAATTTTCAAAATTATCCAGGTATGGTGGTGTGTACCTGTAGTCGTAGCTACATAGGAGGATTGCTTGAGCCCAGGAGGTCAAGACTGCAGTGAGCTATGATCGCAGCACTACACTCCAGCCTGGGTGACACAGTGAGACCCTGTCTGAAAAAATAAAAAAGCTTATTTTTTCCATTTCTCATAATTGGCCCCTAATTCTGATTTCAAATGTATAATCAAATGTGTGCTCTAAAATAAGTTATGTGTACACAAATGGGGATTTTTACCTGCAAACTAAGTTACTGTAGGCTTATTGGCACAAATATAGTCTATGTATCATAGAAATCATTGGGATTAAGTGTTGGGAGTAAATGTATCAGGGGACATCTCATTTTGCTTGACTTGAGGACTTACTACATAACTAGGGACTCTTACACGTATCAGCCCGTGACCCACGTAGATACCAGAGAGAAGCAGAGAAGCTTCCTGTCCCAGGGCCCGCGGCCCTCCTGCTGTGGGCTCCAATCATGCCTCCAATGTGCCTTGAGCTCCCCTCTCAGCTTTGCATGGAAGGGCTCCAGCATCTTCTCCCGGATGGCTCGTCTCTTGAGATTGTCCAGCTTCAGCTCTTCCTGGGTGCCTCAATCCTGACCAGGAAGGCCTGTCCCTTCTGTCTCAGGACCAGCCCATTTCCACTCCCTCAGGCCTTCTGAGGCCCATGCTGCTCCTGGAAAGCCTGACAGAAATTAGATTTCCTGCCAGGCATTTTCCTTGTCAGAGGTCACAAGCCCAGTCCTCATCTTTCTCACGGCAAAGCACCTGGGATCTCAGAACTCGAAGAGTGCATGTTCCTGGTGAAGAAAGAAGGCAGAAGAGTGGGTGCCCCCGGCTGAGCCGGGAGGCTTGGCCCCTGGCTGGTGCTTCATGCTCCAGACCAACCGCAGCTAATGCTTATTCCTTGAGTTACAAACATAAAGCCTTTGAACCCTGCTCCTCTGATAAAAAGCCATCCCATCCTGTGATCTCATCCATACTGAGTTTAAGAAGGTGAAGCTCTTTTCCTATCTTTGTCATCTGTTTCTGTATTTTAAACAGCTGTCTAATATAGAGGATTACCAAAGGCTAATCTTGAAAAAAACAGCAAAGGAGGTGGTATTATGCCCTGAGCTTCCATATCTCTGCCCTTCCCCATGATTTATGGGCCCAGGGTTCCCTCTTCTTCTGAAGAAAGGATCCAGCCTCAGGCATGCGTATCTTTACACAGAATGTGTCAAAATGTAGTCCAAGCATCCCCCTCATCAGAAACTCCCTGGGTACTTTTTAAAATGCAAATTCCTGGCTTCACCCGGCACCACTGAATAAGAATATTAAGGTAAGGTCTGAGGTCTGTTTCCTGTGCCTAGCATGCATTATCCGTCCACGTGCTGATGCAGCTCAGGGAGTTTTAGAGGAAGGCACTGTTTTCTCTTATAGGAACTTAAGAAATTATGGCCAGTTTACACGGAGTGTGGAAGGCTAGCGGGGGTGAGGGTGGAGACATTTTGAAAGCCAGAGGTTTTATCTATAATGTAAGAGTCACCTGCCTTTGGGTCACGCCACCTGAATCTATTAACATATTCCACCTTCACTAACTAGCTGCCAACTCAAACCTATGCCAGTTTAGAAACTCTGAAAATAGCACTGCCAAGCATTGGAAATGAAATGTGTGTGTCAAGAATACGCTACCCCCTCTTTCAGGGGTCTGAACATTCTCCTACACTCAGTGATAACAATTGTACTTCACGCACTGTTGGAGAAGCAAATGACCCAATTTTAACTCGTCAGAGCTCTTCTTATTCTCCCCTTCCTTAAACGCATACAACCTCCTTATGGATATATAACATGGAGACTTTCTGCCACAAGTCTTCACAATAGATTTGAGTGATTTTTAGAATCCAGGTGAAAGAGTTTGAGAACAGCTTCCTGCTGTTTTTTCCCCCCTTAAAATAATTCTCATATGGCTAGGCATGTTGACTTACACCTGTAATCCCAGCACTTTGGGAGGCCGAGGCGGGCGGATCACGAGGTCAGGAGTTCGATGCCCGCCTGACCAACATGGTGAAATCCTGTCGCTATTAAAAATACAAAAATTAGCTGGGCGTGGTGGTGTGTGCCTGTAATCCCAGCTACTCAGGAGGCTGAGGCAGGGGAATCGCTTGAACTCGGGAGGCAGAGGTTGCAGTGAGCCGAGATCGTACCACCGCACTCCAGCCTTGGTGACAGTGAGACTCTGTCTCAAAAAATATAAAATAAATAAAAAATAAAAAAATAATTCTCATATGGGACATTTACCAAAGGGTATTACTATTTTCCAAACTGAAATCAAACTGGTGAATATCCATGCAGGTACCTTAATTTTTCTATACAGATGGGTGTATGCATGCATTTTTTTTAAGTCCATTAATCCTCAGAGCTACCTTACAGTGTATGGATTCTGAGCAAATCTTATTAGCTGGGACCAGTCTCTCCTGCCTAATACTTTCTTAACAGATGAAAGCTAATGTAAATGCTACAGCTTTGATCGGTAGCATCTGTAAACCACAAGTGCTGGTGAAAAATGCAGATTCCTGAGCCCTGTGCCACACTCACTAAATCAGAACCTCCGTGGGCTGATGTACAAGTGGTCTGCATTTTTAATAAACTCCCCAGGGGACTGTGATCATCATGATGCCCTATCCTAGAGCATAAATATCATGAACTACTCAGTCAGCAGGTAGACATGTTCTTGCCAGTCTCTGAGTTTGTGTCAAAGTGTTAGCTCTCTAGAAAGGCTGGGCAGCAAGGCAAGGAAGACCCAGTCTTCCTCTTTTTGAAATGTCTCACAGCATGTGGTAGGTTCTCAACATACATTTTTATTTATTTTTTTTTTGAGGCAGAGTCTCACTCTGTCGCCCAGGCTGGAGCGCAGTGGCATGATCTCGGCTCGCTGCAACCTCCGCCTCCCAGGTTCAAATGACTCTCGTGCCTCAGCCTCCTGAGTAGCTGGGACTAAAGGCACGCAACCACCACACCAGGCTATTTTTTGTGTTTGTAGTAGAGACAGAGTTTCGCCATGTTGGCCAGACTGGTCTTAAACTCCTGAGGTCAAGCGATCTGCCGGCCTCAGCCTCCCAAAGTGCTGGGATTACAGGTGTGAGCCACTGTGCCTGGCCTTCTCCTGCTTTTGATGGAGAGAAGAGAGGTCATGAAATGCCAGTAAGAGAATGTGTGGGTGAAGGGGCTCACACTAATAGCATTTTACCTGTTGACCCTGAATTTATTTTATCAGCCAGCTACTAATGATTTCTACTCCACATTCTAGAGATCTCAGACTGTAGGGCTGGAAAGATGGCCTCACTCTGCTCTTCCATGGGACAGCTCCACCATCCCTGTTATCAGTAGCCAAGAACTTGATCCAGAATCTGAACTTAACTACTGGAGACTCTGTCTCAGCTTCCGTATCGGCTAATGACTCTTTGACATCAAGTTGATATGTAAAGCCTTCCCTGCAAATCAAATAACACTTTGGCAAACATGTATAATAGTATGACTTGATATTGTCCATTAAAAAAAAAACTTTTTCTATGGTACTTGGAATCATGCCCATCTTAATAAAGCCTCCATAGGTCATGAAATTAAATGTTTGTAAAAGCATTATCACAACATATCTAGTGAATTGGATAGATACGGAAGAGAAAGACTAATTCATGAAGTAGCTTTTTCATATTAGTGATATTAAGAATAATAGTCATTATCATAAGATTGTGAGATTTGAAATTAGGATCTGTGCACTATGAGAAAACATCGAGTTTATTACTATTATTATTATTTTGAGACAGAGTCTTGCTCTGTCGCCTAGCTGGAGTGCAGTGGCTCAATCTCAGCTCACTGCAGCCTCTGCCTCCTGGATTCAAGCGATTCTCCTGCCTCAGCCTCTGGAGTAGCTGGGACTACAGGTGTACACCACCATGCCTGGCTAATTTTTTGTATTTTTAGTAGAGATGGCATTTCATTATGTTGGCCAGGCTGGTCTCGAACTCCTGACCTCGGGTGATCCGCCTGCCTCGGCCTCCCAAGGTGCTGGTATTACACATGTGAGCCACCTCGCCCAGCCTGTTTTTTTTTTTTTTTTTTTTTTTTACTTTTTTTATAGTCTAATTTCAGGCATTATCTAATGATACATATTTCAAAATAATAACCCTAGAGACAGTTTTTTTAACAAAAGAAATTATTTTAAATCTTGATTTTGAGTAAACCATTGGAGTGTACCTTATTCCAATAAAAATCTCATTTCAGCTTCCTTTCCTTGCAGGATTCTAGGCTTAGCTGGAGCTAAAGTTTTCCTTTACTGAGGTGGTAGAATTTCCATGAAGGTCAGAGTTTATTCCTGCAGCAAAGGTTAGACAGGTCAATGATTTGGCAGTAGAATAAAAGGCTCAAGAGTGATGGAAAAGCAAGATTACAGAGAATATTAAAACACGGCCTATCCCCCAAAATGTAAAACAATTTCATGTTAGACTCACATGGATGATACAGATTAACAGAAATGCTTAGAAGCCAGGGAAAAGAAAATTGTTTTGCTGTTTTTTTCCAAAGATCTTCGAGTTTGTACAGACACACCCAAAATATTTGGCTTCTTCCCAAAACTTCAGACTCTAGCACTGCTGTAAAAATAGCTGTGAGCTACGAGGAATGAAGGGTGGGAAAAGTCTGCGTTTCTGAAAGGGGCCTTGTTTGGCCTCAGCCTCAAAGATTTTTACACGTACGAACTCATTTGTCCACATGGATAAATGCAGTCACAGTGATCTTCACATCTACAGGGCAAAGGGTCACCAGAAGTAAAAGTCTCCCACAGTGTTCACACTTGGTGGGGTGCAGGGGGAGTCATTCCAGATGTTGCTAGATAATGCTGAGCTGTTTCCATGAAAAGCCGTAGGAATGGCATTAGCTCACATGGAAATAATGTTTTAACTAGCTGGGAGTGGTTCCTGGAGCTTGCCCTAATCCTGCCTGGATCTAACCCATCCTGAGCCACTGCAGAAACTATACCCAGGTACCAAACTGGTAGAATAGTTTAGCAGAACTCTGGTTGAAATAACCTCTGGTTGAATAAGACATGGCATCTATCACTGCCAGCCTGGGCAGGGGTAAAAGTGCCTCTAAGGACCAGAAACAGTACTCCAAGGGTTCCAGGTCACAATAAATGTGGAGATAACATCATGGAGATGACCAAGGAGAGAGGTTTCAGAGGTACCAGGTGGATTTGTTACATCAGTAGCAAAGAAAGCTGTCTTGTCTATATAACCACTAGTGAGATCTGCCACTGTTGGGCTATTTTTTTTTTTTTTTCATTCCTTCTCTGTAATAAACAATCCTGGTAACATGAATTGATTTTACATGATTTTAATTCTAATGAAATGTCAGATTGTCAGCTCAAATTAAAATCTCTTATTTCAGGGTGAATAAATATGAAAAGGTTCTTTGGAATTAGGCTTGGAGCTTCAGTCTAGAGCTCCTGAGAAAAATGTGCAACCCCCTCCTTCCTAGTGTTTATAAAATAAAATAGTGTAAAATGGTTTCACCCAGGGTGCAGGCCTCTGCTTTAACCACGAGATCACTAAGAACTGGCTCTTCACAACCCACCAGGTGGAGTCCAAGCCTCCATCACTGTGAAAAATCTTGTAGAACTCAGCCCTCATGAGACTGTGTTCTGGAAGAGCAACTTCTCTCCTGGCCTTGACTGCTGTGGGCATGAATTCTGGACTTGACTAGTTAGGGAGGATCTATCAGATCTGTCCTGCTCACCGGGTAAGTAGGGTTCAGGGGACTATCTTGGCCACGATCCTTGAAGTCACCTACAATTTGGAAGTGGCAAGGCTGATTCCCAGCTGTGGGTGTGAAACAGAGGAAATCTACTGATGAAAGGAGGCTCACCTGGGGAAGCAAGGGACTGTCTGAAAAGGCAGTGGGAGACTGGGGGAGGGAAGAGAAAAAAAAAAAAAGAAAAGCACATGAAGCATCTAGCGGACTTTGGAGGTAAAAATCTAGAGTGTTCCTTTAAGCCATAGGTATACAGGGGTATTGAGTTTTGTATACAGAAATTGGAGAAACAGTGTATGGTGGAGCTATTGAGGACACTGAATCAATTCAAATGAAAATAGAGGGCCTTTACCTTGGGCCCTTATGAGTATAACAATACATTGAATATGACCCTCTAATGATTCAGTTTGAGATTGTCGATAAAATACAGGATGGATATTGCATGGGATGTACTTACATCTAAAATAATTATTCATTGTTTATCAGAAATTCAAATTTCACTGGGCATTTGATATTATATTTTTCTTTGTTAAGTCTGGCAACCCAGATTCAATTTACTATGCATACTGTGATTACTTACACAAAACGAACTATAAAGTCTACATGGTGGGTTTTGAAACACACCTCCAATTCTTTTTCTCTGAGGAACTGGGAGTCGGGAGGGGCTAACCATTAACTAGTGTGGCTTGGGAAGGTCTCCCTTCATCTCAAGTCTGGATCCTAGAGTATACATCATATGTGGCTTGTGAACCACAAACCGCACCTACTGAGCTGCAATGACCCCTTATTGTTATAAGGCCGGTATCGCCTAGTCTTCATCTCTATATGCATTTATGCTAAGTACAGTTGTTCAATATGAAGTCTATAAAGCTTTATAAATTAACTGCTACAGAAGGCCTTGTTTGCTTCCAAAACACCCTTCAAAAGGCATCATAACCTGTATTCCTCATTAATGAAGGAAAAGCTGTACCACATTCTTTTCCTGTGCTTTTTCTAAGCATTCTCTGCATGGCATGGGTTCTTAATTGCTATACATCTCTCTCTCTCTCTCTCTTTTCTCTCTCCCACATGCAGGAGAGCAGACTTCACGGAGCTTGTCCACACCTTCCAGAGGATTTAGAGTCTTGCGGAAATTTATTCCTATTTTCCATCTCCTTAGCTGACATCTCACCCTCTGCTATGATGTCAATTAATGACTCCATGGGGATGGTCAAAACCCACGTCTCCAGCTGTGAGGTCTCTCCTGAGGTTCAGACCTACGTATTCAACTGCCTGCTTTACCTGGGCACCAAGGAGCTTCATCAAGAAAAGAGCCAGAAAAACATCTGAGACCCACTGATTGCAGAACACGCCTAAAAACGCATGGTGGGAAGTGAACACAGGAAGTAGCTTTATACCACAAGGAAGAGTACTCTGAAGCTGGCCCTCTTCTTCAGGGACCTTTGAAGGAAGGATAAGAGGCCATGGAACCGTGGAAGGGAGTCCCACTTGGAAGGGTAAATACAGAACAAATAGCCCCATTTTCTGAGGCAGAGGGGCCAAGAGAGATTCATTAGGGTTCGAGGAAAGTAAGAAAGGCTGCCCAAGGCTTGAATGAAGGACCGAGGGAGCTGTTCTATGGAGAGATGAATGCCTAATAAAACTGGAGTTGAGGCAGGCTGAGAAGGGCTTTCCCTCTCTTCTTCTTTTACTTGAACTCAGATGAGTTTTTTAATAAGCTCAATAGCATTCTTGTTAAGGATGACAGTGGAAGCAGTTAGCCAACACTATGCCATGCCGCGGGAGGCGGTAACCCTGAGAAGGATGGCCACCTCCGTGGGTGAACATCTGAAAAGGCAGACTTGGTCAGTGTAGTAATTGTTTACAAGCTTAAAGCTTTGAATTAGACTATTGATTGGGTTAATTTTCCATGGGATATTGGATTGGGTTTGCATTCCAACATCAGAGTTCATTAAAGTTGCATTGCAGTTGATTATCTCCCATTAAGAAGCCCGTTTTGAAGTTGCATTACTGGGAAATGTATGTGCATCGACACCTCCTACTTCCAGCCCTAAGAATGCAAATACAGGAGCTTCCTATTGATTTCATTGAATTTCACTAGGCAGCCGAAACCCACATTTTACTTTAAATCCCTATTCCAGTTTCTTGAAAAATTAGCGCCACTGTCAGTACTAGAAAGGGGCCGGAAAACTGTTGTTAAATTCTATGGGTCCTTCGCATAATCAACAAAATGTCATTTAATGAATAAAACTACTTTAAATAATAGTTCTAGCTAACTTAGCAAATATTCAATTCAATAACTTTTGAGGACAACTTCACTTATAAGTCTATTTGGGAGTTGGGGTTTTTGTTTGTGGGTTGGTTGATTTTGTATGGTTTTTGTTTGTATTATCCATATACTGCCATATGTATCTAGGTTTTTAAAGCTGTATTTCACATTGTAATCCAGGGGTAATACATCAAATCACAGAATCTGAGCTCTAGACAGCCATCTTTCTACATCACAAACACATTTAAGAAGGAAGAGAAAATCATCTTCTGAAAACATCAACTTAGCTTTGCAGACCTGAAAATCTCTCCCTCTCAGCCCTGGCTTTGAGCAATATAGGTGGCTTTCCTGTTTAAGGCAAAAGAGTACATTGAAAGGCAAATGAGAATTTCAAAGGAAGAGTTCACAACTTCTAAACTTTTTCTTTACTCTCTCACTTGCAAGAGATCAGGACTCCTGGAGATTTTAACCAAAGCTATTGAGAGGTGGAAAGTTCTCGCTTTTTGTTGTTGTTGTTTTGACTGTGACAGTGAACAGCCCATGCCTCAGAGTTACAGACACAAAGCAGGGAAAGTGAGCTCCCATGAAACCTTATGGGAGCTCTACCTTGTTTCTAGACTCTGGAAGCCACACACTGTCCTTCCTGTTTCCTTAATCATGAAATGACGAACAAGTTTAGGCAACACACAGGAGTCCCATGTTAGAGACTAAACATTCCAGAGTAAAAATATGCTTCATGTCACAGTGCATTTCACTAAGGCAAAGTGTGAACTCTGCTCACCCTGTCTGTATACTTGTTTGTAAAAGGTACACAAAGATGTACAAAGTGTACAAAAGTGTACAATGTTCTCTAATCAGAGCACTGGCCAAGCTGGTGGGCCTTTCAAACCACACTCGCCTTCCAGCCCCTCTTGGATCTCCAGCTCAAGGAGGCATGGCAATGACATGAACCCCAAAGACATGTTGTTATGGCCTTGGGGCTGTGATCCCAGATGCTTCCACGGCCATGCGTTCTCTTTGTTTAGTGTCTCAAAGCCAGAGACTAAAGAAAGAACCAGAAGATTAAGTCCTAGTCACCAGAAGCAAAGGTTCTACTGAAACACTTCTTGACTTGACAGGAGTTTTCTCCAGGAAGACTCATATTCAAGAAGACTATGGGAATGCACACTTCAGAGACTAAGCTAGCAGTAGGTTGGGAGTCCCTGGAAAGAAGATAATTTTCAAAGGTCAGAGCCCAGGCAAATAAGAGAGTCAATTCAGGGTCAGCTCAGTAGAAGTCAATACAATAGAAACATAAGATAAACCTTTCACAGAACCCAGACACAGATTCAGCTAACAGTGGTTCTCAGCCCTGGCTGTGTCAGGCCTCTGAGCCCAAGCCAAGCCATCGCATCTCCTGTGACTTGCACGTATACGCCCAGATGGCCTGAAGTAACCGAAGAATCACAAAAGAAGTGAATATGGCCTGCCCCACCTTAACTGATGACATTCCACCACAAAAGAAGTGTAAATGGCCGGTCCTTGCCTTAAGTGATGACATTACCTTGTGAAAGTCCTTTTCCTGGCTCAAAAAGCACCCGCACTGAGCACCTTGCGACCCCCACTCCTGCCCGCCAGAGAACAAACCCCCTTTGACTGTAATTTTCCTTTACCTACCCAAATCCTATAAAACGGCCCCACCCTTATCTCCCTTCGCTGACTCTCTTTTCGGACTCAGCCCGCCTGCACCCAGGTGAAATAAACAGCCATGTTGCTCACACAAAGCCTGTTTGGTGGTCTCTTCACACGGACGCGCATGAAATTTGGTGCCATGACTCGGATCGGGGGACCTCCCTTGGGAGATCAATCCCCTGTCCTCCTGTTCTTTGCTCCATGAGAAGGATCCACCTACGACCTCAGGTCCTCAGACCAACCAGCCCAAGAAACATCTCACCAATTTTAAATCAGGTAAGCGGCCTCTTCTTACTCTCTTCTCCAACCTCTCTCACTGTCCCTCAACCACTTTCTTCTTTCCACTCTTCAATCTCTCCCTTCTCTGAATTTCAATTCCTTTCATTTTCTGGGAGAGACAAAGGAGACACATATTATCTGTCAACCCAAAACTCCGGCGCCGGTCACGGACTGGGAAGGCAGCCTTCCCTTGGTGTTTAATCATTGCAAGGACGCCTCTCTGATTATTCAACCACATTTCAAAGGTGTCAGACCACGCAGGGATGCCTGCCTTGGTACTTCACCCTTAGCGGCAAGTCCTGCTTTTCTGGGGAAGGGGCAAGTACCCCAACCCCTTCTCTCCTTGTCTCTACCCCTTCTCTGCTTTCCTGGGGCAGGGGCAAGTACCCCTCAACCCCTTCTCCTTCACCCTTAGAGGCAAGTCCCGCTTTTCTAGGGGGCAAGAACCCCCAATCCCTTATTTCCACACCCCAACCTTGTATCTCTGCACCCCAATCCCTTATTTCCGTGCCCCGACCCCTTATTTCCATGCCCCAACCCCTTATTTCTGCACCCCATCCCTTATTTCCATGCCCCGACCTCTTATCTCTGCGCCCCAACCCCTCTTCCCACTTTTCTGGAAGGTAAGAACCCCCGAACCCCTTCCCTCCGTTTCTCTACTCTCTCTTTTCTCTAGGCTTGCTTCCTTCACTATAGGCAACCTTCCACCCTCCATTCCCCCTTCTACTCCCTTGGCCTGTGTTCTCAAAAACTTAAAACCTCTTCAACTCACACCTGACCTAAAACCTAAATGCCTTATTTTCTTCTGCAATGCTGCTTGACCCCAATACAAACTCAACAGTAGTTCCAAATAGCCAGAAAATGGCACTTTGAATTTTTCCATCCTGCAAGGTCTAAATAATTCTTGTTGCAAAATAGGCAAATGGTCTGAGGTGCCTAATGTCCAGGCATTCTTTTACACATCAGTCCCTTCCTAGTCTCTGTGCCCAGTGCAACTCGTCCCAAATCTTCCTTCTTTCCCTCCCGCCTGTCCCCTCAGTCCCAACCCCAAGCGTCCCTGAGTCTTTCTAATCTTCCTTTTCTACAGACTCATCTGACCTCTCCCCTCCTCGCCAGGCCAAGCTAGGTCCCAATTCTTCCTCAGCCTCCGCTCCTCCACCCTATAATTTTTTTATTGCCTCCCCTCCTCACACCTGGTCAAGCTTACAGTGTCCTCTGTGACTAGCCCTCCCCCACCCGCCCAGCAATTTACTCTTAAAAAGGTAGCTGGAGCTAAAGGCTTAATCAAGGTTAATGCTCCTTTTTCTTTATCCCAAATCAGATGGCGTTTAGGCTCTTTTTCATCAAATATAAAAATCCAGCCCAGTTCATGACTCGTTTGGCAGCAACCCTGAGACACTTTACAGCCCTAGACCCTAAAAGGTCAAAAGGCCGTCTTATTCTCAAAATACATTTTATTACCCAATCTGCTCCCGACATTAAATAAAACTCCAAAAATTAAATTCCAGCCCTCAAACCCCACAACAGGATTTAATTAACCTCGCCTTCAAGGTGTACAATAATAGAAAAAAGTTGCAATTCCTTGCCTCCACTGTGAGACAAACCCCAGCCACATCTCCAGCACACAAGAACTTCCAAATGCCTGAACCGCAGCGGCCAGGCGTTCCTCCAGAACCTCCTCCCACAGGAGCTTGCTACATGTGCCAGAAATCTGGCCACTGGGCCAAGGAATGCCCACAGCCCGGGATTCCTCCTAAGCCACGTCCCATCTGTGTGGGACCCCACTGAAAATCAGACTGTTCAACTCACCTGGCAGCCACTCCCAGAGCCCCTGGAACTCTGGCCCAAGGCTCTCTGACTGACTCCTTCCCAGATCTTCTTGGCTTAGCGGCTGAAGACTGACACAGCCCGATCGCCTCGGAAGCCCCATAGACCATCATGGACGCCGAGCTTCCGGTAACTCTCACAGTGGAAGGTAAGGCCGTCCCCTTCTTAATCAATACGGAGGCTACCCACTCCACATTACCTTCTTTTCAAGGGCCTGTTTCCCTTGCCTCCATAACTGTTGTGGGTATTGATGGCCAGGCTTCTAAACCTCTTAGAACTCCCCACCTCTGGTGCCAACTTAGACAATACTCTTTTAAGCACTCCTTTTTAGTTATCCCCACCTGCCCAGTTCCCTTATTAGGCTGAGACACTTTAACTAAATTATCTGCTTCCCTGACTATTCCTGGACTACAGCTATATCTCATTGCCGCCCTTCTTCCCAATCCAAAGCCTCCTTTGCGTCCTCCTCTTGTATCCCCCCACCTTAACCCACAAGTATAAGATACCTCTACTCCCTCCTTGGCAACCGATCATGCACCCCTTACCATCTCATTAAAACCTAATCACCCTTACCCCACTCAACGCCAATATCCCATCCCGCAGCACACTTTAAAAAGATTAAAGCCTGTTATCACTCGCCTGCTACAGCATGGCCTTTTAAAGCCTATAAACTCTCCTTACAATTCCCCCATTTTACGTGTCCTAAAACCAGACAAGCCTTACTAGTTCAGGATCTGCGCCTTATCAACCAAATTGTTTTGCCTATCCACCCCATGGTGCCAAACCCATATACTCTCCTATCCTCAGTACCTGCCTCTATAACCCATTATTCTGTTCTAGATCTCAAACATGCTTTCTTTACTATTCCTTTGCACCCTTAATCCCAGCCTCTCCTCACTTTCACCTGGACTGACCCTGACACCCATCAAGCTCAGCAAATTACCTAGGCTTTACTGCTGCAAAGCTTCACAGACAGCCCCCATTACTTCAATCAAGCCCAAATTTCTTCCTCATCTGTTACCTATCTCGGCATAATTCTCATAAAAACACACGTGCTCTCCCTGCCAATCGTGTCCGACTGATCTCTCAAACCCCAGCACCTTCTACAAAACAACAACTCCTTTCCTTCCTAGGCATGGTTAGCGTAGTCAGAATTCTTACACAAGAGCCAGGACCACACCCTGTAGCCTTTCTGTCCAAACAACTTGACCTTACTGTTTCAGCCTAGCCCTCATGTCTGCGTGCAGCGGCTGCTGCTGCATTAATACTTTTAGAGGCCCTCAAAATCACAAACTATACTCAACTCACTCTCTACAGTTCTCATAACTTCCAAAATCTATTTTCTTCCTCATACCTGACGCATATACTTTCTGCTCCCCGGCTCCTTCAGCTGTACTCACTCTTCGTTGAGTCTCCCGCAATTACCATTGTTCCTGGCCCGGACTTCAATCCGGCCTCCCACATTATTCCTGATACCACACCTGACCCCCATGACTGTATCTCTCTGATCCACCTGACATTCACCCCATTTCCCCACATTTCCTTCTTTCCTGTTCCTCACCCTGATCACGCTTGATTTATTGATGGCGGTTCCACCAGGCCTAATCGCCACACACCAGCAAAGGCAGGTTATGCTATAGTACAAGCCACTAGCCCGCCTCTTAGAACCTCTCATTTCCTTTCCGTCGTGGAAATCTATCCTCAAGGAAATAACTTCTCAGTGTTCCATCTGCTATTCTACTACTCCTCAGGGATTATTCAGGCCCCCTCCCTTCCCTACACATCAAGCTCGAGGATTTGCCCCACCTAGGACTGGCAAATTAGCTTTACTCAACATGCCCGGAGTCAGATAATTAAAATACCTCTTAGTCTAGGTAGATACTTTCACTGGATAGGTAGAAGCCTTTCCTACAGGGTCTGAGAAGGCCACCACAGTCATTTCTTCCCTTCTGTCAGACATAATTCCTCAGTTTAGCCTTCCCACCTCAATACAGTCTGATAAAAGACGAGCCTTTATTAGTCAAATCAGCCAAGCAGTTTTTCAGGCTCTTAGTATTCAGTGAAACCTTTATATCCCTTACAGTCCTCCGTCTTCAAGGAAAGTAGAATGGACTAAAGGTCTTTTAAAAACACACCTCACAAGCTCAGCCACCAATTTAAAAAGGACTGGACAATACTTTTACCACTTTCCCTTCTCAGAATTCAGGCCTGTCCTCGGAATGCTACAGAGTACAGCCCATTTGAGCTCCTGTATAGACGCTCCTTTTTATTAGGCCCCAGTCTCATTCCAGACACCAGACCAACTTAGACTGTGCCCCAAAAAAACTTGTCATCCCTACTATCTTCTGTCTAGTCATACTCCTATTCACCGTTCTCAACTACTCATACATGCCCTGCTCTTGTTTACACTGCCGGTTTACACTGTTTTTCCAAGCCATCACAGCTGATATCTCCTGGTGCTATCCCCAAACTGCCACTCTTAACTCTTGAAGTAAATAAATAATCTTTGCTGGCAGGACTATGCTGAATCTCCTTAGGCACTCTCTAATCAGATATCCTGAGTCATCCCAATTCTTAGACCTTTTATACCTGTTTTTCTCCTTCTGTTATTCCATTTAGTTTCTCAATTCATCCAAAACCGTATCCAGCCCATCACCAATCATTCTATATGACAAATGTTTCTTCTAACATCCCCACAATATCACCCCTTACCACAAGACCTCCCTTCAGCTTAATCTCTCCCACTCTAGGTTCCCACGCCGCCCCAATCCCTCTCGAAGCTGCCCTGAAAAACATCGCCCATTCTCTCTCCATACCACCCCCCAAAAATGTTCGCCGCCCCAACACTTCAACACCATTTTGTTTTATTTTTCTTATTAATATAAGAAGGCAGGAATGTCAGGCCTCTGAGCCCAAGCCAAGCCATCGCATCTCCTGTGACTTGCACGTATATGCCCAGATGGCCTGAAGTAACCGAAGAATCACAAAAGAAGTGAAAATGCCCTGCCCCACCTTAACTGATGACATTCCACCACAAAAGAAGTGTAAATGGCCGGTCCTTGCCTTAAGTGATGACATTACCTTGTGAAAGTCCTTCTCCTGGCTCATCCTGGCTCAAAAATCACCCCCACTGAGCACCTTGCGACCCCCACTCCTGCCCGCCAGAGAACAAACCCCCTTTGACTGTAATTTTCCTTTACCTACCCAAATCCTATAAAACGGCCCCACCCTTATCTCCCTTCGCTGACTCTCTTTTCAGACTCAGCCCGCCTGCACCCAGGTGAAATAAACAGCCATGTTGCTCACACAAAGCCTGTTTGGTGGTCTCTTCACACGGACGCGCATGAAAGGCTGTACATTAGAATCACCTGGGCTATGCTTTCATCCAAATTCAATACACAACGCTTCTCCATACCAGTCGAGTCCAAATTTGCGGGTGGTGGGGGGACATGGGTCTCTACATTGAAAATCTAATTTAACTCTACTTTGAAGTCAGTGTTGAGAAGCGTTGAGCTAAAGGTGTTCTTCACTATTTCCAGCTTGTTCAGGTAGTTGTCCCTTATCATGGATAGTGAGAATGTTACCCTAGGGAAGGACAGGGAATGGATCCCCTGGCTAAAAGGGGAGTGAAAGGAGGCAGATCAAGTTAGAATTTGATGTAGACACTTGGACAGCTGTATAACCAACCTGGTTATAAAAGGAAAGGAGACAGCCAAGGGGCCTATCTGGGTGACCTGCTGACAAATGTGGGGTGACCCGGTAGTGGCAGAGACACCTACTGTGAAAACAGATAAACAGCCCACTGCTGTTCTGGTTGGACTGTGGCAGAAGCTCAAACCAGAACAGCACTTTACTGAGGAGCCTCAGGTTCAGCCCACTGCCCCTTCCTCCCACAGAGCAACGGCAAGTGCCGGCCCCTTCAGATTAGGATGAAGGCCAAAGCCCTGAAATCCCAATCAGAGCAATGGTGGCCAGGGTGTCTGGGGGAACCAGAGGCCACAAGTAGAACTAATTATATATTGGTCACTTAAGAATTGAACCAGATTGCGTGCCCTAGTGGATACTGGAGCTGGATGCACCCTCATATATGGCAACTCCCATTGGTTCCAAGGGCCTATGTCAGCAATAGATGGTTATGGAAAGAGGCCATGGAAGTCAGACAGGTTGAACTAGTTTTACAAGTTGGGAGACTGCCACCAAAACTTTGTTGATATACATAGCTCCCATCCCAGAATATATCTTGGGAATGGATATCTTATCAGGCTTGACCCTCCAAACAACTGCTGGGGAATTCCAAATGACAGTTAGAGTGGTGAAGCATGTGATGGGCGGGGAGGGGAATGCAAAAGCAGTGAGTAGTAGCACTGGAGCAACACCGCCTGCTGGTGGGGAGAGAGGCAGGATGAAACCACGAGGACCACGGGGGAGTTAGCCCGGGTAGGCATCATAAGGCCAGCGCACAGCCCATGCAACAGCCCTGTATGGCCCATACAGAAACCTGATGGTACATGGAGAATGACAGTAGATTACTGAGAATTAAATGTGTGCAGCTGTTCCCAATATCGCCTCCTTTCTGATGAGGGTAGGAGAGATGCTGGACACATACCATTTTGTTACCGATGTAGCCAACACCTTCTTCAGCAACCCCATTGCACCAGAGAGTCAAGACCAATTTGCATTTACCTGGAAAGGAGAACAATGGACCTTTACTGTCTGCCCTAGGGATATTTGCCTAGCCCCACTCTGTCCCTGCCTAGTGGCTGAGGATCTTGGTATATGAACTGCCCAGGAGGGGGTACATGTTTTCCATTACATTGGTGATTTCATGCTAACTTCTGAGTCTTCCTCCAGCAAACTGCAGCCACCACCTTGCTGTCTCACTTGGAAAACAGGATGGGCAGTCAACAGAGACAAACTCCAGGGTCCAGGCTTGTCAGTCAAATACTTGGGTGTCCTCTGGTCAGCTAAGACTAAAGTTGTTCCATCTGCCATTGTGGATAAGGTGCAGGTCTACCCACGTCCTACCATACCAAAGCAGCTGCAAACCTTCTCAGGCCTTCCAGGGCATGGGTGTCTTTTTATTCCCCATTTGGCCCAAATCCTTAGCCCCCGTACTGCTTAATTAAGAAGAGGGGCCATGGGGACTGGCCCACAAGGGGAGGATGAGGCCTAGAAACAAGATAAAGTTGCAGTGAAATGAATATGAGCCTTGGTAGTTCTAGTGCAGGGACAGCCTCGTGAATTTGTAGCCAGTTACCCTGAGGGGTTTGGGTGGGGCCTGGGGTAAAGGCAAAGACATAAACACGTGCCTTTAGGATTCTGGTCCCAACTGTGGCAGGGAGCTGAAATTAGGTATAGCATCTGGAGCAACAACTCTGTGCTGCATGCTCTATGCAACTCTGCCTGACAATGAGTGGAGGATGTTAAAGGAGGTCCCTGTGCTAGTACGCACCCAGTGCCCCATAGCAGGTTGGCTGAAGGATATCTTCCAGAAACCCAAGTCTGGGAATGGCCAGACATAGCCTATGGCTAAATGGCATCACTGCCTTTAACAGAGAAGCACATTGACTAATAGCCTTTTGAGCGCAGAGTTCCATTTGGTGCTTGGCCCTGTCATCGATGTGACAACTGAAGGGCAGTCTTTGATAGAGGCCACTAAACCTACAGAGATTCCCTTCCTCGTACAGGAGGAAAAGGGCCCAACTCCTACCAGGCCTGGTACACAGACCACTCATCACGAGAAAATCCTTGCACTTGGACAGCTGTGGCCATCCAGCCGTCCACTGAGAGCATCTGGCTTGGTACAGGCAAAGGACATAGTAGCCAATGGGCTGAGCTGCCAGCTGCTTGGACAGTCCCACTCCATGAGCCAGACCCAATAGTCCTGTGCACCCATAGTTGGGCTATCTTTTTTTTTTTTTTTTTGAGATGGAGTCTTGCTCTGTCGCCTAGGCTGGAGTGCAGTGGCGCGATCTCGGCTCACTGCAACCTCCACCTCCCCAGTTCAAGTGATTCTCCTGCCTCAGCCTCCCAAGTAGCTGGGACTACAGGTGCCCGCCACCATTCCTGGCTAATTTTTGGATTTTTAGTAGAGATGGGGTTTCACCATACTGGCCAGGCTGGTCTCGAACTCCTGACCTTGTGATCCGCCTGCCTCAGCCTCCCAAAGTGCTGGGATTACAGGCGTTAGCCACTGCGCTCAGCCCAGTTGGGCTGTCTTTTTTGTTTGTTTGTTTGTTGTTTTTTGTTTTGAGACAGAGTCTCGCTCTGTTGCCCAGGCTGGAGTGCAGTGGCATGATCTCAGCTCAGCGCAAGCTCCGCCTCCCGGGTTCATGCCATTCTTCTGCCTCAGCCTCCCGGTTAGCTGGGACTACAGGTGCCTGCCACCTCGCCCGGCTAATTTTTTTGTATTTTTAGTAGAGACGGGGTTTCACCATGTTAGCCAGGATGGTCTCGATCTCCCGACCTCATGATCCACCTGCCTCGGCCTCCCAAAGTGCTGGGATTACAGGCATCAGCCACTGTGCCCGGCCTGCAGTTGGGCCATCTTTAAGGGACTCACCATGTGGCTACTACAGTGGGAAGCCCAGGATGTGGACAGTAGTGGGTTACCCCCTCTGGGGTGCTGACATGTGGAAGGACATTCTCCATTGCATCCGGGGATGCACATAGCGGCCTACCACGTGGATGCCCACACTCCACCTACACCACCTAGAAACCCACGGGTGGATGGGCTCGCCTGCATTTGTCTCCTTGAGGAAGTCCCCGTGGCTACCTGAGAAAACAAGATATCGGGGACAATGTACTCTTTGAGCCATAGTGAAGAACTGGGGCCTGCCACTATGATATAAAGATATAGTACATGTCTGTCAGCAATGTCCTACCTGGCCTGAACGCCCCAGGCCCTGGCTGCCTGATACCTAAAAGATGGTCAGGGGCTGGAGCCCAGTGCAACAGTGGCAGGTGACTACATAGGGCCTTTGCTTCTGATGGCTGCCACTATGCCTTGACTGTGCAGACACCTGCACGGGGCAGCTGCAGGCATATCCCAGCAAGCATGCTACCCGGAAAAACCACCATGAAAGGACTAGAGCAGCTGTGTGCAGCCTACAGTGTCCCCACTAATATTGACAGTGATCAGGGCTTGTAATTACCAGACATACAGTGCAGCCTGCAGTGTCCCCACCAATATCGACAGCGATCAGGGCTTGTAATTATCAGACATACAGTACAGAAATGGGTGGAGGCCCTGGATAGCCACCGGCATTTCCACTTGCAGATAGCCCTACAGCAACACGGCTGATTGAACAGATGAATGGACTGTTGAAGTGACAACTCTGGCAGGAGGTGCACTTTCTGGTTCTGTGGACATGCTGCTTACCAGCAGCCATCCACACCCTGAATGAGCATGCGCGTTCTCGTCACTCCAGGCTGTACACTGTTCTGATGCAAGGACCTGATCCCCCCGTCAGGATCCAGGGAGGCAGGCTAAGGGACAGTACACTTTTGTCCCAACCTGGGATTCAAGGTAACCTGCTATTGCCCTTGCCACAGGACCTATGTACCAGCAAGCACATCATTACATGGCCCTGAAAATGGCAAACCAGTCCCTGATGGTTTGGTTTTTCTGCTCCATGGGGGAAGGGCCTGGAATAGGATATACAGGTCACACCCACTTTACACCCTACTCTTCCTCATACTTCTAAAATAATGAATCCTGGTCCTCCCTTTGTGCAAGGGGATGATCATCCTCTCATTACGGAACATTATGATACCCCCAGGTCTTACTCTGACCTCCCATAACATGTGGCAGAGCGGGGCAATCCATTTGGTATCGTAAACCAGGCACCTGGCCATGGTCAGGGGTGGCGCTCTCTCAGAATGACACAACTTCCTGTGTCTTGTTAAATGGCCATGACTTGCCCTTTCTTGTACCCACTAAACATCTCACCTTTTGCCCATAGATGGTGCACAGCAAACCTCTTTGCGGACTGGGTACAGATAGTGATCTCTCTCCAGAACAAAACAGACTGTTGGGTCTGCAGAAAGCTGCCCCTCTCTCCACCACCGCGGGCCTGCCACGATACATCCAAGCAGCTAACCTGAGTCCCTGGAGCCACTTCTGTACTTGGTATAATGACCATCACCCATTTCCCTTTAGCAACAACAGCACCTCACGCAGTGAGTTTCCCACCATCAACAAGACGAGATGACGTATTTTCTGCCTAGTATGGGAGCCAGTTAATGTTACCCCCGCTGGGGGGTACACTGTATACGATGGGCTGAGGTAGACAATGGTAGTGCAGATCCAGGAGTGGGTCACACACCCTTCTTTGTAAAATCACATGGCCCTGGACATCTTGCTTGCCAGGGCAGAACCTGTGCATTAATTAAAACTGAATATTGGGCCGGGTGTGGTGGCTGATGCCTGCAATCCTAGCACTTTGGGAGGCTGAGGTGGGCGGATCACTTGAGCTTAGGAGTTCATGACCAGCCTGGCAACATGGCAAAACCTCATCTCCACAAAAAATACAAAAAATTAGCTGGGCATGGTGGCATGTGCCTGTAGTCGCGGCTGCTGGGGGACTGAGGTGAGAGGATCGCTTGAGCTTGGGAGGTCAAAGCTGCATTGAGCCAAGATTGTGCCACTGCACTCCAACCTGGGCAAAAAACTGGGACCCTGTCTCAAAAACAAACATGAATGTTTTTTATATATATCCCTAATGACTCTCACAATGTAACCCATACTATACAGGTCCTAAATACTGATATTTCCACTATAGAATCCCTGTCATCCAATCCTATAACTATGTGGTTCAATCAACTCTCAAGTGCTTGGAAAAACTTTCTATATGGTATGATTGCTATTATATTCATTATTCTTTGTTGTTGTTATAGTTTGTATTGCTGCCGCAGTGTCTGGCTGCAATGATCCTCTGCATACCTGGCCCCAGGGAACTTGTGGAAGAATGGTGTGATAAGAATGTGAGGGCCACTCCGGGGTATGCTGGGATGTAGCATACCCTCAAGCGGCCTGACAGCAATAATGTAATTTAGGCATAACTTGAGAGTGACCCTGTGGTCTAAGAAGAATGTGTATTCAGAATTCTGAGCTAAGGAATCAATCTGGGAGTGGCCAACCCACAAATTTATTCCCTATCTATGAGGAACGTCTGAACCCCTTTCCCATCCTGTGGAATATGGGCCATACAGGGGATTGAGGCCCCTTTGTTTTGGGTTAAATGAAGGTTGCCAGGTGGAGGGTGCTAAGTGAAAATACTATACAAACTGCATGTTTTTTACAAGAGGCTGAGGCTCTCCTGTCCAGCCCACCGCCACTGGACAGCCCTCCATGTAAGTCCCCTCAATAAACCCCATGTCTCTTTTGCTGGCTCTGGGTCTCTTCCTCAGCTTCTTGAACATGATGCCATCCCTACTGAAGTCAGCGGGGGTCTAGCACAGAACCCCATTATCCCCCCAGTTTCCATGGATCCAACATAAAGATGGTCTTCAGATCTGTTCCATATCTTTCTCTCTACCACAAGAGGAAGTTAATATATATGTTTCTCCCAAAAGTGTCTTTGAGCACCCAAAAGTACTAGAGTCTTGCCTTCTTCCTTGTGTGATTATGAATATGTTGAAAAGTAGTGTGTGGAGAAGTCAGTCGCCAAGAGAAAACAGGATTTTCTGGCCAAGTTCAAAGTCCCGAGCAGATCCCATGACTTCCTCCCTGCAGGGCTCCATCTATTTTCTCACAGTAAACACAGTCAGTCCCCAGGTGATCTCTCTGTTTCTGTCATAATCTCCTAGGATGAATACATTGTACTTTCCCACATGACTGGAGCGATCCTGCTTGTCACTGTTCCACTTTCTGGGCCTCACTTTGGATTAAACTGGTCTGGTAGTTGAAGCTCTGTGATAACCAAATTCTATTACTAAACCTGTTTAAGAAACCCCCATCTATTTTTAGTGTTGATGTCAGCCATTTCTAGGTCAGAGGTATAATGTGTCTAGCAGAGGGATCCTCCTGGTTGTAACAATATTTCTAAAATTGACCATTGCAGTTAAGAAAGCCAGCATGAATAGAATTATTTTCCCTCCGGCAGTCATATTCTCTTTCATGCTCTCTTTTGCCTTCACTCTTATAAACCCTCAGGGGTCGTCCCTGTTATACCCAGAGACACCCAGAAGACAAAACTTAGCCCCTTCTCCAATTCCTTTAATAAATCTACTTGAGGCAGACATCTGACCATTTTTTTTTTCTTTACAGATTTTACTGGAGATTTGTGGTTTTGCAGGGAGGATCACATGGCACATGGCAGATCACACAGCCTTCAACTATATTCCTTTCTCCTTTTTATCCCCACCCGTATGTACCACATTGAAAATAATGAATTAAATCTTCAGAAAATAATGATCTCAAAGGAACCATCACGAAAATGCATCATTTCTCTCATGTCACTTTTAACTGGAAACCTTCACAAATCAATGGTTCCCATGCTTAATGAAAACAAAGACTTTCAGGCCGGGTGCGGTGGCTCATGCCTGTAATCCCAGCATTTTGAAAGGCCAAGGTGGGCGGATCACCTGAGGTCAGGAGTTCAAGAACAGCGTGGCCAACATGGCAAAAGCCTGTCTCTACTAAAAATACAAAAAAAAAAAAAAAAAAAAAAAAAAAAAAAAAAAAAATTAGCCAGGTGTGGTGGCGGGCACCTGTAATCCCAGCTATTTGGGAGGCTGAGGCAGGAGAATCACTTGAACCCGGGAGGTTGAGGTTGCAGTGAGCCAAGATTGTGCCACTGCACTCCAGCCCAGGTGACAGAGCAAGACTCTGTCAAAAAAAAAAAAAAAAAAAAGAGAGAGAAAAGAAAAGAAAAAAACCCCTTTCAGATGAGTTTCTCTCTTTATTTTTTCTTTCTGATCTTTAAAAAAAACTCCACTCTTTAATGACTCAATGTCCAGAGCAGACCCAAACACACACTCAGGCTCTGCTTGCATGGTATGGGCCCAAAGTGCCACAGCTCTGGCAGTTGACTCTTCTCACCCTGGGAATGGTTTCTCCAAAAAATAAAAACGATTGTGTTTTTTTAAATAGACTTTATGGCTAAGTGCTGTGACTCACGCCTGTAATCCCAACACTTTGGGAGGCCGAGATGGGCAGATCACGAGGTCAGGAGATCGAGACCATCCTGGCTAACACAGTGAAACCCGGTCTCTACTAAAAATACAAAAAATTAGCCAGGCATGGTGGTGGGCGCCTGTAGTCCCAGCTACTTGGGAGGCTGAGACAGACTTGAACCCAGGAGGCGGAAGTTGCAGTGAGCCGAGATCACACCACTGCATTCCAGCCTGAGTGACAGAGCGAGACTCCATCTAAAAAAAAAAAAATAGACTTTATGTTTTAGAGCAGTTTAAAGTTCAAAGTTAAAATTGAGCGGAAGGTACAGAGACTTCCCATAGACCCTCTGTGCCTACCCCCATTCATGCACAGACTCTGTCATTATCAACATCCCACTAAACTGGTACATTCATTGCAATTGATGAGCCTACACTGACACATCATCATCACCGAAAGTCCATGGTTTACATGAGAATTCTCTCTTGGTGAATGGAAGCATTTTTAGCAAAGTGTTCTGTGACATCTGTGATGTGGGCTCTGCCATAGCTTATGAATTGATGCTCGCCTTCCTTCCCCCATCAGAAGACATACAACACGAAGGTAAAGGCCTCAATTACAAATTCGTTGTAATTCTGACAGCCTTCAATATTCTGCATAGCCACTGTGATGCATTTATCCCGAAGTTCTGGAATATACAAAATCCTCTGCTGACTTGACTTCATTATTTTTTTTAATTTATTTATTTTGAGATGGAGTCTCGCTCTGTTGCCAGGCTGGAGTGCAGTGGCACAATCTTGGCTCACTGCAACCTTCGCCTCCCAGGTTCAAGCGATTCTCCTGCCTCAGCCTCCCAAGTAGCTGGGACTACAGGCACATGTCACCATGCCTGGCTAATTTTTGTATTTTTAGTAGAGACGGGGTTTCACCATGTTGGCCAGGATGGTCTCGATCTCTTGACCTTGTGATCCACTAGCCTCAGCCTCCCAAAGTGCTGAAATTACAGGCGTGAGCCACCGTGCCTGGCCGACATGACTTTAAATAAATCATTAGGGGCTGTTTTCTTGACATTATGTGGGTGAACTTTCAGGAGAGGGATTGTCTTGCCCTACAAGGCTAGCCAGTGGGAAACACTGATATTACTTAAGCAATACCAGATGCAGGCCGTTCAACTCAAACTGCATTGTGATAGCATCGAAATGCAGGGTAACAAGTTACAAGTGCTGTTCACAAAAAAAGAGAGTCTTGTCCCTGCTTCTTTCATTACATCTGGATCCTCAATTTATTTCTAAAATAGTCTTAGTTCCAAAGCAAACACACTCCAGTTAATGTGCCCTGAGATGTGTTTCTTAACCAACCAGTCCTTGACAGCTGAGCTCTGTGGACACTTGAAGACAACAGCTATTGTTGAGTTTCTCACTGTGCAGTTGGAAGAGCCCTTTGTGTTTAAATGACTCCAAAGACTGAACTCACTTTAGTTGACTTTCTCAGGAAGCTCATGGGTAGTAAACTGTGAGAATTTGGGGAACAGTTCAGCTTATTACTTCATAACCCCTGACACTCTTGCTAACACGCTGAAGACAGAAAATATAGCTTCTGGGGACATCGAAATCCAAGACAAGAAGGAGGCAACTGGCACTTGTTGTAAGTTTGTGGAAAAGCAGGTTTTCTTTTTGGAATCATGGCTAACTTAAGTGATCAAAAGACTGAAAATTATTCTTTCCACTTGGCTTTCCACAATGAATAAAACTCATTTCAACACAATTAAGGAGAGTGCTTCCTTAGTTTTGCTTTCTTAAAAATAAAGCTTGGTCACACAACTTAACTTTGTAAAATGCGATTTTAAAAATTATTATCTTTGGCTGGTAGAACTAAGGGTGATATATTTCGGCATTTTCACTTCTTTCTAATATCTAAGTAGTCTGTAATAGGTGTGTGGTGCTTTTATCTTTTTTTTTTTTTTTTTTTTTTTGAGATAGTGTCTCACTCAGTTGCCCAGCCTGGAGTGCAAAGATGGAATCTTGGCTCACTGCAACCTCTGCCTCCCCGGTTCAAGAGATTCTCCCACCTCAGCCTCCCTAGTAGCTAGTACTACAGGCGTACACCACCATGCCTGGCTGATTTTCGTATTTTTTGGTAGAGACAGGGTTTCACCTTGTTGGTCGGGCTGGCCTCAAACTCCTGGCCTCAGGTGATCTGTCCACCTCAGCCTCCCAAAGTGCTGGGATTACAGGCATGAGCCACCGCGCCCGGCCTCCTTTTATCATTTTTAAATCTTGTTTGCAAATATTAATACATATATATTGAAAAACCCTAGGGTTCTTATAAGACAAATTGAAAACTGTTTTTAACCTCCTTATGGACTAAAGGTAGGGACAAGCAGGTTGATTTATTTTAATGATGCTACAAACTGTCCTAAAACAATTTGTCCACTCACAATTAGTCTCCAGAGGCTTGAGGCAGCAGTGCACAGATAAATGTTTAATGACCAGTTTCCCAGGGGGAAAAAAAAGAAAAAGCCCTGATTTGTAGCATTTGTCTATTTCAAGCTAACTCATGATGTCACTGAGCACAGAGTTGAGAAGAAATGTGCATAATCACCTCTTACTCACACATACACACGTATGTGCATGCGTACACATGGGCACACACACTCGTCACTAGGGATATGTTACAATGAAAGCAAATCGTGGACTGATTCTGCAAATATTTATTAGTAAACAGGCACACGCACAGTCACATCAGGTTGTCTGGAAGGTGAATAAAGTCCTAGGTCTCTGCCCTTTTAAGCAGCCCAACAAGAGATTTCTGGAAAAGACTCACTTAAGGCATATATTCCCAAATCCTAGCAGCAGGATTCAGTTTACTTTCCTGTGGGTTTCAGGTAACAGAATCAGGGCCAAACCAAATGAGATTCTGAAGAGTGTAAGCTACTAGGATCACTGCATTCCTACAGCCTGCTTGTGCTAGGGCAGAGGTGCCTGTAGACTACTGCTAGCCAGCCCAAACATCTTGAACACCATTCATCTCAACAAAAAAAGTATTTTTTAACACCTTTTATGCTAAAGCACAAAGCCTGTACTGCTGATAGAGACAGCCAGGAGACGATGCCTTGAAGGAGCTCCCTCTGGACTGTGGACCAAAGGACTGTGAATGCAAACCAACCATCTAGGGTTGGAGTAGAGGGTGTTTCTGATCAGGTCACATAATAACCACTTCACAGGAGAGATTAAAACTAACATTTGTGTACCTCACAGTCTGTCCCTGGTGAGCACGTAAGGCCCTAGAACTAAGCCAAGGTGGTTTTATCCTCATCACGCACACTTGCCAGGATCTGCCCTCTGGGGCAGCACCCCTCCTGTCCCCTTTGGGGCCTGTCTCTGTATGGAAAGGAAGATCCAGGAGCCAGAAGGCCCTCAAGTCCACAGATTGGGCCAGCCGCCACACTTACCTAGTCTGGTCTCTGGATTTGCCCATACGACAAGTCTCTGTTCTGAGTCTTTGTCAATGGACTTAGGTAAGTGGCTAAGGATTTGAAAGCATAGAAGGCACATGGGAGGGCTTTTTTGGGAGAAGAAAACGTGGTAGATGATAGAAAATAGCTGAGTTGGCTGGGCACAGTCGTTCACACCTATAATCCCAGTGCTTTGGGAGGCCAAGCCTGGGGGACTGTTTAAGGCCAGGAGTTCAAGACCAGCCTGGGCAACATAGCAAGATCCCCATCTCTAACAAAAAATTTGTTTTTAAATAACTGGGCATGGTGGTGCATACCTGTAGCCCTAGCTACTTAAGAGGCTGAGGCAGGAGGATCCCTTGAGCTCAGGAAGTTGAGGCTGCAATACGCTATGATTGCACCACTGCACTCCAGTCTAGGTGGCAGAGCAAGACCCTGTCTCTAAAAGAAAGAAAGGAAGAAACTAGCTGAACGGCCCACAGAACACCTAGGCTTGAACATCAACACTGAAGATACCCAGTATTTCCACTAACCCACTGCATGGTATACTGGCCAATCTCCAATACACACTAGCATGAGACTTTGAGGCAGTTATCTGGTCTTTTGAGTCTCCATTCCATCATCTATAATACAAGGAGTGTTACACTTTCCTTGGGGAGATAGTGTGATTACTGAGTAGTTAATGAGAAAGAGCCTCCAGCATGCTGCCAGGTACATTACAGGTCACTCAAATTGTCAATATTATTATTAATCTTGACTAACTGATATCAGGCTAAAAATCAGAGCTGATTTCGTATGACAAGAAACTTTAAGACCACGAAAGTACACTCTATTTCCCTAAAATTTCCTCCTTCCCCCTCCCCTGGCCCTATCATTTCTTCTTAACCCAGTTTGTTGAATCAATTTATCAATTCTCAACTAATGACCTCTTTTTTCTTTTTAACATTGTATTGATTCCAGACTTGAGGAGTATGAGGAAGCTCTGGGAAAGAACTGGGAGAGAGAGCATGGTTATCATCATTTTTACCCACTAGAAAAATAAAGGCTAAAAATAGTTCATTGATTGTTCAGGAAAAAAGGATCTAGATTTGACAATCTCCAACTGTCATTTTTATTTCTGCTAGACTATCATGCCTCCTACTGTTTTAACCCAGTTTTTAAAATTTATTTTACACGCTCCAGCAGCATCCTCCCTGTCATGAGTAGTTTTTATTGCCATGATATATTTCATTCCCAGAGATTTGTTGCCTCTGAGAGCATCCTCAGGGGGTAAAATGATTTAATGGTTAAGCCTCTATAAGTAAACACGTCAGCACAAACATATGCAAGAACATATCATCCATAGACACCCTCACTTTAGCAAAGATTTTTCAGTTCCTAGAAACTGGCCCAAATCTCAGGACTTTCTTTGTTCTTTCTGTTTGTCTAGTTCCCCCTGATTCTCTGATTATACACTCTGCAAAAGCAACAAGTAGGATCTGGCAGGCTTGTGACTGCAGCACCCTCCTACCCTGACAGCACCAGCCTGCCAAGGGCCTGGGTGACAAGGAGGTGAGCGAGGGCACAGGCATGGCCAAGACGGCCGGAGAGAGGAAGGGTGAGCTCATTCCTTCCCTGCTCCCTCCGCCCCTTATGAGAAGGGCTGTGAGACCAGCAGAAGCTCGGGTTTCCAGTCACAAGATCCCCAGAGGTCTGGCTCTGCAGAATCCACCAGGGCTGTGGTTTCTGCAGAGGCAACCTTGCCTTTGCAGCCTTCTCCAGAAGCACCTCCCTGGCACATACCAGGGATCAGCTTTCCACCCCAGGTTTTACCCCAAGACATCAAAGTAGGGCCGCAGGACCCCAAATTAGGCCACCAAAACCGAGAGGCAGATAATACTCTAGAAGCATCAGATAGTACCTAGAAGCATCTAAGAATCTCCACCCTCTACCCGGTAGTCGGGAGAGGGAAAGAGAGAGGGCAGGGAGGGGGTGTTCGTACTTACTCTGGAAATGGACTTTTCTGCCTAAAGCTCCACCAGGGTGTGTACCCCTTTGATGGCACTGGGCAGAGCAGAGAAGAAAATGCTCTGAATATAGAGTCGCAGAGACCACAGCATCGGGCAAGTGATTCTGTTCCTAAGCAAAAGAGATAGTTGTTCATTTTTAGAGACAAGGATACCCTCCTTGAGAGGTACACAGTGAAAGACAAAGTCAACAGAGCTATAAAAATACAAAGAGTAAAATATTTATCTATCTATCATCTATCTATCTATCTATCTATCTATCTATCTATCTATCTATCTATCTTTCTATCATCTATTATCTATCTATCTACCTGTCTTTGGCACTCTCCAAAGTTAAAAATTGTTTCTTTTTTTTTCTTTTTTTGAGATGGAGTTTCACTCTTGTCACCCAGGTGTAGTGCAATGGCACGATCTCAGCTCACTGCAACCTCTGCCTCCTGTGTTCAAGTGATTCTCCTGCCTCAGCCTCCTGAGCTGGGATTATAGGCGTGTGCCACCACACACAGCTAGTTTTTGTATTTTTAGTAGAGACAAGGGTGTCACTATGTTGGCCAGGCTAGTCTCAAACTCCTGACCTCAGGTGATCCACCTGCCTGGGCCTCCCAAAGTGCTGGGATTACAGGCGTGAGCCACCGCTCCCAGTCGAGAAAATAATTTCTATTTTCCTCTTAAATAAAATGCCTTGGTCAGCTTTTGGGATGGGGAAGAAGGGTAGGAAGTGGAGTGCAGACAGCATGGGACTGAGAAAGGTGAGGAAATGAGAAAGACACTACAGCAGAAATGAAATAGGGATTTGTGGGAGGGAAATTTTGAAGCAGGTAGAAAGGGAATGTTCCTCACAGTCTTTGCTGTGGACTGACTTACCTCCAAGATACCTAGGGACAGTCCTCTTGGCCTCCTTCTCTCCTCTCAAAGCCTGGTTTCCTGCTGTCTTCCTGTTCCAGGCAAGGGCAGGGGGGCCTGGTTCACTGCTGAGAACACGTCGTGCAGTCAGGTTCCACCAGGTTCCAGTCTGTAGGAGAGAAAATGCCCTCTAACCTCGCTTGTACTTTCCTCACAGCCCCAAGACAGTGTTATAAGCCTATAACTGTACAATAAAAGTATACCAAACCAATGCTTTCTAAAGGTCTTCTATTTGTACTGACTTCTTAAGAGTTTTAGCTCAGTCCTTGAAGTCTGGTTAAGAATGCTATTAAAGAATAACATATAACTCTCTAATTGAAAATGCTTCTCATTATTCGTTAAATTATGTCCCCCAAAAAGATACATAGAAATCCTAACTCTCAATATCTGTGAATGTGACCTTATTTGGAAATAAGAGCTTTGCAACTATAATCAAATTAAGGTCAATAGGGGTAATCCAGTATGACGATATCTTTATAAGAGAAAATACCATGTGAAGGCGGAGACACACACGAGGGCAGATGGCCACGTAGAGACGGAAGCGGAGATCGGAGTCGTCCTGCCACAAGCCAAGGAATGCCTGGGGCTATCAGAAGCTAGAAAAGGCAAAAAGGGATCCTCCCCTAGAGGATTTGGAGGGAGCATAGCTCAGCTAACATCTTTCTTTCTTTCTTCCTTTTTTTTTTTTTTTTTTTTTTTGAGACGGAGTTTCGCTCTTTTGCCCAGGCTGGAATGGAGTGGCACGATCTGGGCTCACTGCAACCTCCGCCTCCCGGGTTCAAGCGATTCTCCTGCCTCAGCCTCCCGAGTAGCTGGGATTACAGGCGTGCATCACCATGCCTGGCTAATTTTTTTGTATTTTTAGTACAGACGGGGCTTCACCATGTTGGCCAGGCTGGTCTCAAACTCTAGACCTTGTGATCGGTCAGCCTCAGTCTCCCAAAGTGCTGAGATTGCAGGCGTGAGCCACCGCGCCCGGCTCTTTTTTTTTTTTTGAACAAATATTATTATTTTAGAAATACACCAGACACAACTATTAGTTAAATAACTATTTTTGAACAATTCATTAACTCAACTATTTATTGAATGTCATGAATCATATTAGCAATTCATTATATTAATCATAAACTTTTTTAAAATTATACTTTAAGTTCCAGGGTATATGTGCACAGTGTGCAGGTTTGTTACATAGGTATACATGTGCCATGTTGGTGTGCTGCACCCATCAACTCATCATTTACATTAGGTATTTCTCCTGATGCTATCCCTCCCCTAGCCCCCAACCCCCTAACAGGCCCCAGTGTATGATATTCCCCTCCCTGTGTCCATGTGTTCTCATTGTTCAACTCCCACTTATGAGCGAGAACATGCAGTGTTTGGTTTTCTGTCCTTGTGATATTTTGCTGAGAATGATGGTTTCCACCTTCATCCATGTCCTTGAAAAGGACATAAACTCAACTCATCCTTTTTTATGGCTGCATAGTATTCCATGGTGTATATGTGCCACATTTTCATAATCCAGTCTATCACTGATGGACATTTGGGTTGGTTCCAAGTCTTTGCTATTGTGAATAGTGCTGCAGTAAACATACATGTGCATGCATTTTTATTATAGCATGATTCATAATCCTTTGGGTATATACCCAGTAATGGGATGGCTGGGTCAAATGGTATTTCTGGTTCTAGATCCTTAAGGAATCGCCACACTGTCTTCCACAATGGTTGAACTAATTTACACTCCCACCAACAGTGTAAAAGTGTTCCTATTTCTCCACATCCTCTCCAGCATGTGTTGTTTCCTGAATTTTTAATGATCCCCATTCTAACTGGCATGAGATGGTATCTCATTGTGGTTTTCATTTGCATTTCTCTAATGACCAGTGATGATGAGCTTTTTTTCATGTGTTTGTTGGCCGCATAAATGTCTTGTTTTGAGAAGTGTCTGTTCCTACCCTTTGCTCTCTTTTTGACGGGGTTGTTTGTTTTTTTCTTGTAAATTTATGTAACTTCTTTGTAGATTCTGGATATTAGCCCTTTTTCAGATGTATAGATTGCAAAAAATTGTCTTCCATTCTGTAGGCTGCTTGTTCACTCTGATGATAGCTTCTTTTGCTGTGCGGAAGCTCTTTAGTTTAATTAGATCCCATTTGTCAATTTTGGCTTTTGTTGCCATTGCTTTTGGTGTTTTATTCATGAAGTCTTTGCCTATGCCTATGTCCTGAATGGTATTGCCTAGGTTTTCTTCTAGGGTTTTTAAGGTTTTAGGTCTTAATTTAAGTCTTTAATCCATCTTGAGTTAATTTTTGTATAAGTTGTAAGGAAGGGATCCAGTTTCAGTTTTCTGCATATGGCTAGCCAGTTTTCCCAGCACCGTTTATTAAATAGGGAATCCTCTCCCCATTGCTTGTTTTTGTCAGGTTTGTCAAAGATCAGATGGTTGTAGACATGTGGTGTTATTTCTGAGGCCTCTGTTCTGTTCCACTGGTCTATATATCTGTTTTGGTACCAGCACCATGCTCTTTTGGTTACTGTAGCCTTGTAGTATAGTTTGAGGTCAGGTAGTGTGATGACTCTGGCTTTGTTCTTTTTTCTTAGGATTGACTTGGCTATGCGGGCTCTTTTAAGGTTCCATATGAAATTTAAAGTAATTTTTTCCAATTCTGTGAAGAAAGTCAGTGGTAGCTTGATGGGGATAGCATCAATGCTAAATATATTTATTATTACTTTTAAAAAGGAGACAAAGATTCTACCTTTGGGAAATTTACAGCCAAAAGTTGAATGCTACCCACCATGAGAGATTCAAGTTTAAAAGTGCCAAATTGTATGTAACTGATCTGCTCATGCCAATTTGTGAAGATCATTCTATAGTCATCTTTCAGTCAAAGAAGTGAAATAATTTGTCTTTTTGAATTTCATTATGAGATCACATGTTTTCATTTAAATAGAAATGTGCTTTTCTTTTTTTTGTTTTTAATTTTTATTTTAGGTTTGGGGGTGCATGGGAGGGGTTGTTACATAGAGAAACATGTGTCCCAGGGGTTTGTTGTACATATTATTACATCATCCAGGTATTGAGCTCAGTACCCCATAGTTATTTTTTCTGCTCCTCTCCCTTTCCCAGCCTTGCCCCTCAGGTAGATCCCAGTGTCTGTTGTTCCCTTCTTTGTGTTTATAAGTTCTTGTCGTGTATATCATTTAGCTCCCACTTATAAGTAAGAACATGTGGTATTTGGTTTTCTGCTCCTGCATTAGTTTGCTAAGGATGATAGCCTCCAGCTCCATCCATGTTCCCACACAAGATGTGATCTTGTTCTTTGTTATGACTGTGTAATATTCCACGGTGTATATGTACCACATTTTCTTTATCCAGTCTGTCATTGATGAGCATGTAGGCTGATTCCATGTCTTTGCTGTGGTGAATAGTGCTGCAGCGAACATTCACATGCATGTGTCTTTATGGCAGAATACTTTATATCTTTCTGGATATATACCCAGTAATGGGATTGCTGAGTTGAATGGTAGTTCTGCTTTTAGCTCTTTGAGCTTTGCCAACTCTGCTTTACCAACATCTTGATTTCAGACTTTTAGTCTCCAGAACTGTTGCTTTAAGCCACCCAAGTTATGGCACTTTGTTTTTTTAGCCCTCGAAAAGCAATATATCCCTTTCATTTCTCACTGGTCCATGAGTCTTGTCCCAGTATCACACCCCTTTCCTTTCTCTTCCTGCAAAGGCTGCTTTGGGGGTCAATGCTAACAGATTTTGGTAGGCCTGCCCCTACCAGTTATGTCTGAGTCCTAGAATGAACATGGCCAACACGCTTAACCTGGAACTTCCACTATATTGCTGTGAAACACATAATTTTTAAAATGTTACAGGCAAAGAGAGCCCCCCTAAATACCTACCTTCAAAAGTCTCATTTCAACAGCATTTACTCACAAACTACTACACACTAATGACTACTTTAGATTGGTGTGGGGCTTCGAATGAAAGACATGGTCTCTGCCTTCTAGGAGCTGATGTTCTTGCTGGGGAGAACAGAGTGAAATATGAATTTTTAAAGAGCACTGTGAATAACAGTATGTAATCAAATGCTGAAATGCAGAATGGAGCTTAGATTTGGAGCAAGTTTCAAGAAAAGTGCTCAGAGATGTCAGGAACAGTTCATGAAGATGGGGTTGGGGTGGGAGGTGAAGCAAACACTGGGAGTAAAGTGACAACCAGGGCTTGAGGCTGGACTATTGCATGTAGGACAGTAAAGGACACCTGCCTGCAGGTGAAAGCTGGGGGGTCACAGGGAATAAAACTGCTCCCAGACTGCAGAGGAACCTCGAAATCAAGCAGGAGGAAAGTCCCTTTGCCTCTAAATTGCTGAGAGAAGTTGACTGCTGTGCAGGGTGGGACAGGCAGAATGAGAATTAGCCGGTCTGACCCCCAAGTTGTGATTTAGATTCTGTTTCTATAGGTTTCTAAAATCCCTAGGGACCAGAGCTAAGTATTCCCTTGCAAGAGCAATTCTCAAAAGATTAACAGAGCATTGAAATGTCATGGTGACTCTCCGGAACATTTCTTCATTCCTGGTCATAAACATAATCACAGCCTCTACTCCCGGGCTGGGTGGGGAGGAAGGCTAGAAATGTATGAGGTGTCTTAAGTGTGCACTCAGAGATACGCTCCACAAATAGGCCGGCAAACATTCCTCTACTAAGGGTTATGGACGCCAGATGCTGTTAGCAGTTCATGACTGGAGCGACTGAAACACAGACCTTAGCGATACACCATAATCTGGCTCCTGGAGTTAGGGCTCTTATCCCACTACTCATCCATCTACTAAGTGGGGAACATTCTTCTTTCCGGGAAGAAATCCCTTGTTTCTGTGCTTTGCTGTTTGCTTCTTAGTCTGTGAACATGAGGCCGCTGAGTTTAGGGTGCCGAGCTCTAGAAAGTTGTTGAGATGAATTTTCAGAATGCAGAACCACCCTGAAAGTGGGTACTCAGTGGTCATAAATGTCAGCCACCACACCAGGGGGGACCTAAGGATGAAACGTTTGCAAGTGTCACCATGACGTTTCAATGTTGGATTGATCTTTTGAGAGTGATTACCTGTCTCTGGTCCCCAAGGTTTGTAGAAGCTCATAGAAATATTATGCTCTGAGCTGCAACTTGCAATAATACATTTGTGACAAACTGTCACTCTGCCCCTTCCAAAGGCCTAGAGCTGTACTCTTGAGCTCCTCCTTCTACTCGGGGTGGCCTGGGCACTCTTCCAGGATTTGCTGTAAGTGTCCGGCCATGTTCGTCACCCAAGTTATTATCTGGAGAAAGTCTGTGTCTGGTATTTCAGCACCTTCCTGCTAGGCTTTGAGACCTTAACCACCTGCTCTACCTGGTGGGGGACACAGAGCCACCTGGGCATCCTGAGACAAGAACCTAGGCCCTGTTCCCACTTCACGGCTTGCCCTCAGGTGGAGCTGACCATATCTATGTCATTTCTCCTCCTACAGACATGACATGTCCTTGAATATAAATCATTTCTTATTGTAGATCAGGATCAGTAATTTTTTTTCTGTGAAAGGCCAAATAGTAAATATTTTGGGCTTTGTGAGCCATATGGTCTCTGTCTCAGCTACTCTATTCTGCCATTGTTGCTCATCATCAGCCATAGATGATGAGTAAACAAATGAGCATGGCCGTGTTCCAATAAACCTTTATTTATAAAATCAGGCAATGAACCAAATTTAGTCTGTGGGCCATAGTTAGGCCAACTTCTGTTATAGAGGTACATATACTTAAGAATATTTTTGAATAGCTTATTATTGTTTTTATAAATGGTTTCATAGACATTTTTGTTTCTCACAACCATGGTATGCAGGTAGGGCCAGTGTTTTGTATACCCATTTTGTATATAAGGAAACTGAGGCTCCCTAATAACTTATCTGGTGCAAACAGTCAGAAAATCACAGAGTAGAGACCAGACACAGGCCTTTTATTTCAAAGTCCAATATGTCTTCTACCATTCCAGTATTTTACAGAACGTGACTCTTCCTATAAATAAGTTTGGGGAACTCACATTAAGCAAGGTTAAGGAGGCTTTTTATTCTTATATGACTGTCTGAGGGAGGATTATAGTATTCTGAGTTTTCAAACGTGTGGGATGCCAGACTCTTTCTTCTTCTTGTCGAAGAAGCTCTTAGGACTGGTGCTTCTTGGATCAGTACAGGGAAACTCTTCACTAAGCATAAACACAAGCTACAGAGAAAATGACACTTCAGGAAAGAAATGTCAGACTAAGATCCCAGACAGGTTAAGGTCCCCATGGCAGCCCACCTAAGTCAGACCACAGATTTCGATCACATCTTGACCCAACAGAGTGATATCAGAATGAGATAGGGACCGTCACACCCCACACCCAAGTTCAATCTGACCAAGGTAACTGAAAGAAGTACGGAGGGAAATGGAAAATGTTTTTTGCTCATTCCAGAACATAATTGCCTTTGCTTTTTTTTTTTTTTTTTTTTTTTTTTTGCCTTCCTAGGAGGAAATGCTGATCTGATTGGTCACAGTCCAAGTTGATATTTGGGCCTCTTTCCCTTTGCAGTCTATTAAGTACTTGGCACAGGCCCTGGTGAAGGTGCAGCATGGGGCTTGGTTTAGCATTCATAGTTTCTCAAGAAGCACTCCTTTTTATGATGCAAGATGTCAATTAAAATTAGTAAAATATTTCATCGAGCCAATCAAAGAAATGAGTATCTCCTAAGAGAGGTTTTGATACTGTTTTGAAGGCATTATGACTGGGAACCCAGGAACATCTGAGCCCTTACTGCAAACACCCCATCTTCCAAAAGGATTCTGGAGGAAGTGATACTCAAAGAACAATGCCAGGATAAAAATCAAAATTATCATTCCTAATAATGGCAGAAGTATTCTGAAACTCCCAATGCTGGCTTCTCTGATGAAACCAGGATTGCAGGCTCCAGGTCTAAGTGAGAACTCCACTTACCCTTTACCACTAAACCCAAGAATCAGGACTGGCACACTTGACATGTTTGTGGGAGCTTGCATTTAACACATGGCTGGGCCCTACAAGGGATCCTGACTCAGTTTACTCATAGTGCCACGCAGAATAGAAGATGTACAAGACAGGAATGGCTTGTGACCTTCAGGGAACAGAGAGAAGAAGAAGCACATGGAAGAGGGGACATGGCTTTCGTTTTAAGGCCTCGTCACTATGGCCATTTGAGCTTGTTGGCTGCACTGTCTGTTGTAAGACAAAGAAGTGTATGCTAGTCACTTAAGACCCTCTGTCTCTTCATCTGTGGCCACCTTGCCAGTGAGTATTCTGGAATATTGAGGACTTTTCTCCCCTTAACCTCCTTTAAATTAACACAAGTCAAAAAACAGTAAACAAGTATCTACAATTGCAAGAGAGTAGAGAATCATTGTCTTTGAAAGGGCTTGTGGGGGAATCTTACCAGGAGGTGAGGCACAACTGGAATGATGAGGTTCGTGGTAGAATATGGACAAGGCAATAGCAGAAATATCCTTTCCCTCTTTTTGTGAATGGGTGCTCTTTGTGCTTGCAGAACCCCATAAGGGCTTACAATTCCCCAAAAAGCATAGAGTGTATCTGCAAGAATAATACTAAACCTAGATGACAAATCATTTCTCTTCATAAACAATGTACATTCTGTGTATTTATCTTAAAACCTTTTTCATCCAACAAAAGACTAATATCCAGAATCTACAATGAACTCAAACAAATCAGCAAGGAAAAAAAAATCTCATCAAAAAGTGGGCAAAGGACATTAATAAACAATTACAAAAAGAAGTTATACAAATGGCCAAGAAACACATGAAAAAAATGCTCCACATCACTAATTATCAGGGAAATGCAGATTAAAACCACAATGACATATCACCTTACTCCTTCAAGAATGGACATAATAAAAAAAAAAATAGATATTGGTGTGGATGTGGTGAAAAGAGAACACTTTATACTGCTGGTGGGAATGAAAACTGGTACAACCATATGAAAAACAATGTGGAGATTTCTTAAAGAACTAAAAGTAGAACTAGCATTTGATCCAGCAATCCCACTATGGAGTATCTATCCAAAGGAAAATAAGTAGTTATATGAAAAAGACACTTGCACATGCACGTTTATAGCAGCATAATTTGCAATTGCAAAAATATGGAACCAACCTAAATGCCCATCAACCAATGAGTAAATAGGGAAAATGTGGTATATATCCACCATGGAATACTACTCAGCCATAAAAAGGAACAAAATAATGGCATTTGCAGCAACTCAGGAATGGAAAATCAAATATTCCATGTTTTCACTTATAAGTGGGAGCTAAGCTATGAGGATGCAAAGCCATAAGAATGATATAATGGACTTCGGGGACTTGAGGGAAAGGGTGGGAGGAGGGTGAGGAATAAAAGACTACACATTGGGTACGGTGTACATGGCTCAGGTGACGAGTGCACCAAAATCTCAGAAATCACCACTAAAGAACTTATCCATGTAACCAAAAACCACCTGTTCCCCCAAAATTATTGAAATAAGTTTAAAAATTAAAAAACATTTTTAAAAAACCTTTCTGGAACAAATTGAAACATATAAGTAAAGAAATAAATTTATGCAGATCAATCAACCAATTTATAATAGTACATCTCTTCCAAGTACGTTCTTATATGAGCGAACATCAGTTTGGGGGTTCTATAGTGGGCTAAATGGTGGCTCCAAAAAAGATATGTCCACGTTTTAATCTCCAGAACCTGTGAATGTTACCTATTTGGGTAAAGGGTCTTTGCATGTACAATTAAGTTAAGGACCTTGAGAGGAGAAGATCATTCTGGATTATCCAGATAGGCCCTAAATCCAATGACAAGTATCCTTAATAGAGACATAAAGAGAAAAACGTGATAGAAAGACAGAGGCAGAGACCGGAGTGATGCAGCTACAAGCCAAAGAATGTCAACATACACCAAAAACTGGAAGAGCCAAACACAGATTCTTCCCTGGGGCCTTCACAGCTCTGTTGACACTTTGATTTTAAACTTCTAGCCTCCAGAGCTGTGAGAATAAGTTTCTGTTGTTTTAAGCCACCAGTTAGTGGTCATCAGTTATAGCAGCCACACAAAACAGACACAGGTAATCAATTTTTTAAACTGATTTTTTGTTAAATTTCAAACACCACCACACATACAGATGCTCACTTGTATTGAGCTTCTGCAATTCTATTCCTCACATACAAGATCTCACACCGGCCCCACCACACAAACCTGATGTCAGCTCCTCTTTTGGTTCTGGAAAAGGCAAGAAGCATCTCTCTTGGCTTCCTGAGGAAGTGTTGTTTGCCTAGGAAGAGGGACTGCAGGCGGAGAGGAAGGGAATATCTTCATGGGACCAACAAACCAGCCAAATTAAATAGAGTAGGAGGTTATTTTATTATGTTTGCCATTGCTATAGCTGAATACCTGAGACTGGATAATTTATAAAGAAAAGAAATTTATTGGCCACACCTGTAATCCCAATAGCTTGGGAGGCTAAGGTGGGAAGATCGGTTGGATCTCAGGAGTTTGAGACCAGCCTGGGCAACATAGCAAGACCCCATCCCTACAAAAAACTTAAAAAATAAGCTGGGGACAGTGGCACACACCTGTGATCCCAGCTACTCAGGAGGCTGAGGCAGGAGTATTTCCTGAGCCCAGAAGTTCGAGGTACAGTGAGCCATGATTGCACTCCAGCCTGGGTGACAGAGTAAGACACTGTCTCAGAAAAAGAAGAAGAGGAGGATGACAACGACAACGATGACAATGATGGCAATGATGATGAAGAAGAGGAAGAGGAGGAACAGGAAGAGGAAGAAGAAGAAGAAGGAGGAGGAGGAGAAGGAGAAATAATAGTGGAGGAAGGAGAAGAGGGAAGAGAAAGAGGAAAAGAAGAAGGAAAAGGAGAGGAAGGAGAAGAGGAAAGAGAAGAGGAAAAAGAAGAAGGAGAAGAAGAGAAGGAGGAGGAGGAAGAGAAAGGAGGAAGAGGAGGAGGAGAAAAGGAAGGAGAAGAGGAAAGAGAAGAGGAAGAGGAGGAGGAAGAGGAAGAAGAATAAGAAGAAAGAAAAAATAAATGCATTTCTAGTTTATTTCTTACAGTTGTGGAGGCTGGGAAATCCAAGAGCATGGCACTGGCATCTGAAGAGGGCCTTCAGCTGAATCATAATGCAGAGGTAAAGGGCATCACATGGTGCAAGGGCAAGAGCATGCATGCCAGCTCAGGTCTCTCTTCTTTTTATAAAGCCACCAGTCTCATCATGGGTCCCCCACCATGATGATCTTATTGAACTCTTATAACCTCCCCAAAGTTCCATCTCTGAATACCACCAATATATACATTTGGGGTTGAAGTTTTTCCACACATACAATTTCAGGGACACATTCAAACCATAGGAGAGGTGGTCACAACCTCTCACCAGGGACTTGACTTGTGTTTCACAGAGAAAGAATTAAGGGACTGCCACCAAACTCAGCTCTATCCTCCCACTATGCTCAAAACAGTGGGAACACCTTTACTGACAGCTAGCTTCTGAGCCTCTGGAATGGGATTCCATCTAGCTGATTTCCTGAAACTGCAATCTAAAGAGCAAGGCTCTCCCTTTCCACCTTCCCACTTAATCTAGTCCAAGGTTTTAGTTTTGTCTCAGTTTTATCATCTTAGAAAAAGCTGCTGGTTTACCGAGAATTGACTTCTGTCTCCCTTGAGAAATTATAAGACGAGGGTGGACCTAGGAGAGGATTGAGGAGGATGATTTGGTTGAGAAAATTATCTGGGTTCCTGACTCACACAATTACACAGAGGGTTTTTTTTAAATTTAATCAATCAGGTCAAAGGCACAGCAGATTTTGACAGATTTTGAAGAAATGAAATGACCAAAAGACCCTCTCCACCCCCAGATTTTTTTTTTTTTTTTTTTTTTTTAGACAGAGTCTCGCTCTGTCGCCCAGGCTGGAGTGCAGTGGGTCGATCTCCGCTCACTACAAGCTCCGCCTCCGGGGTTCATGCGATTGTCCTGCCTCAGCCTCTCCAGTAGCTGGGACTATAGGCGCCCGCCACCACGCCTGGCTAATTTTTTTGTATTTTTAGTAGAGACGGGGTTTCACTGTGTTAGCCAGGATGGTCTCAATCTCCTGACCTCGTGATCCGCCCATCTCCGCCTCCCAAAGTGCTGGGATTACAGGCGTGAGCCACTGCACCCGGCCAGCATTTAATTTTTCTAATAAGCAGGTATCCAGCAAGAAGCTAGCAGTAAGCAAATTCTAATAAGAAAGCAATAGGCAGTGTTCCCATTAGTCATTCTCAGCTTTCAGGGTCTTGGGCTGTATTTTTCCAATACAAAAAAAAAAAAATGACTATACATAGAAAAAAAAAAAAAGGAAGCTAGAAGTCACTGCCAGAACAGATCAGTTCCACCAAAAATGCACCAAAGAGCACTCTTTTCCCTGCCCTGGAAATTATGTGGCTATCTCCACCCTTCCAAATTACACTGTCCTGATATACTTTATTTTCCTACTAAAATACAGAATGAAGATATTAGCTGATAACATGGTCTATGCTACTTTTGGCTGATGCATGTTTTTGAACAGAACCAAGTATTGGATCACAAGGCCTTTGGAAATAATGACCAGCATTTCTTTGTCCTTTGCAAAAATGTAGTATCTGCTTCTTCCCTTACCTCATACCAGAGGTGGGCCCCAGAGGCTATAGCATTAGTCTATATATGTAATAGTTTTGTAGAAACCGCAGCTGAAGTAGGCGTGCATTAATATTGTATTTGAATCTTGTCCAATATATGTGTCTCCCTCCCTCTGTGCCTTCATAAATATTTTAGAGCCTTAGACAGGGAAAGGAGACACAGTGAAATCAGTTTCTAAGTTAAATGTAATCACAGCCTTATTGTAAAAACAGCAGCCAATGGCCTCAAAGCTGGTCCTGACTAGGTCGAGGTTGGCCTGCTAAGAAATCCACCAACAGACGAGCCCTAGCTGTTGACAAACCCTAGCTGTCCGAACACTTACTTCCCACTGAAATGAAAGCATCGAACTCCTAAATGGTAGCTTGGAATAAAGGCAATAATTTGTTTCCAGCTGGTGCAATTGTTTAATAAAATGCCTGCTGGGTCTCCAGAAGTAATATTCTCCTCCCCTCAGCAACAATGAAAATTACCCTGTCTTGGGGGCCACTAACTCAATCCATACAAAATGTTCTCAACTTGAAGTATATAAGATTTCCAATGACAGTAATTTGCCATATGGAAGAATAAAAAAAAAGTTTCAGAGATAACGTAGTGAACTGGAGGAGAAAAAAAAAAAACCTTAACAGACAGCTTAGGCCATTTCACTATTGTAATAATTATTCTTCTAATGTTTTCATCAAAAGGAGCAGCCTGTCTCTCTCCCCTCATCTATATTCAAGCCACCACACTTTGTAGGTGTTAATCTCCACGCCTTCAGGCGGTTAGGACGGAGTGGAAATTGGCAGTCTCTGAACTGCAGAAGACTGCAGGGTAACAGTACCTGGTACCGCACTTAATTATCTCGATTATGTTAATGTATGTTGTTTGTCAATAGCCAGCAAGAGATTGTGAGGCAGTTGGGGAGATTTGTTTCGAGATGGATGTTTGGGCAGTAATGAATTTTTTCTTTCATGTTTTTTAATGGATTTTGTATTTATGAGACTGAAAGAAACAAAATCACCCATAATCCCAGCTAGTAGATATTTTCTTATTCGTCCAGTGTAGATTCAGTAGTTTGTATTCTTCTTCCCCACAAGTGATCCAAATGTATATACATATATAAACCAATATAAATGAACACATACCAATATTAGACACACAGGATACAGGGAATGAGAGTAATTTATTTCATAGGTGCTAAATAAATACATAAGAATTAAACTAACATGGCAAAACCCCATCTCTACCAAAAATACAAAAATTAGCTGGGTGTGGTGGCGCACACCTGTAGTTCCAGCTACTAGGGAGGCTGAGGTGGGAGGCTTGCTTGAGCCCAGGAGGCTGAGGCTACAGTGAGCCGTGAGCATGCCACTGCACTCCAGCCTGGGTGACAGAGTGAGACCTTGTCTCAAAAAAAAAAAAAATTAATTAAACTAAGGTATAAAATCAGTATCACATACTTTTGAATGCAAATAAAAACCATTTTAGGCTATCCATGTAAAAGAAAAGAATGCTATTTAGTAATCAAATCCTTAACACTAGTTGATCATTTTCAGAGCATTATGGTGAAACATATATAATGTGAGTCCTGGTCAGTTTTCTAGCTTCTGGCACCAGCAACCCCTGTAAGCCACCTAGGCTATCTAGCTAGAGACCACAGGGTGGAATTTGACCAGTGGCCATCGAGTTATTACTAGTCACTGATGAAACACTCACAGAGTGTGTCCCCATATCAGCAACAGAAGAGGGAAAGAACAGCATGTGCTGTTTTCCCTACAGAATTTCTAGGAAATGTGTACGTCCTTCACTATGTATTCTGAGTTCAAGCTTTTCTCATACTATTTCCTGAGCTGCCTGGGCTGAGCACAGCCTAATCACTGGTGAGAGAGGACTCAAGCAGTGGCTTCCCTAAATGTCTGGACTCCGGCTTCAACAATCGGAAGGGCAGTCTCCTCACCTGTTGAAATAACGCTAATCACGCTGGTTGATTTTTACCAGCGAGTTCCAAATGCCTCTGGGTTGTGCCTTTCTGGAAAGCCCTAAAATAATAGGAACGTACAAAGTCAACTGTCTGAGTAGAGATGGTAGAGACAGACAGGCTCCCATTCTGCTGAAAGCATCAAAGCCCACAGAGACCCCGTAAACAGCAGTGGCAGGGGTGAAAGGAACAAGCTAAGTTTGGTTAAGGGCTTGGATTCCAGTCCTGGTTCTTCCATTGGCCAGCTGGGTGAGTTAGGTAAGTCACTATTTACTAGCTGAGTGAGTTGGATAAGCCACTATTTACTAGTTAGGTGGGTGGCGTAAGTCACTATTTATTAGCTGTGAGAGTGGGGTAAATCACTTAATATTTCTAAGCCAAGTTCCTTAACTGTAAAATGAAACTCATACAATACCTCCTTCGATGGATTGTTTGTAAAACTTACACCAAACCAAAGAAAAACCCCAAAATTTTCACTTAAAAAATTGTATAAGCTATCAAATGCTTTATAGATGTGATTTTCTTCCTTTTCCTTTTTAAGGCCAATCCTGGTTTTCGATTCAGAGTGTTCTTATTTTCACTGAGGTGCTGGATACGTCACCCTCACAGAGCTAATTTTATTCCAATGTATACAACGCCCAGACTTTCTGTTGAGGAGCGATCTACCTCCTCGGTCATGTGTTAGAACTTAATTCCACAGGAAAGAAAAAGAACTGTCTCTCTGTAGTGAAAGGGAGTTTTAAAAAATGCTAATGGAAAATGAGGCCACATCAGATATAAATGTGAGCTATTCTGCCCAGAAAGAGCTGGAGAGGATTTAGTTTGCTGTATCTATCAACGGGAGAGAAGCTGGGATGGTGGAGTCTTTTGCTGCTCCGCTGCGGGAGGACACAGATCCGGAAGTGCAGAGGCCCCATTCTCCTTGTCCCCCCTTGCTCCTTGGCTAGGGGACAGAGCCAAGAGTAGCTAATCTCCTCTCAATCTTTTCTTTTCTTTTTTTCTTTTTTTTTTTTTTGAGACGGAGTCTTGCTCTGTCGCCCAGGCTGGAGTGCAGTGGCGCGATCTCGGCTCACTGCAAGCCCCGCCTCCCAGGTTCAGGCCATTCTCCTGCCTCAGCCTCCCGAGTAGCTGGGACTACAGGCGCCCGCCACCACGCCCGGCTAATTTTTCGTATTTTTTAGTAGAGACGGGTTTTCACCATGTTTCGTGGCTGATTTTTTTAAAGCTGTTTAATACGCAGTACTTTCAATTCTCCTATTTATTCACTTAAACCCAGGGAAACAGAGAGCTGTGATTAGTGGCCACTGTTTTTACACCAAAGCCTTTGTGGGTTTGTGGCCAACAGAAACAGCAAGCATTAAAAGTTTAATTAATTGCTACCTTGCTACCTCTGCTGACCACAGGATGTAAGAACAGGAGAGGGTTTTGTTTGAGGTCAGTTGTTTACCGGGCTTTCCATCATTACCTACCTTGAAATAATTATGCCATCAAGCATTGGGGCAGATTAAAGAGGGGTAGGAAAAGAGGCTGACCAGGAAAAACGAAACTCAGAACCAAAATGCCTGCATTTGTTTGGCCACAGTCACATCCTTTGCGCTTCACCTTGGCCGACCTGCAGACCCAAGGGCACCCCTGTCTCATTCCCCTTCCGTAAGTGGGGTACCTGTGAATGCATTCATCATCCACTGCAGTAGCTCCATTTTGTCACTAGGAAGAATTGAGACTGGGAGTTGTTTGGAAGCAGATCTCTAACTCAAGGTCAAAGCATACAACAAGAATAATTGTGCAGCATAATTAAAGCTGGACTCCAAAGAAGGCTGGAACCCTCACTGTGTTTAAGGTGGGTACAGGGAGGAAAAGATGATATTCAAAGGCTTCAGCTTTATGAATATAAACCAGTCCTTTTTTTTTCTTTTCCTTTCTTTTCAAATATTTTCACCTTGTGCTATGAGACCCCTGGTGCACGCAGAACGTTATAAAAGGAATGCTAGGAGATGAGCTTTGTCTCATCACTCTTTTCTCCCATACTTTGAAGCGGGCCAAAACACTCCGCCTCTGTAATTGGCCAAGACCCAAAGCCTGCAAAGTGTTTTTGGAACTGGTATTTATTGTACCCTCTTCTGTGACTTGCCTTTAACAGCACACACGGCCCACCAAGGGACTTTCCCCTTCATGTTCAGCAGTTAGCACCGAATCTCCTTGGCAAGGCGCTCAGTGACTGCACAATCTCACACCTGCCAGCGCTGGAAAGTTCTGGAAACAAGGACTCTGTGCCAGACATTCCTTTGGAGCAAGAGCTTCACTTCATCCAGTTCCTCATTCTCCTGGCCGTCTGATGAATACCATTTTCTTGAACTTGGTTAAACTTTTGCAGTATTAGTATGCACAAAGCACACCCAGGAACTGATGAGGATGCCGAGTCCTGAGGGTTCTAACACTGGCACTGCCTTTTGTAAGGCCTCGCTTTGGTATCATGCCCCTCACTTCCCAAAGCGCCCTCATACCTGGCCTTGCTTTGTTCTTTATGTTTTGAATGTTTGCCTTGTGCCAGGTTTTGTGCTAGGCATTTTCCTAGATTTTATCTCATGTGATCCTACTGACTATTCTATGAGTGGATTATGGGAAGGTACACACCGTATGGATGAAAAACTTGAAGATCAGAGAGTGGAATGTTCCAGAGTTCAAAGTTGACCTTTTTCTGGAGTACATATAACCTATGTTAAATTCTGTGCTCCAGTTATAATTATTATTATAATTATTATTTGTTTTTTTGAGAGGGCGTCTCACTCTGTCGCCCAGGCTGGAATGCAATGGCGTGATCTCGGCTCACTGCAACCTCCACCTCCTGGATTCAAGCGATTCTCCTGCCTCAGCCTCCCCGGTAGCTGGGACTACAGGCGCCCACCACCATGCCCAGCTAATTTTTATATTTTTAATAGAGACGGGATTTCACCATGTTGGCCAGGATGGTCTCAATCTCTTGACCTTGTGATCTGCCCACCTCAGCCTCCCAAAGTGCTGGGATTACAGGTGTGAGCCACCTTGCCTGGTCAAGTTATAATTATTTAATTGACTGGAGTGAGCCCAACAGAGTACTGCAAGATGTGAATAATACCTCACAGTTTAAAAACAATGACTAGGCCGGGCTCCATGGCTCACGCCTATAATCCCAGCACTTTGGGAGGCCAAGGATGGCGGATCACCTGAGGTCAGGGGTTCAACACCAGTCTGGCCAACATGGTGAAACCCCGTCTCTACTAAAAATACAAAAAATTAGCTGGGCATGGTGGTGGGCACCTGTAATCCCAGCTACTCAGGAGGCTAAGGAAGGAGAATTGCTTGAATCCGGGAGGCGGAGGTTGCAGTCAGCCAAGATCGCGCCACTGCACTCCAGCCTGGGCGACAAGAGTGAAACTCCATCTCAAAATAAATAAATAAATAAAAACAATGACTAGTCATACCTATGCCCATGCATGGTCTCTTTATTCCTGGACAAGAGTCTGGCCTATATCCAGCCTTTCAGTTGGATAATATAGATTGAAACTAGAGGGAGGATGCTGGGTGCTTCTGCTATGAGCTCCTTGAGCACCCTCCAACTTCCCTGTAGTCTTTGTCATGCTCTATTAAAACTGCTGATTGTGAAAATTAACTGTATTTGATATTTTACAGAAGTAATACAATACAAGGTGTAGGGGAAAATAGGTAATTATCTACCCGATCCCATCTCCCTATGGTAACTAGATTAACATTGTGCTACGTGTCTCTACACATATTTCTCCTTGATCTTATAAAAACATACACGCTTATGCATATATTTATGAGTTTGCTGGCTTCTTTTCCACTAAAAGAGAATCATATCACTTTTATTACTCTAACTTTATTTACTTATTTTTGCTCAATAATGTATCATGTTATTAGATGATTTAGTGTAGGAGAGAAAAAGTAATATATTTTTCTCACTCATTGCAAGGTTTATGGCTGAGACCCCTGTAACAACTACAACAACAACAACAACAAACAGATTAAGAAGGGAAAAGCATAACACATTTATTGAAATGCATTTGTACATTGACTTAGGAACCTTCAGAAATGAAGACCCAAAGACCCAGAGAAAACTGTTTTTTGATACTTAGGTTAGCTGAATGAGCAGCCACAGCTGGATAAAAAGGGATGTGACCTAACGGTAATAAACTGGGGGAAACTTAGTAAGACTTGTTGGTTCAGATTCTTCTCTGTGTGTTCATTCTTTTCCTTCAGGCACAGGACAGGATATCTGCCACATGAGGGTCTTCAGGGGAAAAGGGAGGGAAAAGGTCAGAGACATCTTCCTGCTTCTGCTGTTTTTGCAAATGCCCCGGTGCCATATTTCGGGGTAGTATTTCCTGCACCCATCATTAGGATATTCCTGAGTCTAATTTTTCCCTAATTTCTTTATGCATATATAAGGAAGAAGCTGAGGCAAAATTAATATAAGCAGAGAGTTTATTTGGGCCAACCTTTTAGGATTGCAGCCTGGGACCATAGATTCAAGTCGCCCTTGCTATACACTCCCATCAGCAGCAGTTAAAATTGAGGTTTTTTTTTTCTTTTTTCTTTTTGAGACAGGGTCTCACTCTGTTACCCAGGCTGGAGTGTATGGCACAATCTCAGCTCACTGCAACCTCTGCCTCCCGGGTTCAAGGGATTCTCCTGCCTCAGCCTCCCAAGTAGCTGGGACTACAGGTGCCTGCCACTACGCCCAGCTAATTTTTGTATTTTTAGTAGAGACACGGGGGTGTCACCATGTTGGCCAGGCTAGTCTCGAACTGCTGACCTCAGGTGATCCGCCCACCTTGGCCTCCCAAAGTGCTGGGATTACAGGTGTTAGCCACTGTGCCCAGCCCAAAAGTGAGTTTTGGTTTTGTTTTGTTTTGTTTTGACAGAGTTTCCCTCTTGTTGCCCAGGCTGGAGTGCAATGGAGCAATCTCGGCTCACCGCAATCTCTGCCTCCCGGGTTCAAGTGATTCTCCTGCCTCAGCCTCCCGAGTAGCTGGGATTACAGGCCTGTGTCACCATGCCTGGCTAGTTTTGTATTTTTAGTAGAGATGGGGTTTCTCCATGTTGGTCAGGCTGGTCTTGAACTCTCGACCTCAGGTGATCTGCCAGCCTTGGCCTCCCAAAGTGCTGGGATTACAGGTGTGAGCCACTGCACCTAGCCTCCAAAAGTGAGTTTTTAAAGGGAAAGAAGACAGCTGGGCACGGTGGCTCATGCCTGAAGTGCCAGCACTTTGGGAGGCTAAGGCGGGCAGATCACTTGAGGTCAGGAGTTTGAGACCCACCTGGCCAACATGGTGAAACCCCATCTCTACTAAAAATACAAAAAAATTAGCCGGGCAAGGTGGCACACACCTGTAATCCCAGCTACTCGGGAGGCTGAGGCACAAGAATCACTTGAACCTGGGAGGTGGAGGTTGCAGTGAGCCGATATTGCGCCACTGCACTGTAGCCTGGGCGATAGAGCTAAACTCAGTCTTAAAAAAAGAAAAGCCATAAAGGGAAAGAAGAGACAGTTCCCGAGATGTTTACCAAAAATTTACATTAAAATCACATAAGCTGTTGATTGGCTATGCATCGTTCTTTGTACCACAGATTCCAGAAACATAAAGATAATGGTGAGGTAGCTAGTCGTGAACAAAATGACTTTAAACAATTGCCCCCAGGTATGGGGTTGGGGGCTTGACTGATATCCCGTACTCACATCTCTCTGGGCCTGCATACCTCACATAGCTTAGATTGCTTTGAGCTATTTTCCTTTTCTCATCACATATATGGGATAATATCATACAAGAAATAATGAATGCATAAACATTCCCATGGTGTGGCTGTATCCTAATTCATCTTTTGATCTCTTTGTTTCCAGTTTTTTGCCACTGTGAACAAAGCTGCAATAAACACTGTTGAATGTATGTCCTTAAATACCATTTCTGTGGGATAGATTCCCTGGAGTGCTGAGTTAAAGTATATGTGCATTTTATTTTTTATGGACGTGGCCAAATTACTTTCCTGAAAGGCTGTAACAACACTTCACATTTCAGCCGGCAAGATGAATACGTGAGCACCCTTCTCATCCACACTGTGGCTGGCATTTGGTATTTGTTGCTTCTTTGTTTAGTCTGCCTACTAGGTGTAAAGCGACACCTCATTGTTATTTTAATTGCATTTCCTTCACTACTGGAGTCGTTGAACACCTTTTCATGTTTCTTTACCATTTTAAGTTGCTTTGTGTTGAATTCCCTGCAATTGCTTGCTTTTCTGTCTCCCTGGAATATAAACTCACCAGGGCAGGTACCAAGTGTGTCTTACTACTCTGGTTGTTATTTCTGGTTCCTATGATAGTTGGCAGCAAATAGTAAATGCTCAATAAAAAGTTTTTCAACAAATGAGTGAATATCCTTCAACACAGCAATCCTCCTCCAGGAGCTACAGCCATGTTCCACATAATATTTCAGTCAACAACGGACCATATATACTACCGTGGTCCCATAAGATTATAATGCAGTTGAAAAATTCCTGCCACCCAGTGACATCGTAGCCATCATAACGTCATAGCACAGACATAACTCACGTGTTTGTGGTGATGCTGATGTAAAGAAACCTACTGTGCCACCAGTCATGTAAAAGTATAGCACATACAATTATGCACAGTACATAATTGATAATGAGAATAAATGATGATGTTGCTGGTTTATGTATTTACCATACTTTTTATTATTATTTTAGAGAGTACTCCTACTTATACAAAAAAAAGTTGGCCGGTCGCGGTGGCTCACGCCTGTAATCCCAGCACTTTGGGAGGCTGAGGCCGGTGGATCGCGAGGTTGGGAGATCGAGATCATCCTGGCCAACATGTTGAAATCCTGTCTCTACTAAAATACAAAAAATTAGCTGGGCGTGGTGGCGCGTAACTGTAGTCCCAGCTACTCAGGAGGCTAAGGCAGGGGAATTGCTTGAACCCGGAAGGCAGAGGTTGCCGTGAACTAAGATCATGCCACTGTACCCCAGCCTGGCAACAGGGCAAGACTCTGTCTCGAAAAAAAAAAAAAAAAGTTAACTGTAAAACAGCCTTAGGCAGGTCCTATAGGAGGTATTCTAGAAGAAGTCATTGTCATTATAGTAAATGACAGCTCCCTGTGTGTTATTGCCCCTGAAGACATTCCAGATGAACAAGATGTGGAGGAGGAAGACAGTGATATTGATGATCCTGACTCTGTCCAGGACTAGGCTCATGTGTATGTGTCTTCGTTTTTAACAAAAAAGATTAAAAAGTAAAAAAAAATAAAAATAAAAAAATTTAAAAATAGAAAAATGCTTCTAGAATAAAGTTATACAGAAAGAAAATATTTTTCTTATAATGTGTTTGTGTTTTAAGCTAAGTGTTACTACAAAAGAGTCAAAAAGTTTAAAAAATTAAAAAGATTATAAAATAAATAAGTTACAGTAAGCTAAGGTTAACGTATTACTAAAGAAAGAAGGCCAGGCGCGGTGGCTCACGCCTATAATCCCAGCACTTTGGGAGGCCAAAGCAGGTGGATCACCTGAGGTCAGGAGTTCAACACCAGCCTGGCCAACATGGTGAAACCCCGTCTCTACTAAAAATACAGAAAAATTAGCCAGGTGTGGTGGCTTGCGCCTGTAGTCCCAGCTACTCGGGAGGCTGAGGTAGGAGAATGGCTTGAACCTGGGAGGTGGAGGTGGCAGTGAGCTGAGATCGCTCCATTGCACTCCAGCCTGGGTGACAGAGCAAGATTCGGTGACAAAGCAAGATTCCATCGCAAAAATAAAGAAGGAAAAGGAAGGAAGGAAAGAAAGAAAGGGAAAGAGAGAGAGAAAGGAAGAGAAAGAATGAAGAAAGAAAGAATTTTTTGTTTTTACAAATTTTGTGTAGCCTAAGTGTACAGTGTTTCTAAAGTCTACAGTAGTGTACAGTAATATCCCAGGCTTTCACATTCACTCACCACTCACCAACTCACCCAGAGCAACTTCCCGTCCTGCAAGCTCCGTTCATGGTAAGCATGCTAGACAGGTGTACCTTTTTTTAATCTTTTATATCATATTTTTACTGTACTTTTTCTATGTTTAGCTATACAAATACTTCCTATGTGTTACAATTGCTTGGAATATTCAGTATGGTAACATGCTGTGCAGACTTGTAGCCTGGGAGCAATAGACTGTACTGTACAGCTTAGGTGTGTGGTAGGCTCTGCCAGAGGTTTGTGTAAGTACGTTCTATGATGTTTACACAATGACGAAATTGCCTAATGATGCATTTCTCAGGAGGTATCCCTGTCATTAAGTGATACATGACAGTATATTAAAGAAATAATAATGATTGTGTGCGAGAATTTATTCACAAGAATGTTCATTATAACATGGTAACTGGAAACAAACTAGAAGTTTTAATAAATGAAGTTATAAAATAAAATAATGATATTTGATGCAGAAAGAAAATAATAAGGACTATAATGGCTAACTTTAATTTCATAGATACTTTTAGGAAGTGTGTTAAAAGCTTTTTAGTAATTTTTTCTTATTTAATCCTCACAATATATTAAGTTTTAAAAAGCAATTATAACTCTGTATGCACAATATAATCCTAATCACTTCAAGAAACCCTTCTGGAAGCCTAGATAAATAACTGGAAAGATACACACCAAATTGTCCGTGGTGGTTTATTTGTGTGAATAAAAAAGTACAGATCATTTTTATTTTCTTTTTTGCTTATACCTACTTGTATTAAGTCTTCTCCACATTTTGTAACAAGAAAAAGAGGCCGGCACAGTGGCTCACACCCAGCACTCTGGGAAGCCTAGGTAGGTGGATCATTTGAGGTCAGGAGTTTGAGACCAGCCTGGCTAACATGGTGAAACCCCACCTCTACTAAAAATACAAAAATTAGCCCGGTGTGGTGCCGCGTGCCTGTAATCCCAGCTACTCAGGAGGCTGAGCCACGAGAATTGCTTGAACCCGGGAGATGGAGGTTGCAGTGAGCCGAGAACGCGCCACTGCACTACAGCCTGAGCAACACAGCGAGACTCCATCTTAAAAAGAAAAGAAAAGAAAAAGAATCTAAGAAAAGCTATCCCTTAATAATATCCTCATATCTTGTGGTTGCTTCCTGTTGTTTTTAATAAATATGTATATATATTACATATATATAAGAATCTATATGTAAGGCTGGGTGTGGTGGCTCTCGCCTGTAATCCCAGCACTTTGGGAGTCTGAGGCGGGCGGATCACCTGAAGTCGGGAGTTTGAGACCAGCCTGACTAACATGGAGAAACCCCGTCTCTACGAAAAATACAAAATTAGCCGGGCGTGGTGGCGCATGACTGTAATCTCAGCTACTCCGGAGGCTGAGGCAGGAGAATCACTTGAACCCGGGAGGCGGAGGTTGCCGTGAGCTGAGATAGCGCCACCGCACTCCAGCCTGGGCAACAAGAGTGAAACTCTGTCTCAAAAAAAAAAAAAAAAAAAAAAAAAAAAAAGAATCTATAAGTACACATTTAGAGACCTCTCTTTCCCTGTCTCCATATATATGTGTGTGTATATATGTGTGTGTGTATGTATGAATATATTCATACTTTTTTTTTAACCAAATAAAGTTCTACAATAAAGCTGGTAATACCCAATGCAATATAGCTCATTGGCTACCTCATTTTTCCTAGATAATATATGTCCCGGGGCTTGTTTCCCCATGGATGAGGTATATTTGTCTCCTCAGTCTTTTAGAGTTGGCCCAAGGGGCCATTAATCACTCTGTCTGGAGCCGGGAGAGAACCCTCAGGAAAGAGGGGAAAGTGCAGCGAGCGGCTCTGCGATGGCGGCGATGATGAAGGTGCTGTCCACCAGGCCGGAAGCAGGCGCAGACCCTGTCTTGGGATGGAGAGCGCCATTTCCCGCCTCACTGGCCTGCGCCTCAGGTGAGGCCCCCCGCCTTGTCCCCTTACACCCCCAAAGCAGTTCTTGCCCCTAATGTAATATGACACGGAATGAGGTTTTTTTCTCAGTGGAAATTGAAACTGGAAAAGCACTGGAATCCAGAGAGCGGAATTGAAAGGGGGACCTTGAGCAGTTTCACAAGCAAACACAGAAGCAGCAGACGAGGGCAGAGCGCAGGAAAGACTTCCCCTTCGCAGCAACCCTACTCCCCGAGAAAACCCACCTGAATCAATAAAACAAAAACTGAAATTTAAAATCCACACATCTGGCTGGGCGCAGTGGCTCACGCCTGTAATCCCAGCAATTTGGGAGGCTGGGGCGGGTGGATCATCTGAGGTCAGGGGTTCGAGACCAGCCTGGCCGACATGGTGAAACCCCGTCTCTACTAAAAATACAAAAATTAGCCTGGCATTGTGGCGGGTGCCTGTATTCCCAGCCACTCGGGAGGCTGAGGCAGGAGAATTGCTTGAACCCGGGAGGCAGAGGTTGCAGTGAGCCGAGATCATGCCATTGTACTCCAGCCTGGGCGACAGAGTGAGACTCTGTTTCAAAATAAAATTAAATTAAATTAAAAATAATAAAATCCGCACATCCTACTCTGGTTCTCCTATGTTTTACCCCCAAATTCTCTTTCTGCGTGACAGCAACCTCAACAGAAGTGGTCACAAGCAAGTCACCTCCCTCCTCCTCCTCAGAAAACTCATGGGCTGATTTCATTAGCGTTGATTTAATTTCTTTCTAAGGCACTCGAGGACATCAAGCAAAATTCACAGCCAGGCCGGGAACTCGAGGAACGCTGTATTGAGGCACAGTGTGAATGCCACAAGATCAGTCCCCAGAGAATCAACCTAGAAGCCTGAGTGCAAATATGGAAAAGGCCAAGCCCTGCCGATCTCCCTGGACCCTTGGTAGAGGGAGCCCAGTGCCCCTTCCTGCTCTGCACCTTTCTGGCAGCCCAGTGCCAGGGCACCACCAGGCCCCTGCTGTGAGCCAAGGTCAGGAACCAATGAAAATAAGCTTGGCCTTGGGAGTATATATACATTTTGCTATTAATAGTGTTAAAATTAAATTTCCCTCTCTCAAGAGACCTAGGTATGGGAACTTGGTTTGCCATAACTGTCTGTACCTCCCTTGGTGGGGGTGTTATCCCATTGTGTCCAGGTCCTCGGCTAGAGAAGTGGGAATCTAGTACTGTCGGGTGCTAGGTCCTCATTTGTTCTCAATTGCCTCCTCTTTTTATCAATGCAGCCCTTCTGCTCATCCTTCCTTCAAAAAGACCATTGGCCAGGCACAGTGGCTCACACCTGTAATCCCAACATAATCCCAACACTTTGGGAGGCTGAGGTAGCAGATCACTTGAGGCCAGGAGTTCAAGACCAGCCTGGTCAACAGGGTGAAACCCATCTCTACTAAAAATACAAAAATTAGCCAGGTGTGGTGGTGCACGTCTGTAATCCCAGCTACTTGGAAGGCTGATGCAGGAGAATCACTTGAACCCGGGAGGCAGAGGTTGCAGTGAGCTGAGATCATGCCACTGTACTGCAGCCTGGGTGACAGAGTGAGACTCTGTCTCAAAAAAATAAATAAATGAAATGAAAATAAAAATATCCCATCCATTTTCTTGTGTTTGTTTATTTGCCAAAGCAAGCTGTTGTAGGGGAGAAAACATTTCTTCTTTCTAGGTTCAGGCTGAGATCCCTAAAACAAGACAGATTAATAAGATAAAAGCATAACCAAATTTATTCAATACTGTATACATTTTACATGACACAGGAGCCTTCAGAAATGGAAACTCAAAGAAACAGAGAAACCTGTGCATTTTTATGTTTGATGAAGAATGGACAATTGTGTAGAAGTGAGATTGGACAAAAAGGGGGTACGATCCAATGGAAATCAACTGGGGTGAACCTAGCAAGCCCTGTTTGTTCAGTTTCTCTGTGGCTTTGTGTCTTCAGAGATAAGGACACTCCTTTCCTCTGGGTATAGGAAGCGCACCTCTTACATGACAGTCTTCTGACCCACTTCAGGAGAAGGTCAGAGAATTCTTTTGTGGCCTGCTTCAGGGGAGGAGGGCAGGAGAGGGTCAGAGAGACCTTCCTGATTCTGCTACTTTCTCAAATGCCAAGATGTCATATTTTAGGGTAGTATGTTCTGAACCTCATCATGGCCACCTGTCCTCCACCGGACCTGAGAGTGGGCCCCTCCTGACTCCCCTGGCACAGTGTTGCAAAGACATGAAAGATCCATCCCCGCCACAAAGGAGAAGTGACACAGGAGCCAGTGATGGAACCAGGGAGACAGGTGCAGAAGCGGCCAGCTATCCCTGGAAAGCCTCCCAGACACCCAGAAGCGGGAATATCTGTCAAGTCAGCTGGACCCAGCACACGCTTCTCAGTTGTTGCTACTGAAAATACAGAGACACGGTGTTGGAGCCAGCTCATCTCCACCCCTGAAAGCAGATGATTCGTTTTCAGGAAGTGTGGGAGCCAGTTGAACTCTCACTGGAGTCTTAAAAGCAGCCCTAGAGGGAGTGTTGTGGAAATCAGCTGACATGGCTACAAATAGGACTCTTTGTTTGTTTGTTTGTTTGTTTGAGAGCCTCTTGCTAATCTGGCCACAATAGTGAGTCCAATAGTGCTGGGTAAGGTGAGGCCTGGGTTCCCCTCCCAGCCTTGCACTCACCAGCTATAAGACTGTAGGGAGGTTCCTTAACACCTCTTTGGCTGTGTTTCTTTCTCTGCAGGATGATAATACCTAAAGGAGAACTAAATGAGTTAATCTACTTAAATGTGCATGGGACAATGTATTTCCCATTATTATCTGCTTTTAATACACTAGGATGCAAAAGAGATTGAGAAGCACTGATTTTTTTTTTTTTAATATACTTTAAGTTCTGGGTTACATGTGCAGAACGTGCAGTTTTGTTACATAGGTATACACGTGCCTGGTGGTTTGCTGCACCCATCAACCCATCATCTACATTAGGTATTTCTCCTCCATGTTATCCCTCCCCGAGCCCCCCACCACCCGGCAAGCCCCAGTATGTGATGTTCCCCTCCCTGTGTCCATGTGTTCTCATTGTTCAACTCTCACTTATGAGTGAGAATATGCGGTGTTTGGTTTTCTGATCTTGTGATAGTTTGCTGAGAATGATGGTTTCCAGCTTCATCCATGTCCCTGCAAAGGACATGAACTCATCATTATTTATGGCTGCATAGTATTCCATGGTGTATATGTGCCACATTTTCTTTATCCAATCTATCACTGATGGACATTTGGGTTGGTTCCAAGTCTTTGCTATTGTGAATAGTGCCGCAATAAACATACGTGTACATGTCTCTTTATCTTAGAATGATTTATAATCCTTTGGGTATATGCCCAGTAATGGGATTGCTGTATCAAATTGTATTTCCAGTTCTAGATCCTTCAGGAATCACCACGCTGTCTTCCACTATGGTTGAACTAATTTACACTCCCACCAACAGTGTAAAAGCATTCCTCTTTTTCCACAACCTCTCCAGCATCTGTTTTTTCCTGACTTTTTAATGATCGCCATTCTAACTGGCATGAGATGGTATCTCATTGTGGTTTTTATTTGCATTTCTCTAATGACCAGTGATGATGAGCATTTTTTCATATGTCTGTTGGCTGCATAAATGTCTTCTTTTGAGAAGTGTCTGTTCATATCATTTGCCCATTTTTTGATGGGGTTGTTTGTTTTTTTCTTGTAAATTTGTTTAAGTTCTTTGTAGATTCTGGATATTAGCCCTTTGTCAGATGGATAGATTGCAAACATTTTCTCCCATTCTGTAGGTTTCCTGTTCACTCTGATGATAGTTTCTTTTGCTGTGCAGAAGCTCTTTAGTTTAATTAGATCCCATTTGTCAGTTTTGGCTTTTGTTGCCATTGTTTTTGGTGTTTTGGACATGAAGTCTTTGCCCATGCCTATGTCCTGAATGATATTGCCCAGGTTTTCTTCTTGGATTTCTATGGTCCTGGGTCTTACGTTTAAGTCTTTGATCCATCTTGCGTTGATTTTTCTAAAAGGTTTAAGGAAGGGGTCCAGATTCAATTTTCTGCGTATGGCTAGCCAGTTTTCCCAATACCATTTATTAAATAGGGAATCTTTTCCCCATTGCTTGTGTGTGTCAGATTTGTCAAAGATCAGATGGTTGTAGCTGTGTGGTGTTATTTCTGAGGCCTCTGTTCTGTTCCATTGGTCTATATATCTGTTTTGGTACCAGTACCATGCTGTTTTGATTACTGTAGCCTTGTAGTATAGTTTGAAGTCAGGTAACGTGATGCCTCCAGCTTCGTTCTTCTTGCCCAGGATTGTCTTGGCTATGTGGGTTCTTTTTTGTTCCATACGAAATTTAAAGTAGTTTTTTTCCAGTTCTGTGAAGAAAGTCAGCAGTAGCTTGATGGGGATAGCATTGCATCTATAAATTGCTTTGGGCAGTATGGCCATTTTCACGATATTGATTCTTCCTATCCATGAGCATGGAATGTTTTTCCATTTGTTTGTGTCCTCTCTTATTTCCTTGAGCAGTGGTTTGTAGTTCTTCTTGAAGAGGTCTGAGAAGCACTGATTTTTAAAAAACAAAACAAAACCCAAAACCCCTGTATGCTTAATACAGTAGCTTCAGATGGATGTGGCAAACTGAAGACATCTAGGTGCTAGAACTTTTCAAAGTGAGCCACAAAAATGAGCAGAAACACAAAAACAAGGATTCACCAAATAGGTGTAAAAGAAATCCGGTTGAGAGAAGAGGTAAATTTGAAAACGCATCTTGGGTATAGTGGCTTCATCTGCTGATTCCGCCCCAATGCACATAAGTAAGGATGGAAACACAAGAAATCCTAGTTACCTGATAGACCTTTATTATTATTATTATTATTATTATTATTATTTGATGGAATCTTAGTCATCCAGGCTGGAATACAGTGGTGCAATCTTGGCTCTCTGCAACCTCTGCCTCCAAGCAATTCTGCCTCAGCCTCCTGAGTAGCTGGGATTACAGGCACACGCCACCATGCCCGGCTAATTTTTGTATTTTCTGTAGAGATGGGGTTTCACCATGTTGGCCAGGCTGGTCTTGAACTCCTGACCTCAAGTGATCCGCTGGCTTCAGCCTTCCAAAGTGCTGGGATTACAGGTGCGAGCCACTATGCCCGACCTCGATAGACCTTTAAAGTCCATTTGAGAAGCTGAAGTCCTTCAGAGCAATTACTCAGATGTTTTTGCTGTTCTTAGACAAAACTCTGAGAACATTAATGTGCAGATGCAGAAAACTCACAGCGTCTCAAAGCTGCAAAGCTACTGTCAGAGCCAAACATTACTGTGAAGAAAGGGAAATCGATAGATACCCAGGTTTTTTCCCATATGAAAAAAAGTTCTCTTTTGTCCAAGGCTTCATTTACTGAAGTCGTCCCGGGCAAATATTCTAACTGGGCTTTCTGTTTCCCGCCTTGGTTCCTAGTGCACTGGGCCCCCTGCCTCCTTTTAGACTTCGTGACTTAAGATATTTATCGTTTCAGGGACAGACTATGCCGGGAGCATTTTGGTCTCAGACAGAAAACAAAAATAGATGCACTTCAAAAATGATCCAAGTGTTGTACGTTTCTGACTTTTTTTTTCACCACGGTGCCCCCGCCGCCAACCATTTTAAAAGTAATTCCTGCTGTTTGAAATAATCACCTGAATCTCCCGAAAAACTTTAAACCGTGTTAGACAATTAAACAGATTCCTGGCATCGCTGAGGCCATCTGTGTGTCTGAGTAGCCTATAAGCAACACAGTGAAGCCAGAGGTAGTAATCGGAGAGCGCTCGACAGGAGGAAGTATATCCTTTTGCCCCCTAGAAGAGACCACATCTCAAAGTTGCTTTGATAATATCCCCACGACTTCTTGTCAGCGTGATGCTTCCAGCACAGTTTTGTTGAAAAATGCCTTTTGTGCTGACAAGACCACGTGGGCTTTCACCCCAACCTTGTTTTCTCACAGTTAATAAATTACAAGAAAACAGAGCTGGAGGATACTCCAAAGAAGTAAACTTTCTTTTCCATGATTATCTACAGTGTAACATCCCTGAGAACATGGACAGGGGGTTACTACTGTAATGTGATCATCTGGGTACCCAGGAGCCGTCGGGCTCTGAGCACAGACGTCTGTCTGGACAGGTAACTTCGGGTCACTGAAAGGTCAACTATGAAGCAGTGCTCAAATGTGTGACAGTAAGAACTCTTCTGTCTGAAAAACACACTGTAATTTTACCTTTGTGTCCACAAAAACTACTTCTGCATCTAGAAGCAAAGGTGGAATTTCTATGCCAATATCAGAAGGATGCAATGAAATGGTGGAAATGTGGGCACCATATATATATGTATATATACACCATATATATATATGTATATATATTTGTAAGTAGGCTGGTTTCAGAAATTAGTTGGACAGCTCTTACAAACATATAAAATCTGAAGCACGTCTGTTTTTAAAATTGTGGTAAAATACACATAACATAAAATGTACTACCTTAACCATTCTTAAGTGTACAGTTCAATACTGTCAGGTATCTTCACACTATTGTGCAAACAATCTCTACAACTTTTTCATCTTGCAGAGTAAAAACTATGCCCGTGAAATGACTCCCCATTAACAAGTTGTTGTTGTTGTTGTTGTTGTTGTTGTTGTTGTTGTTGTTTTGCGACAGAATCTCGATCTGTTGCCCAGGCTGGAATGCAGTAGCATGATCTTGGTTCATCTCAACCTCCACCTCCTGGGTTCAAGCAATTCTCATGCCTCAGCCTCCTGAGTAGCTGGGACTACAGGCATCTGCAACCATGCCCAGCTATTTTATTTTATTTTTTGTAATTTTAGTAGAGATGGGGTTTCAACATATTGGCCAGGCTGGTCTCGAACTCCTGGCCTCAAGTGATCCGCCCACCTCAGCCTCCCAAAGTGCTGGGATTACAGGCAACAAGTTGTTTCTTAAAATAAGTTTGTGTATTACTAAATGAAAATTAAAAAGTACTTCAAAAAATTAAGCAAAATGTAATGACCTTAGCTATTCTTTAAAGCAGGCTTTTGAATTGGAAAATTTTCCAAGTCAATCTGACAATTGCTTTGGACAGAATAAAAAAGGCCCGTAGTCAACAGTAGAATAAAGTCTGTAACTTTAGTATATAAAACACATATGATAAGGTCCAGTACATTGCAAGGGCTGGGCCACACATTTTCCTGAAGGCCCTCTGACAGCTGACGTGAAGGGAGAAAGACAAGCAGCTACTGAGAGTCAAAAGTGAATTGGCTACTGCTCTCTGGAGACCAAGAAAAAAATGAGTTTCAGGAAAGGCAGTGACTGAAGGGTGTTGGCAAGAGGTGAGCACACCTGAATTAAGACAAAAAGAGCTGGGGGTGAATGGGAATGGTATGGACTCAGGACAGGAGTCTAAGGGAAATTAGAGGGTCCTTCTAGAACTCACAGATGGAAAGAGTGTATGCAACTTCCTTGACCCAGGCTTGGGAGCGGGGATGAAGACAAGACAAAAGATCTTGATGATAGATTCTAGAGCAGCAAGTCACTCTAGATTCTAAAACTCTGATTCTAAATTGGAGTTAGGTCATGAGAAAATGATGCATCAAAGAGGCACAGTTCATCTCCAGAAAGAACTTTCCTGATATCCAAGCTAGTGAGGAGAAGCAAACTCACCTTCAAATCTATCTCTAAGCTAAGTACCTGAAATCTACATCCAAAAGGATAAGTTATATTTCCATAGTCTTCATTCCATAATACACATGGCACTTTAAAGTCTCCAAGATTATATTCTAAGGAGGAAAACCCTTTGGATGCTGGCACTAGAATCTACTAGAAGAAAATAGAGAGAATGTCTGCTAAATTCAGGCATAAACAGAGATGAAAATCTGTCTTTTAGGATTGATGGCATGGATGGTGTGGAAGAGAAACTTTTCATGGGTTCTCATAAGGTGCTTTTAGATCCAGGGAAGAGAAACAGTCAAATGTGGATGTTCCTGACAGCATCTCACAGCTTTACTTGGAAGAATTTTAGCAGTGTTTCCTGAAATTTGGAGAGTTTTCAAGCATATTCTATGGCATTTTTATAAAGTTATATCCTATAGAGCTATAATATTACTCTTTCTTAGACCTTTTTTTTTTTAAAAAAAAAAAATTTTTCTTTTGTTTTAGGCAGGGTCTCACTCCTTTGCCTAGGCTGGAGTACAGTGGCATGATCTTGGCTCACTGCAACCTCTGCCTCCTGCCTTCAAGCGATCCTCCCACCTCAGCCTCCTGAGTATCTGGGACTACAGGCACGCACCACCATGCTTGGCTAATTTTAATTTTTTTTGGTAGAGACAGGGATTTCACCATGTTGCCCAGGCTGGTCTTGAACTCCTGGGCTCAAGTGATCCACCTATCTCGGCCTCCCAAAGTGCTGGGATTACAGGCATGAGCCACCACGCCCGGCCTCTTTCTTATATTGTCATTGTACTTGGGTTGTAATAGGTGCCACGGTGGAGTGGAGGAAGAACTGGTGTTAGGTTCCAGGACAAGTTTCATTATTTATTAGCTATGCAACACTGGGCAAATCACTTGAACACTCTGAGCTTTCGTTTTCCATCTGTAATGTGAGGGAGGTCATACTGTCTTATAAAAATCATCAGAAGGAATGTGAATCAAACTGGATGCAAGAAAGTGCTCGATAGATTTAAGAATGTAGTGTGGAACCCCCAGCAACATGGCAAATGAACCTGATGTGGGCTGGCTTCTTCCAGTTCCAAAGACACCCACACAGGGGATAAAATATAACATTTAAAAATATAGAGGGAGAGCTTAGTTTGAAAGAAAATAAGGGAAACTGAAGGTGCCAGAAATGAAAGAAACTAAAGCCAGAAGAGTGAGCAGAAGTGAGTGGAGAAGCCGCCCTTTGGGTTTCCACTGGGTTTCCAGAGTTCTTAGACGCAGAGCAACGAGTTTCCGGAGCTCATGGAGGCCAAGCCTTTGCCTATGGAAGGTGATGGAAGGGTGAAGTTCCAAAAAGGAGCTGTATTGGTTTGCTAGGGCTGCCATAAAAAAATACCACAGACTGGGTGGCTCAGATGACAGAAATTTATTTTCTCACAGTTCGGGAGGCTGAAAGTCTGAGATCAAGGTGTGGGCAGGTTTGGTTTCTCCTGCGGCCTCAGTCCTTGGCTTGCCGATGGCCACCTTCTCGAGGTGTCCTCACAAAACACAGCCTTTCCTGTGCACCTGCACATCCCTGGTGGCTCTTTTTCTTCATGTAAGGACATCAGTCACATCGGATTAGGGCCTACCTTTATACCCTATTTCCAAATACAGCCACATATTCTGAGGTAGTCAGGGTTAGGACTCCCACAAACAAATTTTCGGGAGGATACAATTCATTCCATATCAGGGGCCAACAAAAACCCTAGACATAGGCCTAGAGAGGCAGCACCAAAGCATAAGAAATCTTACCACTTATCAAGTCTTAGGTGGGATGGCCAGGCACAGTGGCTCACGCCTATAATCCCAGCACTTTGGGAAGCTGAGGCGGGAGGATGGCTTGAGCTCAGGAGTTCAAGACCAGCCTAGGCAACATAGTGAGACCCTGTTTCTAGAGAAAAAATTAGCCAGGCATGGTGGTGAGCACCTGTAATCCTAGCTACTTTTAAGGCCAAGGTGACAGTAGCACTTGAGCCCAGGAATTCAAGACTGCAGTGAGCTATGACACACCACCGCACTCCAACTGTCTCTAGAAGAGATTTAGACAGATTTAGAGATCATCCCATCTCAAAAAAAAAAAAAAAAAAAAAGACAATAGAGTCATTGAATGCAATAGACTGATGGTTTTCAAAGTGTGTTCCCTGGACCAGCAATCAGCATTATCTAAGCAATTGTTAAAAATGCACATTCTCAGGCCCCATCCCAGACCTCCTGAATCAGAAACCCTGGGAGTTAAGCCCAATGGGGCTTGTGTTTCAAGAGGCCCTCCAGGGGATTGTGATGGTTGCAGAAATGTGAGAAGCATTGCAATAAAGGAATTTGCTTCCCAGCAACTGCAGATCCTGACACCTCCAAACGATAGTTCCTCCCTCCTCCCCGGAAGCTACCAGCTTAGATGCTCATGCCATCAAACACTATCCTCTCCCCTTCCTCACTGGCATGGTGTTCAAATCCCCTGGTCACCTTCCTAATTCCTAGCTAGGCTTTCCCCTTGGCTCACTGGCCCTCTCTGCTCTCCCCCCAGGGCCTGGCACATCGCCGGTGCTCAATGCATTTTTACTGAATGAAAGCATAAAGTAGAGCTGTGTGTGTTGTTGAGGTACGTTCTTAAAAAAAGCTTCTCACCCTACATTTGCTATTTAAAATGAGGGTGGTGGGCTGCTACGCCCAACATGGCTAAATCTAGAAAGCATAACTGTGAGAAAAAGAAAGCAACTTCGCAGGCGTTCCTTGGCTCATCAAAGGCTGTCTTCTCCCTGTGTCTCCACATCATCTTCCCTCTGTACATCTCTGTCTCTTCACGGGGCATTCTTTATATAAGGATACCAGTCACAGGGACCCCCCCACCCCATTCCAGTATCACCACATCATAACCTACCTGATTACATTTGCAATGGTCCTTTTTCCAAATAAGCTTATATTTTGATGCCCTGGGGGTTAGGATTTCAACATATGAATTTGTGAACATATGGATCCAACATATGAATTTGTGGTTGGGGGAGAGAATGATACAATTCAACCCATAACAGATACATACAGTATCACAGGTAACATTTCAAATTATATACAAATTCTGAAGACATATAAATGCATAGTGAGAGCACAAAAACGTGAATGGGAAGAAAAAGGCCCACTTTAGCATATAGCTTCCTTCCAAGGAGGGAGAAAAGGAGGGAAATGGTATCAAGAAGAGACCCAGAAAGGAGATTCAACTGTATTTTTTACATTCAGTTCTTTTACAATACGAAGCAAATACAGCTAAATGTCAACATTTGTTAAGTGCCCTTGGCGAGGACTATTTTATTCTCTGCTTTTTTCAGGTTGTTTATTTATCTGAGAAAATAGCATTAGGGAAGAAATGCTCCATGCTGTAAAGAACACTCCACATTAGGACATGCTCAAATACAAGGTGACATTAATTTTGTTCAGGTAAAGACATCAAAGAGTGCCAAGAGGCAGGTGGCAGTAAGAAAGGACAACTATAAAGGGTTGAAACCAAGAGCCAGGCCAGACTGCAGGGGAATGGATGTATCCCACGTCAGGCCGCCAGTCACAGGAATTGGGAGATCAGGCAGGTTAATACAGGCAAAGAGGACAACAATGTTGTGAGTGGAGGGGACACTGCCAAGGTCAGCGGAAAGGCAAGGCGTGGTGTAGGTGAGACTCAGGTGAGCTAGGTCTGGAAATGCAGTCCAAACAGACAGGCATCCAAGGTTCAAACTTGCTCCTGGAATAAGCCAAGAGTGGTTGCCAGAATAGGAATTCCATTCTGTCAAGAAGGACTGGGTGAGGAATTTTGCCTTAGAATTCTAGGGAGGAGGCTGAATTCCTACAACTTCACAACTGATACTTGGAAAATGAATGACTGCAATTTAGTAGAGGTCCCAAACCAACTGGGCCATGGGTGTTCACAGTTTTCCTTGCATCCAAGGGCAACTACCTGGAGAAGGCAGAAGGGGAGTAGGGAGGTGGGATTAGCCCTGAGCCATCTCTGACTAGTTGGAGAGGCCTTAACAGTTGTCAGGCCCAGAACAAAGCACTTTACTTACATGCATTATCTCATCTAGTCCTTGCAACAACCCAGTGACATCAGTACTATAACCCCCATGTTAAAGACAAAGAAACAGGTGTAAAAAGGTAAGATAACTTGCCAATAACACAAAGCCCGTAGTTGGCAAAACTGAGATCAAACCCCAGCCTGTTTGATTCCAGGGCCCACAATCTCAGTCCCTGTGTTTTATGGCCCCTTTACATTCACATAAAAAATATTTGTTGATCACTCCTTAAACAATGAGGAAATACATATATTGAGTGTCAACCTGCTTCTGTTTCAGGAGCCAGAGATACAATGAACAAGTCTGATAAGGTCTCCATCTTCCTGTGTTCTAGAAAGCAGCTCACCATTCCCATCCTAAATACTATAGCAAATGTAGGATTAGAGGATTTTTAGAACGTGCTCCCATAAGCTTAGCTTGACATTGTTTTTAAAAGTGTGTGTGGGGGCCGGGCACAGTGGCTCATGCCTGCAATCCCAGTACTTTGGGAGGCCGAGGCAGGAGGCTTGCTTGAGCCCAGGGGTTCAAGATCAGCCTGGCAACATAGTGAAATCCCAACCCTATAAAAAATAACAAAAGTTACCCAGGCATGGTGGCATGGGCCTGTATTCCCAGGTACTTCAGGAGGCAAGGCGGGAGGATGGCTTGAGCCCAGAAGTTTGAGGCTGCAGTGAGCTGTGATCACATCACTGCACTCCAGCCTGGGTGACAGAGTAAGATCCTGTCTTAAAAAAAAAAGAAGTGTGTGTGGAGATTGCAGGGGAAGAAGGTGTAATCAAAAGGTTGTATCTGCAGGAGGCCCTGTGACATGGAAAGGCCAAGATTTCTAAAAGACACTTCTAATCGTTTTTGATGTGACAAAACTGTAACGATGACCTTTGAGCTAAAAGGAAAATAAGGAGGCTCGTCCCGATGGAAGGGCCACCGACAGCGAGACCATGGCCCGGCCGAGGCAGACGGTTGATTATTATTCTAGCCCAGGGAGAAAAAAGTCAGTTCAAAAATTGCTTGTTCATGTCATGGTAAATCCTTAATGCTTTTAATGAAAATTCTTCTCCTTCATGAAATATTTTCTATTTTAAAGAAGAGCAGCAAATTAATACAGCGTTTCCAACAGCCTCTAAGTCAGGTTTAATTGGGGCAATTCCCTCCAGTGAATTGAACGAAAGGTGACGTTCGTCTTCCTTGCCTGGGTGGAATGTTAAACTGGAAGCAGGGATGAAATGTCAAGGTAAAATAATGCTAATAATTATTCTGAATGTTACATTCTCCTTGACCTTGGAATTTAAAGGGCCAAAATGAAGGCTTTTTGTCAAAAGTCAAGAAGTCATCTAGAGACGCTGCTGACATTTATGATTAATGTAATCTGGGATTATTAGGAGAGAAATGAAGAATATGATTAGCTTCTAGTATCTTGGTAATTCATTTTTATATTATTATAGAAACCATATAGTATATGGACATAAAAAGAGATGACATGCTGTGGATAATCCTAATCTCTAGAAATTTAAAGAGGAAACCTCTAAAGATAAGTAAAGGCTTTTTAATTAAAGCAGCAGTGACCAAATAATTAAATTGATAGCTCCGTAGTAAAAGAGGGTAGAAAATGACCTCAGTCTAAGGAAAGATAATGATTTCTTATGCATAGCACACATGGGCACACAAAAGAAATCAAGCCTCTATCTGCTGGGTCCCGTCGCTTCAGAGAATTTTCTGGTTCATTTGCAGTGACAAGAGAGACTGAGTACAGCTCGGGGAAGGCTCCCCGGCACCGTGCCCTGAGCTAGCAACTCAGGCTGCCCCTGAAAAATGAGTGTGGCTGACAGCAAAGCACCTCAGTAAAGCGGAAAGATCGCTTTCGAAATTTGTCGGGGAAAAATGCAGCTTCTGTTTTCAATAAAGCTTTTGGTCCAAAGCCCAAGCTGGGAAAAGTGCAAAGGTGAAAGGACCCTGCTCTTTGTGACCCAGTTTCCCTGCTCCCCAGATGCACCCTCTGCACATTCATCTCAATGTGCCCCCTCCTCCCGCTCAGACTGGAAGCTGAAAGGCAGCGGGGAGAGGGCAGGGGCATTGATTCTCAGAAAGAAAAAAAAATAGGAAGACTTGCATACAAATTAAAATCAAAGCAAAATGGGGAAACAGGCTTTTGAGAGAGTGGGAAATAGAAAATATTTAGCTCACCTATTTTAAAATTAAAAACCAGAACTAGGAAGCTTTTCACCATACAATCAAGCGATATATATAATTTTCATGTATGTCCAAACAGCAAACAGTAGGTACCACATAGATGATACATTACATGTATAGTAATTACGTCCTCAGGTTTTTCCCCAACAGGGATAGATGAGAGACAGCAAGGGAGCAGAGAAAGAAGAGGTGAGAAGAGGTAAGGAGATAGGCTGGGCACAGTGGCTCACGCCTATAATCTCGGCACTTTGGGAGGCTGAGGCCGGTGGATCACTTGAGGTCAGGAGTTCGAGACCAGCCTGGCCAATGTGGTGAAACCCTGTCTCTACTAAAAATACACAATTAGCCCGGCATGGTGGCACGCACCTGTAATCCCAGCTACTTGGGAGGCTGAGGCACGAGAATTGCTTGAACCCGGGAGGTAGAGGTTGCTGTGAGTTGAGATCGCGCCACCACACTCCAGCCTGGGTGACAGAGTGAGACTCTGTTTCAAAAAATAAAAAAATGAAACGAAAAGATGAGGAGGGACTATAAGGGGGAAAGGCAGTGTGGAAAGGGGAGTGGGGCGAAGGAGAAAGCACAGAGAAGAGAGACCCCCATGGAGGGGCTTTTGTACATCCCGGAGGTGTACATCAGAAGCGTTTCTGATAGCTTTTGATTTGCTTTCTGGTAACTGAGGACAGATTCTCTGGTTTGGAGCCTTGCTGTCAGCATCCTATAGCTCAGCCCCCAAGTAGTAGTGTGTCTGCATGTTGGTACATATATCTGCACGTTCCCTGCATAAAATCTGTGTGGGCCAAGAGAAAAGCTCACTCTTCTTCGGGTCTCTGCTGTCTGCAGAATGCTGCAGTCATTTAGCATTGCAATAAGTAACTCAGAGGAAGTTAAGAGAGGCACTATTTGAAGAGAAGTCACAAGAGCGTTTCTTACGTTGCATGTCGTATTTGTGAAAACAAATGAAAGTAATGTACTTGCAAAACCCTAATAAAGTTGAGAAAATGTTTGGAAATCTTGCTAAACCAATACAGCCCACATGGGGACTTCAGAAGCCTTTAAAGCATCTGGAATCTGAGATGTGGCAGTAATCGCAGTTTGTCCTGCTCATTCGGACCTCCCAGACGTTGCTGTCTTAGATAAACACACCTCTCAGCTGACAACACCAAACCTTAAAAGGCATAGCCACAGTCAACATTGAAAAGAGGTGAACGGTGTATGTACCACATTTTTTTTTGTCAAACTCATCATTGACGGTCACACCTAGGTTGATTCTGTGTCTTTACTATTGTGAATCGTGCTGAGATGAATGAACGACTGTATATGTCTTTTTGGTAGAACAGTTTATATTCCTTTTGGTATATATGCAATCATGACATTTCTGGGTCGGGTGGTAGCTCATGTCCTTTGCAGCAACATGAATGCCACTGGAGACCATTATCCCAAGCAAACTAACCCCAAAACAGAAAACCAAAGACTGCATGCTCTCACGTATAAGTGGGAGCTAAACAATGGGTACAGATGGACATAAAGATGAGAACAATAGATGCTGGGGACTCCTAGTTGGGGAGAGAGGTAGGGGACAAGGGCTAAAAAACTACCTATTGGGTATTGTGCCCACTACCTGGGTGACGGGATCATTCATATCCCAAACCTCAGGGTCGCACAACATACCCATGTAACAAACCTGCACATGTATCCCCTGAACCTAAAATCAAAGTTGAAATTATTTTATATATATATATATATATAAAATCCATGTAATTAAATATATATCTATATCATCCTTGAGGAGAAATAGAAGATAGACCTAAAGGAAGAGAAGCCAGAACTTCATCCCCATGTGGACGGAGAGCTCTGATCCTCTCCAACTCCCCAAGAATTCTGAAAAATCATCACATTGTGTGAATTCCAATTCAGTTTGACTATATGATTTTTATGATCGCCAAGACTTACATGGTAATTAACTACTAAACTAAAAGATTTCCACCATTTAACATCAATTGAAAATCCATCTCCATTTCAAAAAGAAGAAAACTCAGTGCTCTGATATCTATAAATACTGCCATTCCTTAAAACAGTTTGTAGGCTGAGCACTGTGATTCACGCCTGTAATTCCAGCATTTACAGAGGCCGAGGCGAGAGGATTGCTTGAGCTCAGGAATTCAAGACCATCCTGGGCAACATAGCAAGACCTTGTCTCTACTGAAAAAAAAAAAAAAATAGCTGGGCATTATGGCACATGCCTGTTGTCCCAGCTACTTGGGAGGCTGAGGCAGGAGGATGGCTTGAACCCAGGAGTTTGAGGCTGCAGTGAACCATGATTGCACCATTGCACTCTAGCCTGGGCAACAAAGCCAAACTCTATCTCAAAAAAATAAAGTAACAGATTGTAAATCATATAAAATCTTATAAGTAAATATCTCAATACTTAAAAGGGATATTCTGTTTATAGTTTAAAATTATATTCTCCAGCCTGATAAACTCTCTTAATCATCAGTTTGGCCCTGAAGGAATCTCAGTTGTTTCCAAACATCAAGTTAACTTTAAAGGGCAAAGATATTTCAGTTTTACAACTTAAAAAAATCTGATCACACTGTAATCCCACCACTTCGGGAGGCCGAGATGGGCAGATTATGAGGTAAGGAGATTGAGACCAGCCTGGCCAACATAGTGAAATCCCATCTCTGCTAAAAAAAAAAAAAAATTAGCTGGGCGTGGTGGCAGGTACCTGTAATCCCAGCTACTCGGGAAGCTGAGGCAGAAGAATCACTTGAACCCGGGAGGTGGAGGTTGCAGTGAGCTGAGATCACGCCATTGCACTCCAGCCTGGGCGACAGTATGAGACTCATTCTGACAGCATTTTTTAAAAAACAGTCAAAACTGGCTTAAGCTACAGAAACATTTGAGCAACATTGTTTTAATAAGATTATAGTCTCAGAACGTGATGAGTTGGCAGAGGTCCTTGGGATATAATTTCTAACATGCATATTTTTAAAAAATCAGACTTGTGATTTTATATCATAATATATATTTGTATGCATTGGATGATGGTGGGGCAAGGCAGAGATTTATGTATATATTTCATGCACTAGAGACATTGTCAAAATTCTAATGCAATGCTCCTAGAATTTCATTATTCTTGAGGTTATCAGTCAAACAAAATGTAATTATAATACATGCAAACTAGCCACAATATAATCAACCACTCTGGTTTCACTTTTATAAAACATAAAGAAAGTGATAGTATTCCTTTGGTTTGGTTTCTAAACTTCTGCTGCTTAAAAAATGACACCAATTTGGATACATTAATATATATTAATGCAAGATCCCATTAAAAAGTCATAGAGAAAGACCAATTACTTTTGTTTCTGACAACACATCTTTTCCTAGCTAGCCCATAATGGTTTCAACCACATCAGAAAAAAAGCAAGATAATAGTTCCAGTCTATAGTGCTGAGTCTCCTATGGTCCACTAAATATATTCTCCTACAAAATTGCAAAAGGTCATTTATAAAAGCCAACAGTGAAACATAAAATATTGGGAGTAGGTGATAAATATTCTGCAAGAAAACTTACTGTTAGAATTAAATACATTGCATCAGCATCTGTACCAATTACCCAATTACGCAATACACTTTGAAACACTGTTTGCCAGTAATACCACTTACTGCAGTGTGAGGGCTGTGCTGACACCAGAATAAAGTTCAGCTATGTCCAGCATTGAAAAAACCAGCCAAGAGACAAAGGGGAATAGAAAATGTCTTGATCTTCCTCAATGAATATCTAACCTGAAAACGTTTTTTAAAAATACCTGTATTAAGGTCAGGTGTAGTGGCTCACACCTGTAACCCTCAGTACTTTGGGAGGCTGAGGCAAGTGGATCAGTTGAGGCCAGGAGTTCGAGACCAGCCTGCTCAACATGGCAAAACCCTATCTCTACTAAAAATACAAAAAAATTAACTTGGTGTGGTGATGCATACCTGCAATCCCAGCTACTTGGGAGGCTGAGACATGAGAATCACTGGAACCCAGGAGGCAGAGGTTGCAGTGATCTGAGATTGCGCCACTGCATTCCAGCCTGGGCAACAGAGCAAGACTCTGTCTCAATAAATAAATAAATAATAAATAAAATAATAATAAAAATAGCTTTATTGAGGTATAATGTACACAAAATTCACCCAGTGTAAGTGTAAAATTCAATTATTTTTGGTAAATTTATGTAGGTGTGTAATTATTACACCACCACCATGACCCAATTCTAGAATATTTCCAAGAAGTTTTGCAGTGCCTAGTTGCAGTCAATCTTCATTCCCTATACCAGTTGCAGGCAAACACTGGCATGTTTTCTATCTCTATGGAATTGCCTTTTCTGGACATCTCACATAAATTGAATCATGTCTTTCCTGATTGCCTTTTTTTACTTAGCATAATGTTTTTAAGGTTCATGTAATGTGTATCAATAGTTCATTTTTTAAATAGCTGAATTTAAAAAAAGGAATTTAAAAATTTGTAAATTGCCAAATAAGATTTCATTGTATTCATATATGACATTTTGTCTAGCCATCCATTTTATCTGTCCCAGTTGATGAACATTTGGGATGTTTTCAGTTTGGAGTTATTATAAATAATGATGTTATGAACATTCACATTCAAGTCTTTGTGTGAACATATGTTTTCATTTCTCTTTGGTAAATAAGTACTCTAGGGTATAATCACTGAGTTGTATGTCAAGCCTATGTTTAACCTTTAAAGAAAATGTCAAATTATTTTCACAAGTGGCTGTACCGTTTTACATACCCGCCAGTGTATCAACTTTCCAGTGTCTATGCATCCTCACCGACACACTATTGTCAAATTTTCTAATTACTTGTTAGCTATTAGTATATCTTCTTTAGTGAAATGACCATTTAAATTTTCTGCCAACTTTCTAGGGTTGTTGTCTTCTTATTGTGTTGTAAGAGAGTTTTAAAAAATATGTTCTAGATAAAAGCCCTCTATCAGATATACAAATATAGGCAAATACAGGATTTGCAATGAGAGAGAGAGAGAGAGAGAGAGAGACTGAGTATAAATTATCAGATCAGATTTGCAAATATTTTCTCATTCCGTGGTTTGTCTTTTTATTTTCTTAATTGGGTCTTTTGAAGAGCAAAGGTTTTTAATTTTGATGAAGCCCAAATTATTATTTTTTTAAATTGATTGTGACTTTGGTGTCTCTTTAAGAAACCGTTGGCTAACCCAAAGTCACAAACATTTTCTTCTTTGTTTTCATCTCAAAATTTTAGAATGTTAGCTCTTTCATTTAAGTCTATGATCCATTTGGAGTTGATTTTTGCATATGGTGTAAGGTTTAGGTGGAGGTTTGCTGTTATTTTTTTTCCTATGAAGGAAATTGGCAATTGTTCAAATTGAAAAGATTGTTCTTTCTCTCACTGAACTGGCTTTGCACTATGATCTAAAATCAGTAGATCATAAATGTAAGAATTTGTTTCTGTATTCTACATTCCATTCTGTACTCTAAGTTCCATTAATCTATATGTTAATCCTATGCTAATCCTACAGTCTTAGCTGCTGTGCCTTTATAGTAAAAATGAAAATTGGGTTAAGTTATTCAACTTGGCTCTTCTTTTAAAACATTGTTTTGACAATTTTAGGTCCTTTGCATTTTCATATACACTTTAAGATCAGTTTGCCAGTTCCTACAAAAAAAGCCCGATGAGATTTTGACAGGAGGGTGTTGAATCTATAGATCAACTTAGGGAGCATTGTCATCTTAACAATTGAGTGTTCCAATAAATGAACATGGAATGTGTCTCCATTTGTTTAGATCTTACATTTCTGTCAATAATGTCTTTAATTTTCAGTGTAAAAGACATGCTTTTTTTGTTAATTTTTTTCTAAGTAACATCTTCTTTTGGAAACTACTATGAATAGAATTGTTTCCCAGTTTCATTTTTGGATTTTTGTTGCAATTATAGAAAAATAATTGATTTGTGTATAGTGATATTTTATCTAGGAACATTGTTAAACATTATTAGTTCTGGTAGCTCTTTACCAGAGATTCTTTCTGGTAGATTCTTTAGTAGAGTTTTCTACATGTAGGATTATGTTGTCTGCAAACAAAAGCAGACAACATAAGTATAAGTATATTTCTTAAGTATAGAAAAGTATACTTCTTACTTTCCAATCTAGATGTCTTTAATTTCTTTTTACTTTATTTAACTAGCTAAAATTCCAGTGTGATGTAGTCTAGGAATGGTGAAAGCATTCAGTTCACTATTAAGTATTATGTTAGTTCCAGATTTTTCATATATGCCCTTTATCAAGTTGAAGAATCCCCTTTTTATTCCTTGTTTACTGTGAGCTTTCATAATGAATGAGTGTTGGATTTTGTCAAAAATTTTTTTTTCTGCATTTCACAAGATTATCATTAATTAAGCATGTGGGTTTTGCCTTTATTATAAATATGTTATGTTACATTAATTTATTTTTGGATGTTAAACCAACCTTGCTTTCCTGTAATAAATCCCATTTGGTCATGATGTATTATGTTTCTTTATAAATTCCATTTCTTTATAGATTCAGCTAAGTTCAGTTTGCTAAATTTTTGAAACATTTTTGCATATATATTCATGAGGAGTATCGGCCTGTTGTTTTCTTTTCTTGTGATGATTTACTTAGCTTTGGTATCAGGGTAATACCAGCTTCAGAATGAGTTAGGAAGTGTTCTTCTCTATTTTCTGGAAGAATTTGTCTAAAATTTGTATTATTTCTTGTTTAAATAGTTGGTAGAATTTACCAGTAAATACATTTGGAATTGGGATTTTCTTTGCTGAAAGGTTTTTAGCTACTACAGGTTGAGCAATCCTAATCTGAAAACCCAAAATCTGAAATGCTCCAAAATCGGAAACATCTTGAGCACCAACCTGATGTCACCAGTGGAAAATTTCATGCCTGAACTCATGTGATGAGTCACATATATTATTTAAAATACTGTATAAAATTACCTCCAAGCTATGTGTATAAGGTGTATATGAAACATGATGAATTTCATGTTTGGACTTGGGTCCCATCCCCAGGATATCTCATTATGTATGTGCAAATATTCCAAAATTTAAAAAAAAATCTGAAACACTTCTGGTCCCAAGTATTTTGAATAAGGAATACTCAACCTGTATTTCAATCTTTTTGCTTGTTATACTTCTATTCAAATGTCCTATTTTTACTTGAGTTAATTTTGGAAATTAATGCCTCTATAGCAGTTTGTCCTTCTCATCTAAGTTGTCTAATTTATTGGCATAAAATTATAGCACATTCCCTTGTAAGTCTTTTCTTTTCTGTAAGATAAGTAATAATATATCTGCTTTAATTTCTGATTTTGATGATTTGTGTCTTTTCTCTTTTTATCTTAGCCAGTTCAGCTAAAAGTTTATTAATTGTCTTGATTTATTCAAATAACTAGCTTTGGTTTCATTGCCCTTCTCTACTGTGCTTTTACTTCCTATTTCATTATTTCTTACCTATCTTTCTTCTTTCCTTCTTTCTGCTTGCTTTGGGCTTAATTTCCTCTTCTTTATGTAGTTTATAGTGAAAGTTTAGATGACTGATTTGAGGTCTTTTCTAATATAGGTGTTTAAAGCTATAAATTTCTCTCTAAGTACTGCTCTTTGTCTCTAGCAATATTTTTTAAGTTTTATTTTTAATTGACAAATAATAATGGTATATATTTTGGGATAGCAATGTAATGTTTTGATATCTGTTTACATTGTGATTAAATCAAGCTAATTAACATATCCATCACCTCACATACTTTTTTTAGGCGAAAACATTTAAAATCTACTCTTTTAGTAATTTTGAAATATTGATGCATTATTTTTTGTTATAGTCACCATTCTGTGCAATAGATCACTAAAGCTTACTCCTCTTGTCTAACCAAAACTTTGTACTCTTTGACCAACATCTCTTTCCCCATTCACTCCCCTCCCCTAACCTGTAGTAACCACCATTCTACTCTTTTTTTCCTTTTTTTTTTTTTTTTTTGAGACAGAGTCTTGCTCTTTCACCCAGGCTGGACTGCAGTGGCCCTATCTCGGCTCACTGCAAGCTCCACCTCCCGAGTTCACGCCATTCTCCTGCCTCAGCCTCCTGAGTAGCTGGGACTACAGGCGCCCGCCCGCCACCTCGCCCGGCTAATTTTTTGTATTTTTAGTAGAGACGGGGTTTCACCATGTTAGCCAGGATGGTCTCGATCTCCTGACCTCGTGATCCACCCGCCTCGGCCTCCCAAAGTGCTGGGACTACAGGTGTGAGCCACCGCGCCCGGCCTCTACCCTTTACTTCTATGAGTTCACCTTTTTTTAGATTCTACATGTGAGATCATACAGTATTTGCCTTTGTATGACTTGTTTATTTCACTTAGCATAATATCCTCCAGGTTCACCCACATTGTTGCAAATGATTGAATTTTCTTCTTCTTCTTTTTTTTTCTTGAGAGAGAGTCTTGGTCTGTCGCCCAGGCTGGAGTGCTGTGGCACCATCTCCGCTCACTGCAAGCTCCACCTCCTGTGTTCACACCATTCTCCCGCCTCAGCCTCCCGAGTAGCTGGGACTACAGGCACCCACCACCACGCCTGGCTAATGCTTTTGTATTTTTAGTAGAGACGGGGTTTCGCCATATTAACCAGGATGGTCTTGATCTCCTGACCTCGTGATCCTCCCACCTCGGCCTCCCAGAGTGCTGGGATTACAGGCGTGAGCCACCGTGCCCAGCAGAATTTTCTTCTTCTTCAGGGCTGAATATATTCAATTCGTATACATATCACATTTTTAAAATCTATTTATCTGATGATGGACACCAAGGTTGCTTCCATATCTTAATTATTTTGAATAATGCTGCAATTAATATGAGAATCTCTTTGGCGTACTGATTTTAATTCCTTTGGATATATACTTACAAGTAGAATTTCTGGGTCTCTAGTAATGATTTCTACTGAAAGTATGTTTTTTCTGATATTAATATAGCCTCTGCCTTTTGATTGAAGTATTTAGTCCATTCTCATTTAATATAATTTTTGACGGGTGGATTTACATTGGTCATTTTGCTATTTGTTTTCAATAGATCGCAAGTCTTTTTTGTTCCTTTGATCCTCCTTTACTACTTTCATTTGTGTTAAATAAATTTTTTCTGGTGTGCCATTTTAATTCCTTTTTTATTTCAATTTTTTAAAGTTATTTTCTTAATGATGTTTTAGAAATTATTATATGCATCTTAACTTATAACAATCAATTTTAGTTTAATTCTAACTTAATTCCGGTAAAATATACCAACTTTGCTTCAGTATAGCTCAATTTTCTCCCTCCTCCTTTGTGCTATAATTGTCACTTATTACATGTATACATCATAAACTCAACGATGCAATGTTATAATTATTTATGCAACTTTAAATATCTTTTAAAGAACTTAAGAGAAGAAATGAGAAGAATAAATTTATACTGTCTTATATTTACCCACATATTTGCCATTTCTAACCCTTAGTTTTATTTTCTCCCTACACATTCTCTACCTCAACCTTCTCTTCTACTTCCCTTAAAGTGGACCAGCCAGAAGATGCAGCGATAGCCACAGAAAACATCCTGACATTAAAGGCTGTAGAGAAGTCAGATTTCTGGTATGAATTCCAAAAGGAAGAAAGTCTTTCAAAAATGTTTCAAGTACACCTTTCAAAATAGCCACTTCCTAGAAATGATCTTCCTGCATAAAATTAAAGAGCATTGCAGCCTATCATTCACATTCTTCTGTTCCGAGGGTAACGCGCTTGAGTAGTTGCTATTTTCCTTCTTCCAGCATATATTCTGGGCAGCCTCATTTGCTGTGCGTTTCTAACATGCAGGTGTTTCCCTTTACCTCTCAGTGAGCTGGTTCAGTTCCTAGATCTGATTAGCTGGAATATTCTTCCTAGATATTTTTGAATGAGGGAGTTAGCAGAAGGATATCTTTCTGGAGTACGGCGACTAAACCAGACTTAAATCTATTATAAACACCACCCTGGAAAACATCCTTCTGCATTCCAATTATTTCAACTCTGGGATAATTACTTTAACTCTTAGACTTCTAAGTTTGCATTCCAAAAAGAATTGTAAAATAATTATTCCTGGGCCTGATAAAACTTGACTAAATATTTCATTGATATATAATTATGGTTTGAGGACATCACTAAGAAAATATTCCAACATGTCATAGCTGTTTAAGCACGTATATAAACCTATGTATGTAATTGCTTCATCAGCGTAAATACATGTGTGCTTTCTATGTTTTTCTGTTGTTGCTATTACTGCTGGTTGTTTGGGGTTTCTAAAAATACTCTCCATACAGCTTCCCACCAGTTAAAAATAGGAATCTAATGTTTATAGGTATATCCTTGACAGTAGGGTCTGCATAAGTCACAGTTAGAAAGAAAAAAGAGAGGGAAAGAAAAAAGGAAGGAAGGGAGGGAGGGAGGAAGAAAGGAAGGAAGGAAGGAAAAGAAAAGAGAAAGGGAAGAAGGAAGGAAGGGAGGGAATATTAGCTAAGAAATGCTAATGAGATTTGGGAAGATGTATTCTGTGCCTGAGTCCTCTGCTTGATCTAATTACTACCTGAGAAAGTAAAATCACGGAGCCCGGAAGTGAAGGAAGTATAGAGGTTGGGGTTCAGAGGCAAGTCTACAGAAATTGTACATTAGTCACCAAGGTGCTTTAATTAAAAAAAGGTAAAAAGGACATTATTCTCCCTCTAAACAAAAGGCGCATTGAAATGGAAACCAATGATATCTTCAGGAAAACAGAAAGGGTTTGATGCGGAAAATAACTAACATCCTACACAGTAATATTTTGTTATTGGCAAACAGAAAGCAATAGTTCAAAATTTGTCAAGCTTATCAGTTCCACCTAATTAGGACCATATCCAGAGGGCATAGTAAACAAAACTCTAATAACTCACTTCTGAGCTCCTGGCCCTAGGGGCATCTAATGTCCTTCTTGAAATGTGCTTGGTGGTCTCTGCTCATCTAGTCCGTCGGAAAGGCGACCACATGGAAACACTCTTCTCTGTTGAGGCCCAGGATGGAATTATTTAGAGATTACATTCTTGTCGCCCATGACAGACACTTGTCTCCAGCCAGAATATTGCCAGAGGTTGCATGAAATTCGTATGTGATCCTTTGAGGGAAAAGGAGGTCTACAGAATCTGGAGGAGGATAATTGAAGAATTTCTATTTCAATTACTGCTGCCATGTCCCCACTCCATTTGTTTCAAAATGAAGTCTAACATTTTCCTAGAAAACCTCCCCTTTCAACATAGAAGATGTTTCAGTATGAAAGTTATGTGTTCAGCAGGGTCCTTAGATGTGGTTCAAGAGAGGTTCTCTAAAGCTAAAATGAGAACAGTGGAAATAATAGGTGAATGCAAATTCAAACACCCCAGGCTCCTATTTCTCTTCATCTTTTACCCCCATCTCCAAATTCTCTCTTTTTCTTTGGAAGTCACTTCTTATTCCCTTTCAGTTATGGTCAGGAAGAGAGATGCCCTATGAAGGGATGGTTGTCCTCAGCCTGGAATCATAAAGTCTAGAAACTCAGGGCTAAGAGCAATCGAAGAGATCATTTTACTTTAGTTATACACAGAAAGGAAATTGAGTCCCCAAAAGACTAAATGATATTTCTCTACCAAAGTTACACCATTAAGGGTTTCAAAACTAGTTAAGTTACAAAACTTAATGCTCACTTCCGTGCTTTTCACACTATCCTGTAATATCTTCCTTTACCGATGCCTAGAGTTTCCATGGTTACACATGAATTTAGCTCAGATCTGCACATACTCTGCAGGTACTCTCTCATCTCAAAGAAATGATTTCTTAATGAAGAAGTACATCGGAGCCAAATTATGGAAGACCTGAATGCAAGCTTATGGAATTTGAGTTTTTCTTTTAGGTCAAGATTTTTCATGTGAAAATGTTTAAAGATCTGAAATTATAAGTAAAGAGAGAGAGAGAGAGAGAGAGAGAATGAGTTTGCAAACACACGTATTCCTGAGAAGAGCTTTTTAAAAAAAATTCTCATATAGCTAAGGAACCACTGTTGTAGGTAAGGAAGGGGTAAAAACCTTTTTTTTTTTTTTTTTTTTTTTTTTAGACAGAGTCTTGCTCTGTCACCTAGGTTGGAGTGCAGTGTTGCTATCTTGGCTCACTGCAACCTCTGCCTCCCGGGTTCAAGTGATTCTCCTGCCTCAGCCTCCCGAGTAGCTGGGATTACAGGTGCGTGCCACCATGCCCGGCTAATTTTTATGTATTTGTAGTAGAGATGGGGTTTCATCATGCTGGCCAGGCTGGTCTCAAACTCCTGACTTCAGGTGATCCGCCTGCTTCGGCCTCCCAAAGTGCTGGGATTACAGGCGTTGAGCCACAATGCCTGGCCCAAAAACATTTTTAAGGGGGAGAATGTCATGACCCCAGAATCTTTTCTCTTGGATTGCAAAGAAGTTGTAAATTCTAAATTATTACTTTTAACAACTATCCTTACTTAGTTTTAAAGAAATTAAGATTTTTTTTCTATTGCTTTTACCATCTCAAAGAAATAAATATTACCTTACTAGGTGTTAGAAACCCATTGTGATCAAATACCTCCAGGAACATAACTCACATCTTTCCCGACTGAAGTCACACTGTCACGATGAGGAATCCTGTCCGTAGGCCCAACTGTGCTGCAGAACTTACTCTGAGCACGGAAAGCAGGGCGGGAAGGAGCATTAGCCTCCCTAACCAAGGATCCATGTGATGATTTGGGAAATCACATCCAGGCTCTGGTTTGCTACTTCCTCTTCATCTTTTCATGATGTAATGTACGACAGGATGGTTTTCTGTTCCTAGCCCATTTGCGGGGCTAGCCCTCAGCGAAATTGTCACGTAGGAGAAGTTTGCCTTCATTAGTCTCTGCTATATTCTGGCTTTGGCTGTCTAAAAACTGAGTCTGACAGCCAAGGAGCTTGTGGTTTTCAAATCATGTTGCCCATCTCACTCGAAATCCTCCTTTGCCCCCAGCCCTTTCCTCCCGCGTTATTGACATCTCTATCTCCTCCTCTCTGCCATTTCCATGCTGGGAAGCAGATCTCACAATCAGATCTGGGATATTTGTGCATTTGGAAATTTAAATCAATGTGTTACCTCTCCCAAAGGTGCTAAAACTATAGAATATATCTCTAGTTGTAGAATAAAAGGCTTTATCAGGGGGTAATATTGTCAGTAAACAATTTGGAGAGGTGGAGGAGAAAAGCCTCTTTATCTATACATAACCAGAAACTGGACTACTAGGAATTTTCCTGGAACAAAAAACAATGTTTGGAAAGAAGGTGGGCAATCCTGACTCCAAAATGGTAACACAGTCATCACCACAGAATCTCCCCAAATATGTACTTTAAATCTGTTCACAATTCCTCTCTAAGTACCAGTGTGTATTTATGACGAATCAATTTACTTAGCACACACACACAAAAAAAAGGCTAAAGAAGCAAACTTCAGTTTCTACATGCAAAATGTTTATTTTTAAAAATGCAGATGTTGCTTGGCTCACAGTTCCAATCAGGCATGTGAAAGATCACTTTACACCAGGACTCCTACAAGGAACTCTGAGGAGTCAGGAATCGCAGGCTCATTTTTCATACAGACTACAGAACTGTTTTAAATCCCTTCCACACAATTTGTAGAAGTCCTGCTAATGCAAACCATACTGTTTTGAGTTCAGTAAGTAGCAAACATAAAATGACGACGACTTTTTTAAAAATATTGTTTCTTCACCAATCTTGAGAGCAGGAATCAGAATACCATGTTGAACGCTGGAGGAGCCCAAAGCCATGTCCCAAATCCTTCCTGTTAGTCACTGGTGTATGTTGGCCTTTCACCTTGATTAGTTTGAAAAAAGTGGCAGCATTCTACCATCTCCAATTTAAATCTGATATGGTTATTCCCACTCTGCTTCATCCCGGCCAGAAGAGTTCTGCCAAGTTTTCTGTTTTTCTAAAAGCTAAATAAGTATGGCTTACAGAAATTCAGTCTGACAGTCAGGGAGTTTGTGGACTTCAAATCACATTGTGTGTCTTGCTGTAGAATTCTAATATTGTAATCAAGACATAATGTTTCTGTGAAATCTAATTTTGACCAACTAGTTACAAGCAATGGGCATTATCAAACAGGAATTCCATAATTCAAATAGGCCATGTGTCCATTTTCTGCATTTCAAAAACCTCAATGGGATTTGAGTTTTTCCCGTTTTCTTCTGCCTCCATGGATCCATTGTATGACATACAAAGTCCCTCTCCTCGCTTTAAATCCCATTGTCTTGACAAAGGAATCATTACGCCTGCCCCAGTACCAGCAAGTAGAAAGTCATTGGAAAGAGACCTTTGGTGCTTTGAGGTTTAAGAAAGCACAGTAAACATGGTTTTATACCTCCTTCTTTTGACAATAATCCTTCAAACACGCCTAAATATGGAAAGATAGCAAAGATATGGAAACACAAAGCTGGTCTTTAATGAAGCCAGAAGATATTAGTAACCGCACCAACAGTGTATGAAGATAGAAAGCAAAGGGAAGAATGGCAAACACTTCACAGAGGAGGGAGGGCTCAACCTTAAGTGTTGGTAGGGATGATGTGCTGAAAAATAAGCTGGGTTGCTGCCTCAGAAATTCAGAAAGGCACAGGTATTGGTGGCATCCATTTCAGCACAATGAAGGTATATGTGAGACAGGAGATAAGCATGGGGAAATTGTTCAGAATTCTCTATAGAAAACAAGTTGGCCCTGTTCTCCTCCTCTACCGTTACTGAGGAAAATCTCCAAAATGGAGAAAACTGTTAACAAATAACTTCCCCCTCCTACTAGCACCAACGCCCCCCGGCCTCAAGAAAACTCAGAGGAAATAAAAACAATGCAAAGAGAAAAAGAAAACCTCAAGATATTACATTTATGAAATAAAAATGAGACGCTGAAGTAGCTACATTGGCTGGAGTATATACCCTGGGGTTTGTCATTGTGTGCCAGGAAAATTTAGGACACGGACACACACCAGGAGATTAGGAGTGGAAGTTTAATAGGTAGAAGAGAAAGAGAAACAGCTTCCTCTATAGATGAAGGGGTCTCCTAGCAGAAAGGACCTGGTGATGAATGCATCACATTTTATAGTCCAGTTTGAGGAGGCGGTGTCTGATTTACACAGGGCTCACAGATTGATTCGATCAGGTATGACGTTTACATAGCGCTAAGGAAGGCAGGTTGCCCCACCCTAATCTTCTTATGCAAACAGACTTTCCAGTTGATCAGCCCCATCTTGCCTGCTTCTTACTGTACACGTGGCAGGCAGAGAAGGGAAGATGGAGCCGCCATTTTGAACATGTCTAGTCCCTAGTTCCTGCTGGCATTCACCCGTGCAAGCTCCCAGCTTGCAGGCGGCTCTTTGTTAGAAAATGATTTGGGGCTGCTTTTTATTAAAAAGAAAAGCCTTACTGAGGACTCCCATGCCCTTGCTATCTGCCTAAGTGATTTCTTCTTAACTGCTATATCAATGCTACTTTAAAATAATAAGACTGCTCAGCAGTCAAGAGCTCCTGAAAGATTAAAATATAAGACTCAAACTTACAAATTCAATAAAGCAATTGGAAGATAATGCAGAATTTGTAAAAATATATATTACAGAGGACAATCGGAGACAAAAGGCAAGAAAATGAAGGGTTATATAAGAATGTCCAATGTCCAAATAATAGGAGTTCCAGAAAAATACAATAGAAAACATTAAGGAGAACATAATACTAAAAGAAAAAAATTCTAGAACTGAAGTAAATAAAGCTGAAGCTCCAAATTTAAAATGTCCATTGAGTGAATCCTAAAAGAAAAGTGGACAAGACACATTATCTTATTTCAGAACATTTGAAACAAAGAACAGACCCTAAACACTTCTAGAAAGGAAAAAACTAGGCTACATGCACAGGACCTGGGATCAGAACAGCACTGGGTGTCTCCCCAGCAACATTAGAAGCTAGAAGATCGCAGAGACATGCAGGTGGGAACCATTAGGTGGATAATTCCTCAAACACAGCAACATGTTCCAAAAGGACTGTGCAGCTACAAAATGTGATAAATATCTACCACAAATTTATATAACATAATAATAAAACAGAATGTAACATAATACATGGATTTAAGTTTTTAAAAAGTGCTATAACTAAGTTGGGAGGGGAAGATGGGAGGGGAAGGAAGGTGTAATAGTTAAAATGCATACGTATCAAAATAGGAACTTAGGAATATAAAATCGAATGGTTATCATATAGCTTTATAGGTTATAGCAGCTAATCCCTGATGTGCCATGCCCTTGTGTACTCCCCTCCCCTTAAGTTTGGGTGGAACCTGTGACATGCTTCTAGCTGTGAAAGGATTGAGTAGATGCAATTAAGTTTCCAAATTAGCGGATTTCAAGGTAAACCAAATGGAGTATCTTTGGTGGACCTGGCTCAATCAGGCAACTTGAACACTTTGAAAGACAGATTTCCTGCTGGCCTTGAAGAAATCAACTGCCTGTGACAGAGCCATGAGGCAAGTAACATCAGGTGGCCTTGAAGAGCTGACAGCAGTCCACACCCCCAGCCAGCAAGAACACAGGGGCCGTAGGACTATTTTAGTTGTGGTTGTTATAAGGCATTTATTATTATAATATTATTTGACTTTGTAAACTATATCCATGTACTATTTTGAAAAAAAAAATTAACTTTTCCAGAAGGTAACCTGAGGAAAATTTAAAGATGATCCAACTTGTTTCAGATGAAATGGGATAATACATGTAAAAATGCTTAAAAAATAAAACATACTATACAAAGATAGGGCCGTGTAATTAAGTTTTAAAATCTCAGACTCGTATGGACTGAATGTTTGTGTCCCCCAGAATTCACATGCTGAAGCCTTAACCCCCAGTGTGGCTGTATTTGGAGATGGGACCACTTAGAAGTAATTAATCTTAACTGAGATCATATGGGTGGGGCCCTGATTTAATAGCATTAGCGTCCTTATAAGAATTGACACCAGAAGCCATTCTTGCTGTCTCTAAACACATTCACCAAGGAAAGGCCATGCTATGGTTTGAATGTTTGTCCTCTCGGAAACTCATGTTAAAACTTAATCCCCATTGTGGCAGTATTGAAATGTGGGGCCCTTAAGATGTGATTGGATCACAAGGGCTGTGTTCTCATGAATGGATTAATCCATTCATGGATTAATGGGTTAATAGATGGATGAGTTATTGTGGGAGTGGGACTGGTGGCTTCATAAGAGGAAGAGAGGCCTGAGCCAGCATGCTCAGCCCCTCGTCCTGTGATGCTCTACACCACCTCAGGACTCTGCAGAGTCTCCACTAACATGAAGGCATTTATCAGATGGGTCCTTTGACCTTAGACTGCCCAGTCTCCAGAACTGTAAGAAATATATTTTGTTTCTCTACAAATTACCCGGTTTCAAGTATTCTGTTATAAGCAACAGAAAACAAACAAAGACTGGTCATATGAGCACATATGGAGAAGGTGGCCATCTGCAAGCCAGAAGGAGAGCCCTCACCAGAAACCAATCATCCAGAACCTTAATCTTGGACTTCTGGCCTCCAGAACAGTGAGGAAATAAAATGTCTGTTGTTTCAGCCACCAAGTCTGTGATATTTTGTTACGGCAGCCCCAAGCTGACTAGTATACAGTCTAATGCTCCAGTGTGTTTTGTAGCTAAATATAACGATTTCAAGTTCATTCTAATTATTTAAATTTAAGGAGTGTTTTTAAAATAGAAAATAGATTTGCTCCATGGATGGGAGCAAATTAAACAAGAGCTCCCTTAATATAGTACATAAGTACAACTTAAAATTGCTACTGTTAAGTGACTGCATCTATATCAAGAAAATAGCAAAAACAGGGAAAATACCACAACAAACCAATGATCTGATAAGGATGTGCACTAACAGTTTCATATGAGGATGCTTATTATAGCATTATTTATCATAGTGAAAAACTGGAAACAACCTAAATGGCCAATAATTAGAAGGTTAGTTAGATAAATTATGTCACAGCCATACAATGAAATATTATGCAGTCATTTAAATAAAATATTATGCAGTCATTTAAAATCAGTTTTAAAGGAACAATTAACACCTTAAGAAAATATTAACAATATCATTAAGGAGAAAATGGTACAAAACACCATGAGCAATGCAGTCCAAATGGGGAATGCGTGTGTGTTTATGAATGAAATATGTCAAAATGCCAAGAGTTATCACTAGCAGGTCAGATTAAAAGTAGTTTGGCCGGGCACGGTGGCTCACACCTATAATCCCAGCACTTTGGGAGGCCGAAGCAGGTGGATCACGAGGTCAGGAGTTCAAGATCAGCCTGGCCAAGATGGTGAAACCCCATCATCTCTATTAAAAATACAAAAAAATTAGCTGGGCGTGGTGGGCACCTGTAATCCCAGCTACTCGGGAGGCTGAGGCAGAGAATTGCTTGAACCCAGGAGATGGAGGTTGCAGTGAGCCGAGATCGCACCACTGCACTCTAGCCTGGGCAACGGAGCAAGACTCTGTCTCAAAAAAAAAAAAAAAAAGTAGTTTTCTTTTCTTTGGGGAGCTTTTCTCTACTTTCTAAATATTCAAAAATAAACATTTCATATTTTATAATATATGTGTATATATTTTATTTATTTATTTATTTTTATTTATTTTTTCAGACGGAGTCTTGCTCTGTCACCAGGGCTGGAGTGCAGTGGCACGATCTCAGCTCACTGCAAGCTCCGCCTCCCAGGTTCACGCCATTCTCCTACCTCAGCCTCCCTAGTAGCTGGGACTACAGGCGCCCGCCACCACGCCCGGCTAATTTTCTTTTTTGTATTTTTAGTAGAGACGAGGTTTCACCGTGTTTGCCAGGATAGTCTCTATCTCCTGACCACGTGATCCGCCCTCCTCAGCCTCCCAAAGTGCTGGGATTACAGGCGTGAGCCACTGCGCAGAGCCGGCTTTTTTTTTTTTTTTTTTTTTTTTTTTTTGAGATGGCGTCTTGCTCTGTCACCAGGCTGCAGTGCAGTGGTATAACCTCGGCTCACTGCAACCTCTGCCCCACAGGTTCTCCTGCCTCAGCCTCCCAAGTAGCTGGGATTACAGGTGCGCACCACCATGCCCAGCTAATTTTTGTATTTTTAGTAGAGATAGGATTTCACCATGGTGGCCAGGATGGTCTCAATCTCTTGACCTCATGATCCGCTCACCTCGGCCTCCCAAAGGGCTGGGATTACAGGCATGAGCCATCATGCCTGGCTGGGCTCTAAATCTTGCTGGCCACAAACAGTGCAATGGAAAGGGTCTGAACCTATCTGGGGACTTTGCAGGCTCTGCCATACTGGGGCGCCCATGCTGACCACCCTGCTGTGCACTCTGTTAAGAATATAGCAAATTCTTCTGGTGGAAACTTCCTCCGTTTTTCCAGGAACCCTCAGGGTTTGGGCAATGCCTTCTCCTCAGGCTTTAAGTGGAATTCCCAAAGGAGAAGAGAAAGTATCCATGTGCCACCCCAGCTCTCCCAGCCTTCCAGTCTCACTCTCCCACTCTCTTTCTTTTTTCTTATAGCAAAGGACTCACTGCACTGATAGAGGGAGACAGCCCGCTCTCCAAGGAGCAGTAAACTGCCTGGAAGTGTAAAGCCAAGAGTTGAGTGACAGAGCCCTCTTCAAGGAAGCAGACGTGTCCAGGAGTTGGCAAAATTGTGGAACTGTAGTAGTAATAATCTATTTGTTTTAAAATTTCCCTTGCCAGTGGTAACTGAAATTACATGAGTAACCACAGATTTAGTTCATTAATTCACAAAATTGCTATAAAAATATTAACCATTTAGCCTTATGAAGAAAGGACGGTATTTATAATTGTAGACAACAACTGATAAGCCTGCAGTCAGCTGGAAGTGGTATATTTATCAAACAAATAAGAAAAGTGGAGGTACTATCATCAGTGTTACCCTAAAGCTTCTGCATAAAACATCAAATGAATAATGTCTGTTTCTAGACCCTCTTACTTACCAGTACCTCCCTTCCACTTCCATCTGAGATTTTCTCTTTCCACTCCACCCAAAGACCAGGAACCCCACGATGGAACTGCCTGGCAAATAGTTCAGGCAATCCAGATGTGGAAATGGTCAGTGTCCTTCACCTTAGGTACCTCCAGGAGTTGTTCAGATAACCCAGATGACCAAGGTGGTCTTCCCTCTCTCGCCACCATTTTCTCCTCAACTCTCTCTCTTCCTCTCCCACCCTCAATCCACCCCTTCCAAAGCGGTAACCTTCATTAGGTTACCTTAATTAGATAACCTTAATTAGGACAGGTGTAACGGAGCACCTGTCCTCAGGCGTGGGATGGAATACCTGTCACATGGCAGTAAAAGGGATATGGGGGGAATCTTCAACAAGATCTCTGAACTCACACCACCCTAAATTCCAGCAGCATATATTATTGCAGTGATTCTCAAGGGGGAGGGGAGGAGGGTGCCCCCTCTCAGAAGAAGGCATAAGAACACTGGGACTGGACATGTGCAGTTGGCCAAAGCCCATTGAATTGATCAAATCTTTATTAACAAAAACTACAAAAAGTAAGTCCAATGAAATCAGCTTGTCTGATGGGGCTACACAGAGAATAAAGTTGGATTGAGAAGCACAGCAGCATTGCAACTCAAACTGAACAAAAGAAAATCTAAAAAGAAGTCATAGGGAATAAATCAAAACAGTGGACTGCAGCCTTCCCCACTCAGCAAGCAATCATTTCATCAGCAATGCTGCATCTTCATGCAGAACCTCCTAAAACATCACTGGGTATAACAACATGAGGTGACAACCTCACAACTCCCTAGTTCTTAAGAATTCCTGAGACATCTTCTCTACAGGGATTCAGCAGGGCTGGGTTTAAGTTTTTGAGCATGGTAAAAATAGATCAAGTGCTTTTTATTGTTTGAACTATGCCTGGCCCAAAAGATATGTTGAAGTCCTAACCCCCAGTAATTCAAAATACAATCTTATTTGAAAATAGGGTCAGGCCTGGTGTGGTGGCTCATGCCTATAATCCCAGCAGTTTGGGAGACCAAGGTAGGCTGATCACTTGAGGTTAGGAGTTCAAGACCAGCCTGACCAACATGGCGAAACTCTGTCTCTACTAAAAAGACAAAAATTAGCCAGATGTGATAGCACATGCCTATAATCCCAGTTACTCAGGAGGCTGAGGTAGGAGAATCTCTTGAACCTGGGAGGCAGAGGTTGCAGTCAGCCAAGATCGCGCCACTGCACTCCAGCCTAGGTGACAGACAGAGACCCTGTCTCAAAAAAAAAAAAGAAAGAAAAGAAAAGAAAACAGTGTCATCGCAGATATATTACTTAAATTAGGATGAGGTCATACCAGAGTATCATGGACCCTTAATCTAATAAGACCAAAGAGGAGAAGGAACACAGACACATAGACACATGAGGGGAGAATGCCACATGACATCGGAAGCAGAGGCTGAAGTGATGTATCTCCAAGCCAAGGAACACCAGCGTCTACCAGAAGCCAAGAAAGAATCCTCCCCTAGAGCCTTCAGAAAGAGAGCATGGCCCTGCTGACACTTTAATTTCAGACTTCTAGATTCCAGAACTGTAAGAGAATAAACTTCTCTTGTTTTAAGCCACCCGGTTTGTGTTGTGGCAGCCCTAGGAAATGTAGGGGCACCCTTCCTCCAACAATTTGTAGTCAATGCCATCAATCCCATCATACAATCCATCTGGTTGAGAATTATGAAGAATCACAGCAGTCGGTGGGTTTCTCATGCATAAAGTACAAATGAGGCAAATGTTTCATTTCCAGATATGAGGGTAGTGAGATTCCTGCTGGTGAAAATGTTCAAACATAGATGATGTTCACTTAGCAGAAAGGCTGGAACCAATGTAAGCTTTCTATATGAAGAGCTGGCTTCTAGAAACACCTGGCGGGGTCTCACCAAGTCTATGTCTCAGCCCAGAAGCTCCCTCATGAGGGGTGTGCAGAATCCACCTGGATTCAGACTAAGTTGTTTTGGCCATGTTTTAAAGAAAAACACAAGTGTTTGGTAAATTGAGCCTAAAAAGCTGGCATATGCCTTGCTCGTTTATATCCTTTCCACCTGGAAAACATTCTAGGCCCCCAGACATAGACTTTTGCCAATGCTTTCAAAATTAAGGATGATGTATTGAGCAGCTACTATGTTCCAGATTATATGTTAGGGTGGTTTTGCGTGTGCGTGTGTGTGCATTCGAGTTAAATTTAATCACGTGCATTTACTTCACGATGGGCTGCACTATCATGAGTAAGGTACTATGATAACAACCTTCTAGAAAAACAGTGCAACTTCGCTATGAAGACCATCCTTCCTAGGGAGATAAATCACGTTCATGGTTTGTGAATCACTTCAACCCGTATGATGCTCACTTGCAGACACTAGCCAATCTGAGATCTTGTCCTAATCACTGCAGCAGTGGGCCGGGGAGAAGTTCCAATACCAGAAACTGGAGTAGAAGTGGCAGACCATATCTGGGGAACTGCAGCGGTGGGAGACACAGGGCATGATTATTCAATATCTCTCATTCAGCCTTCCCAGCAAGTGCCATGCCAACAGATGCTGTGCTGAATGCACAGTGATCCAATTAGGGGCATGGGCTATTTTTCCAAAAGGAAAAGCAGTTATTATCCATTTGAATTGTAACTGCTTGGCTTGTGGTAGGATATCTTAAGAATGTATTACAAAATCGGAATCTGTGTGATTTTTAAATACAATTTATAGAAGGTATAAAGAATCGTGCTATAGCTAGCACCCATGTTCCCACCTTCCCAGTTTAAGAAGCTGGCATGTTATTATCTCCTCTGATGTAACTGGCAGATTCTAAGAAGTATGAAAGACAACTCTCATCTCAGAGTCTCTAAATACAAGGTGTAGTCAGTTAAAACTGGCCATGATCTGTGTAAACTTCAGAAAAAAATGTGTCTGAGGTGCCCCCATTCCTCTTGTCATAGGACACCCACCTACCTTCAAAAGTTCCCAAGTCAGCTCATTTTTAAACATAATATTTCTGACTATGTGCCAGAGGACCTCGTGTTATCCTCAGGAGTGAGACTCCCCTGTCCATGCAAACCCAGCCTTCCCATCTCTGACTTACTGCCAATGCGCTCTTCCATTGCATAGTCCACCCCATTCTCCAAGCTCAGTACCATCATGGTGCAGCAGTAATACTGGGGGAGGTGGTGAGAAACTGGAGTCCCAGAAACCCCAACCCCGTGGAATGTCTCTGATGGAGGATGACCCTGTGAATGCCCAAAACAGAACTACTTACGAACATTGAAAACACACTAGCTAGACTGGCCAGACACATGTAACCTAAGAGAAACCTTCCAGACTTCTCTCCTGGAACCTCCTCAAAATCTCTCCACAAGCATGCTACTGGGATGAACTTTCCCCCATAGTAACTCCAGCCTGCCAATGCCAGAACCAGTAAAAATCTCTGACAGCATTCAGTGGATCCATTTTCTCAGAAGAGTCACATCTTTCACATATCTTGCTGTCCGTCTCAGCATTTTAGAAGATAATGATGAGTCCTAAATCTTGCTTTCAGTGAAAGGAGTCCAGTCCTGTGATAAATTGGCTAAGAAAAGGACTCCGTGTTTGAAGTTTAGTTCTCAATGATAATTATTATTAATGCAACCATCTATTGATTGGTTGTGGACACTTAAAATACTTTTAATTAATGTTGCCATTAATTAATGTTAAAAGCATTTAACTTGCATCCATCAACTGATAAATGGATAAACAAAATGAAGTATATCCATACAATGGACTATTATTCAACCACCAAAAGGAATGAAGTACTGATACATTAATGCAGTGTCTACATGGATACCTTGAAAATATTATGCTAAGTGAAAGAAGCCAGATGCAAAGGAACATATATTACATGATTCTGTAATATCTAAATTATGAAATATCCAAATCAGGCAAATCCAGAGAGACAAAGCAGATTAGTGTTTGCCAGGGGCTGGGGATGGAAGGAAGCAGGAGTGGCTGCTTAATGGATGTACGTTTCCTTTGGGGATAATGAAAAGTTCTGAAACTAGATAGTGGCAATGGTTGCACAACATTGTAAACATACTTAATATCACTAAATCACACACCTTAAGATGGCTAACATGGTAAACTTTATGTTATATGCATTTTACCACAAGTTTTTAAAGGAAGGATCTAACCTCTGGGTGTCTGTTTCCTCAACTACATTCTTGAATCTATCTTCTCTGATATGTTACAGGAAATATATAATAAACTACTTTGTGACAATCTTTGCAGATGGAAATGTGTATGTAAGTGGAATGTAAGAACCACTGTGCTAAGCACACACTCAATGGCCAAAACCACCCAGGACACCAGGACACTGGGACAAGATATTAAAGGTGGCAGCTGCACCCCCACCATGGATCACACAATCCCTCAATTTTCTCATTCTCTCTCCACCCCCACCTCTGAAGCAGCTCTTAAGATAAACTGCTAGTCACAATTTACAATCGGAATACTATTTAGAGACAGAAACAGGCAGTTGTGCTTGTTCCTAATGTATTCTAGGTACTTGATATGCTGAGAGCACAGGACAATTTTTTCACACGGTTGAACTCCTTAGGGCCTGTCTTCTAGACCATTTCATTGGTTTAAAATACAACGTTGCTCAAGCATTGTGAAGTCGGCCTGTGTGCCTGGTGGGGAAAGAAGGGCAATTTGGTTCACCGTGCAGAAATTTTTCTTTTATTTAAATCGTTTAGATTTCAGACTACATCTTTTATTTCTTCCAGCAACAAGCATTAGCAAGTCACTTGCCTCTCTGTTTCTCGGAATGAAGACTAGAAATCTTAATACAAAACATTAACTCAGTGGGCCGGTCTGGCAGAGTAATAGATCTTCGGAACTGCGGTGGCAAAGCCTGCCTGGGCTTCCTCAAGTCACAATAAAGCACTATAATTCTTTTATTGAACCAAGAGCATTTAAGTCACAAATATATCTATGCAGAAAGCAATTGTGGCAGCTCCTCAAATTGATGACTGAAGGAACCCTTCAGAACCAGCACTGATGGGCCCTGCACTAAAGGTGAAAATAATAGGGTAAATTAGAAAAAACTGCTCAGACCCAGAGCAATCAATGACACTGGAATTGCTTATTTGAGCTGCGATGGCTCTTATTTCACATGCAAAGCACACTGCATTAGCGAGCAGATGGTATCTTCCTTTTCCTTGGTGGACTTCCTAGGGTTTTCAAAGATCCTTGCCCGAATTAGTTCACTTTCTCCAGCCAGCACAATAAGGCTTCAGCTAGCTGACATGCCTGAACACAAAGAAAAATGAATCCCCACAGATAAGCACAACCATTTATTGAACTTAGAAGAAAAGAGAAATAAAAAGAATGGTTTGGACATCAATAGAGTCAATACCTTCCAATATCATTTTTAATCCCTGAAAACTCATAAAATCCTAAATGTGGGAGGGATACCAGAGGTCAACTATTCAACATGCTAGATTAATTATCTATTGCTACATAACAAATTACCCTAATATTTTGTGGCTTGAAACAGCGTTTATCATCTCACAGTTTCTGTAGGTCAGGAATCTGGGTGTGACTTAGCTGGGTCCACTGCTTTAAGGTCTCTCACAGGTTGCAATCTTGGTGAGATCACAGGGGCTGTGGTCATCTGAAGTCTTGACTGGGGAAGGATCTGCTCCCCAGCTTGCTCAAGAGACTGTTGACAGGAGTAGATCCTCCTGGGCTGTTAGATTGAGGGTCTCAGTTCCTCACAAATTGATGGCCAGAGACCTCCCTTTGTTCCTTCTCATGAGAGCCTCTCCAAATGGCAGCTTGTAATATGGTGGCTGGCTTTGTTACAGAAAAGGGGTCCTGATCTAGACCCCAAGAGAGGGTTCTTGGATCTTGCACAAGAAAGAATTCAGGGCAAGTCCGCAGTGCAAAGCAAAAGCACGTTTATTGAGAAAGTAAAGTAGGGCCGGGCATGGTGGCTCACACCTGTAATCCCAGCACTTTGGGAGGCCAAGGTGGATGGATCATGAGGTCAGGAGAGCGAGACCATCCTGGCTAACACGGTGAAATCCCATCTCTACTAAAAATACAAAAAATTAGCTGGGCATGGTGGCGGGTGCCTGTAGTCCCAGCTACTCGGGAGGCTGAGGCAGGAGAATGGCGTGAACCCAGGGGGGCAGAGCTTGCAGTGAGCCGAGATCACACCACTGCATTCCAGCCTGGGCGACGGAGCGAGACACCGTCTCAAAAAAAAAAAAAAAAGAAAGTAGTGGCTGGGCATGGTGGCCCACACCTGTAATCCTGGCACTTTGGGAGGATGAGGTGGCCAGATCACTTGAGATCAGGAATTTAAAACCAGCCTGGCCAACATGGTGAAACCCTGCCTCTACTAAAAAAAAAAAAAAAAAAAAAAAAAATTAGCTGGGTGTGGTGGCAGGCACCTGTAATCTCAGCTACTTGGGAGGCTGAGGCTGGAGAATCTCTTGAACCCATGAGACAGAGGTTGCAGTGAGCTGAGATCCTGCCACTGCACTCCAGCCTGGGCAACAGAGCAAGACTCCATCTCAAAAAAAAGAAAAAAAAAAAAAGTAAAGTAGAGAAAGAACAGCTACTCCATAGACAGAGTAGGGTGTTCCCAAAAGTAAGAGGAGGAATGCATCCACCCTAGGTACAATGTTCGTGTATATAGGATAAAAAAAGATTATGGGGAGATATGCTCTGCTACAAGAGTTTGTGACAAAGGATTAATTTTCTTAATTACTCATTTTGTAAGAATTAATATTATTATCTTTAAAGCAAAATTAGAATGCCTTCGTTCTCAAGATATCAGGATATTAGGACACTCCCAAGTCTGGGTCTGTTTAGTAAACATTATCAATCTGTTCCCTTAACTGTAAACATCTAGAGGCTCTGAATGCCTGACTTTCTGGGAATGCAGCCCAGCAAGTCCCAGCCTCATTTTTCCTAGCCCTCACTCAAAATGGAGTCACTCTGGTTTGAACACTTCTGACAGCTTCATCAAGTAAGCAAAGGAAAGGACAAGAGAGAGAATGAGAGCAAAACAGAAGTTACACTCGTATGCAAACTAGGCTCAGACGTCATATCCCATCACTGTCTATTCACTTAGAGAAGGTCATTAGATGCAACTCACACTTAAGAGGAAAGGATTCCATAAGGGCATGCATACTAGGAAGTGGGGTCATTGGGTGCCATCTCAGAGGCTGCTTGCCACCTGTGCCACCTGTACCTAGTTGACACTTCTGTCTCCTCCACAGCATCCTCACCAGTTTCTGCTTTAACTTCTCCTGCCATGGGGAGACTCACTGCCTCCTGAGGCATCCAGTTCATTCCATTTCAGAACCCTAACTACTTAAGTAGTTCTAATAGTTAACCCACGGTCTGGCCCCTTGAGATTCTGCTAAATACCCAGAAACTCTTAAGAGACCATTGAGTTCAGGATATTTATAAAGGAGATGTTTAGAAATGGGAATTTTGCTCACGAGATGAGCTCTGGGAAGAGAAACGGAACACAGTTATTACAAGGAGAAGTTCTCACACAATCACCTAAGGCAATCTCAACATCACAAATATCACAGGCCACGTATGTAAGGGGAAGGCAAGTACCACGCCCATCCCCCTAATCAGCCCCATCCTGGGTTTTCCAAACCCCTTCTGCGGTGCATATAGGAAATTCTTAAAACAACTCTGCACTGCGCTGTCCTTACAAAGGTTCAAAGGAAGGCTGACAAGGACAGTTGGGTTCTGATGCATCCCAGAGCTATCTGTAAAAGGGGGAGGGAGCAGTGACAAAGCTCTGGTGATAAGTGGAGAAAGGACTTCCAATCAATCAGGAAAGAGAAGAGCTAAAGGACCAGAAGCCTGAGGACACGGTCACATAATAAGCTTCCAAGGTCTTGATTTCCCAAGAGGCTGGGTTGTGACTGGTTGGGAGGGGTTAGATAAGCATGAAAGTGGGGTAGAGACAGGCAGTGGGAAGGGCCAGAGGGGCCAGAGGCCTGTGCCCCACCCAGATTCTATTCATTCCATTTCAGTGGTCACATTAATATTCCTTGTCACACCACACACTTCTGAAGGGCAGAGTACATGTGGGAGATGCGGGTGGGGTGGAGAGGGAGGAGTCATGGGACACACATCATCAGCTTGTTCCTCACTCCATACATCTGGGTTTTCTAAAATTCTGTGAACTCCATCCCGAGGCCTAAAAGAGTGAACAGTAAAATCATTCACTAGCTTGGAGTATGTGTGGCTAAAATCTGACTAAACTAACCGACTTCATCTGATGAATTAGAAAAAAAAATTGATTCAAATAGGCATGGGTTTCAAATGGAAAACTGTAGCAGGAGTACCCTAGAAGCAGATAAAATGCCCCCTAAATCAGTCTGCTCATTTAAAGGTGATCTTTAAGCCATACAATGGGAAGATCGTTGATTGTGGATGTGTTCACTTGTTTCTGTCACTCACTTATTAACTTCCTTCTCTGCCATTTACATTTATATTCTCAGAAATGAGCGGTGACCTCTGCCTTCTGTGCAGTTTTCCCCAGCTTCCAGGCTGATGGTCAGCACCCAACCAGTGAAATTTCAATTTTTGTCTTTGGCTGAATCATAAGGATAAGAAATAAAAAATGCAAGGGCTATACACCAGCTCCTTAAACTCCAGCACTTTTCTATTATGTCCTTGGAGCAAATTCAGCATACTCTCATTTAGCCTCAAATGCTGAGTCACTAGTAGATGATGAACACAAATCCCAACCAACATTATCAATACCAGTGGAGGATTGATGAGAATATATAGGGGTGTAATTCTCCAAGGTGTTCTACTGAGAATCATTAAGCAAACCATCAGCCCTTTAGAGATACATACACAATAGTGTGTACAGGGTATAACAACCCTGCACTCAGATGCCCAAAGTGCACTTTGGCAAATCTGACGTAGTTTGGGAGTACAGGAATATTTGCATGACAAACCTAAATTAACACATGAGCTGTAGGCCGAAGGTTTCCAGAACCTAAGGGGTCTCCAGGCCAGCCAACTGATATCTCCAGTCAAAATGACTGATCTACACTCATGCTTTCCACTCGGGATTCCAGATCTGCAATATAGGTCAAAAAGTCAAGAACGGAGAAGGATATGTTTCAAGATTTACTTTCAAGGAAATCAAGGTGCCTTCAACCAGTTTGATTTAAAATGGAGTCAATCTTCATTCATATATGATGTCATTTCTTTTATGAGTCCCATACCCTGGTTCACAAGGAACTAAGCTAATGATAAAAAAGCATTTTGTCCTTTTGAAAGATGTATACTTTAAAGAAAAACCTACTAGCAAATGAAGAGAAGGGAGCCATGGAATGGCATCTTCCAAAGTCTCTTTTCATCAGAAGTCACACTCTGCAAAATCTCAAAAGTGATATCCCATCACTTTTAGAAGAAAATGTATGGTGGGCTTCTCCAAATGAGGGCTGCAGAAATCCTCATAGTTTGTCTGCTGGTCTTTTGTGAGATTTGAGATTACAATAAAACCAATCTATGCTTCTATTTCTGGCCTGACTTAATAACTTACTAATTGTAATTGACTAAACACCAGGCATCAACTCACACATGTCAAGACTCATTTTTATCACCATTTTGGATCTATTGTGTTCTACAGAGAAGCATGCAGGGAAGAGTCCAATGGGTCACCAAAACATGGCGGACCTGAGATCAATATCACGATCCAAAATATGAAGCCAGATGGCCCGAGAGCCGGGGGAAAGGAGCAGAGAGTTGCAAGTCAAGCAGGCCCTGCAGGATGAGTGAATAAGGTCACTGAGCCTCGACCACTGTGATTGCACACTCTTAGTGATGTGTGAGTGAGCACAGCTCTTCTGAACAGCCACAGTTGGGGCAGTGAATTATTGGATTTTAAAACAGGGCTGATCTCACACCTAGGCCCACTGCCCAAACTAGGTATCTTCATTTCTTGACACCTCTGGTCTCTTTAATCTCTACAATTGGAGTTCATTGCTTTGGGGGGATGACAGAGGGAGGGGCATGAGGCTGTCATCTAAAAATATGAATTTATCTAGATTTAAGTATGATGAAGATGTAAAGGGGCAACATAGCCTATAGCAGCTTGTCTAGCCCATGAGTACACCATCAAACAGGATTGTCCTGAGAAACTGGGCCAGAGAGTTGGCCGATGAACTTTTGAATTTAAATGTCTTGGCCAATGAACTTTGAATTTAAAACATGGACTACAAATAGAACTCAGGGCTTCTGCTTTATAATTCAATGTTCTTTCCAAGACTACCCAACTACCTTGACATGCAAATTGTTAGGATGCAATGCCTCTTTCCATTGCCTTCCAGCCACACATGTGAGATTGTGTCATTTAGAAGCATCCACAAAACTAAGCCCAAGAAACAGAGCAGATAACTATGCTCTTTTATTGAGCAGAGTACCATGTGCCAACGACTATTCCCAGAACTAGAGAGAGCAAGGCAAATAAATAGTTATTCCTGCCCTCAAGGAACTTGCTCTGAGGAGCGGCACATTTACCCCTTTAATGCAGACACCGCGTGGAGATACTAGATACTTTTTTTAAATTGTGGTAAAATACACGTTAACATAAAATTGACCATCTTCACCAATTTTCAAGCGTACAGTTAAGTGGCATTACATGTGTTCACATGGTTGTACAACCATCACCACCCTCCGTCCATAAAACTCTTTCCATCTTGCAAAACTGAAATTCTGCCCAGAGATATGTTTGTAATACTCCGCAGGGACCAGTTTTTCCTTGGCTTCTCTTGAACTGCTGTGGGGTTAATCCCTCAACTACAGGAAATCTAGTTATTTATGGGCTTTGGTATCTTCTCACCCCGGTCACCCCTCCCAGCTCACATGGAAGGGCATCGGGCCCAGCCAACAACCTTTGCCTCAAATCTTTGCGCGTCAGAGGAGACTGATAGCAGAGTCTGTCCCCATCCCTGTGAGTTTGCTTGGACAGATTTCTTCTCTCAACACTGTATTTATTACTGGGGTGTGAAGCACAGATCTGCAGATGCCTTTTCTACTTGCCTGCTGTTAAGAGCTTGCTCAATAATTTAGCTCTCTCTCCCTTAAAGACATTTGGTTTTGGGTTTTTATTGGTGATTGCAGAAGACAATGTGAGATGAGTCCTGCGGTATCCTGGATTCCTCCCACCCTCTCTCCTGCCTCCCTTCTAGTTGGCTCTTGTGAGGTTGGTTTGCAGCTGCAGGAGCAGCGGCTCTTTAACTCTTGGGCAGCCATAACCATCCCTACTCTTTCACATACATAGATAGGACTGTTCTGTCTCCTCATTAGATTATCACAGCAAATTGATGGTTACTTGAAAAAAACAAAAAACAAACAAACAAAAAAAAACCTGTCACAATAGGAGACAAAACACTGGCAACAGATAAAACAAAAGGAGGCACTGAGCTCTTTAATTAAGGTTCATGAAGGCATGTGAATCTTAGCTTCTTGTTACCCTGCTGTGCCTCTGCCTGATTAGCTACAATGCATCTGCTTGGTTTCCTGGTATCCATCTGTACTGCTAGGGAGAAATTTATTCGGGTTGCCCTGATTCTCAATAAGATGACTCAGAGGCATCAGCTGTAGATGGACTAATGGTTATGCATGTTGACAGAGTGTCTCCTGTGCTCCTTGCTGTGTTGATATGCAGAATCACACCACCTTACAAGTACCTGGGATTAACCCATATCCACACAGACAGCCCTAATGAAATGCCTCTCCCAGGAAACCCAAAGAGTTTTAGCATGACTCATTTCACCGTTGTCGTGTTTCAAGTTGGAAGTAGACCTTATCGCGCCCTCTCCACAAACTCCACCTTTCTGTTCTGCAGTGGCTGATGCCACAGAATTCCTCCTTTTGTAGGTTAAAAGGACTGTGAGTATTGGGATGTTTCTGCGCGTGACAATGTAAGAGATGTTTTCATTTCAATGCTGGATGAATGTGTTTGTGCATACAAGGATTCTTTCTCAACAAGAAAAGGGCAGCCAAGACCGAAGCCACCACTATTCAGAGTTGTTTGGGCAGAGAATACTAAAGTTATGTTGGCCCTGAATAATTTCAGGTTCCTCAAAGGACTTATTCACCTCCTTTACAAAACTGAGGATTTCTTTTAAAAGTAGCACTAACTATATGGGCTCTAAAATTCTTTCCTTATATACCATTCTGTGATTCAATAATATGATTGATCCCATAAGCTCAGTTTCATAGAGTTTGAAACAGCCGAGCTGAACCTTCTGCATACACTCAGATATTTAGGACTTAAAAATATTCTCCTAAAACTGATGAAATCTGAATACAGTCTGGACTTTAGTCAATTTTGATTTCTTAGATTTGGCAAATGTTCTGTGGTAATGTTAAGAGGTTAATATCAGTAGAAACTAGGATATAAGCAAACTGTATTATTTTTGAAACTTTTCTGCAATCTAAAATTATTTCAAAATAAAACATTAAAAAATTTTTTTAGCCAGGTGTGGTGGCTCACTCCTGTAATCCCAGCACTTTGGGAGTCCAAGTCGGGCGGATCACCTGAGGGCAGGAATTCTAGACCAGCCTGACCAACATGGCGAAACCTCGTCTTTACTAAAAATACAAAAATTAGCTGGGCATGGTGGTGGGCACCTGTAATCCCAACTACTTGGGAGGCTGAGACAGGAGAATCACTTGGACCCTGGAGATGGAGGTTGCAGTGAGCCGAGATTGTACCACTGCACTCCAGCCTGGGCGACAGAGCGAGAATCCATCTCAAAAACAAATAAATAAATAAAAATATGTTTTTTTCTCACTTGTGTTTAAATAAAAGCAACATTTAGTTGAAACTGGATATTACAAAATAACATTTGCCAGCCCTCCATCTCAGAGAAGACAAGAGAATAGAGAGACATGGTTTTTCTGTAGCTATGAATTTAATGCTAACTTAGGTGATTCAGTCACTCCTTGAGCACTTCTTTCTTCTTCCATTGTAGCAGGAAGGACTTCAGACTTCCTACAGCAATGGAAAAAGTTCTCCAAAGAATTTCAGATTGCATGCTTTGAGCTTTGAGAGTAATACTTGGTGTAAAATACTGAGGATAAGATAAACTGTAGGAGGAATTTCCTTTATAAAATGACCAGTCCAGGAAGCCAAAGTGCAAAGCTTTATAAATACTAATGCTTATTGGAAAGCAGGGATCAAGCGTTGGTTTTGTCACTGCACACAGGATTTCCTACTTGTTCACACCAGTATATAAATTAAACTTAAATCTGATGTCATTATCGTTAGCCTAGCCCTCTCCCTTTTTCTCCACTTCAATACCTTATAGAACTCACAGCAGGCTGAGCGCAGTGGCTCATGCCTGCAATCCCAGCACTTTGGGAGGCCAAGGCGAGTGGATTGCCTGAGCTCAGGAGTTCGCAACCAGCCTGGGCAACATGGTGAAACCCTGTCTCTACTAAAACACACAAAAAAATTAGCTGGGCCTGGCAGCGTGTGCCTGTAGCTCCAGCGACTCGGAGGCTGAGGCAGGAGAATTGCTTGAACCCGGGAGGCGGAGGTTGCAGTGAGCCGAGATCATGCTGCTGCACTCCACCCTGGGTGACAGAGCGATACTCCAAAAAAAAAAAAAAAAAAAGAAAAAAAAAAAAAAGAACTCACAGCAGTAGCTCCATAGGGGACTTAGAGGTGGCCTAATCCATTCTTCCCCTGAGGCCCAGAGGTAGGTTTCAAACTAAACCAGGACACACAGGCAGAAGTACTTTGAATAAAGTGCCTCATAATTATAAGGTACAATTACTATTGATATCATGACCAGCCACTAGGCCAAGTTCACCCAGCTGCTTAGACCATGGAAGATTCTAAACTCCAAAGGGCCTGGCATAGGTCTTCGTAATTTAATTATGGACGGTACTGATTTCCACATGAGGAAATGTTTAATAAATCATCAGCCGATTGTAGTGCAGACTCTTTAATCCCAAACCAGTACAGAGGCTCGTTTTCCTCTTCGGAAAGTCAAGCCTGAAGAGAGAGGGTTTGTTTACCAGGTTGAAAAGGGAGCAGGGAGAAGCCTATATTTATTCCTGGGGGAGAAAAATGTAACTGTTATAAGCTGCTGTGCTTCATCAATTTAAAAGTAATTTTTCTGAATTAAGAGAAAATTGAGTGGGGAAAATGCTTCTTTTCGGAAATTTAATTCCCAACTGAGTATTTATATGCTGATACCCTTTGCAAGTACACACGCAATAAGCTGCTTCGTGCGGCAACGACATCAAACAGGACAGGAAAAAAAGTCGTTCTTTAGACATTTTCCTCAAGACTTACACTTCTCCCCCATCCTCCACTTGTCTTGATCTCTCCAAAACCCAAGCCAACTCCTTCAAAAACAGATCGGGATAAAATAATCAAGTTCCTTGCTGAATATCAACAAAATCCACGAATTTTTGTTGGCAATGAATGGGAATGAAGGAGAACATTTCATTTCATATTTAAAATGTTAAATTGGGTGCTTATAATTCCCCTGATTTAGCTTTTTTAATTTAAAAATTCAAGCTTTATTCAACATTTGCATATTCATGCCTCTATAATGTGCACTGATTGCATTAACGGCGGAGAAAAAGCATGTAAGTGCAGCACAAATATAGTTACTCATCAAGAGTACCATCTATGTATGCATAGATAAATATTTCCAAACAAATTAACATACACACCAGCGCAGGTGCTCTGCCCTCACAGCTCCCTCCAGCTATTTCAGTCTTACTTTTCCTTCCATCAAGTTTCTAGAGCCAGAGCATCAGTTTAGAAATTGGATAATTTAGTGATTGGTAGAATTAGTGGGGCCCTTTTCCAAAGTCAGTGGTCAGAACGACTAAGTCTTTAACCAGCAATAGCTAGAAGAAGAAAAAAACATTCAACCGTACCCTTTATCAAAAACCAAAAGTAGGCTGGGAGCGGTGGCTCATGCCTGTAATCCCAGCACTCTGGGAGGCTGAGGCGGAGGATCACCTGAGGTCAGGAGTTCGAGACCAGCCTGGCTAACATGGTAAAACCCCGTCTCTACTAAAAATACAAAAATTAACTGGGTGTGGCAGAGCGCACCTGTAATCCCAGCTACTTGGGAGGCTGAGGCAGGAGAATCACTTGAACCTGGGAGGCAGAGGTTGCAGTGAGCTGAGATCACGCCACTGCACTCCAGCCTGGGTAATAGAGCGAGATTCTATCTCAAAACAAAATAAAAAACAAAAACAAAAACAAAAAATACAAAAAAAACTAGGCCAGGCACAGTGGCTCACACGTGTAATCCCAGCACTTTAGGAGGCTGAGGCAGGATGACTGCTTTGAGCTCAGGACTTCAAGACCAGCCTGGGCAACATAGCAAGACCTTGTCTCTACTAGCTCTACTAAAAAACCCCCAAAATTAGACAGGCATGGTTGTGTGTGCCTGTGGTCCTAGCTACTCAAGAGGCTGAGGTGGAAGGATTGCTTGAGCCCAGGAGGTCAAAGCTATGGTGAGCCGTGGTCGTGTCACTTCACTCCAGCCTAGACAGAGCTAGACCCTGTCTTAAACACATAAACACACACGCGCGCACACACACACACACAAAAGTAGAGTTTCCATAATTCAACAAAAACCTCCAATAGTTGATAGATAGTTGTTATAGGGAGTTCCCATCCCAGAGAAGTAAATCCTACTGACCAGGGTAGCAGACACTGAATACCCACCACTAAATACCCTCTGGCTTTTAGTTTACAGAATCATGACTTTGTTTGGAAATATGATGTTCCCAGCTCTTCAGAACAGGCCATGTTTTGTTGGCACGAGTTGGCAAATTACCCCTGGGTCAAATCCAGCCCAGCTCTTGGTATTATAAACAAAGTTTTATTGGCATACAGATGTGCCCATTCATTTACTCATTTTCTATAGCTGCTTTTGCACCGCAAGGGCATATTTTAGTAGTTGTGACAGAGACCATATGGCCTGCAAAGCCTACAGTATTTACTATTTGGCCCTTTACAGAAAACATTTGCCAAGTCCCAGTCCAAGCCAATGCCAGCCAGTTTCCCAGCCTCCCTTGCAGCTAGGAAGATGTTGAATTGTATACAGTAGGTAAGGAAGAAGGTGTGGCCAAGGGCTACTCTTGGATAACAGAATAGATGCTAGAAACATTGACTAAAATAGCAGCCATAGAGGAGCACCACATTTGGGGGGTGGAGTAAAGAGAGGAAGATGTAAGTTCAGGACATTAGAATATATGATTTGCTTTGCTGACCACTTTGGTGCCCAAAAAAAAGAGAGAGAGAAAGAAAGAATATATGATTTGAGGTACCTTTGGGATGTCAAGTAAGCACATTGATATACAAATATAGTACTCAGAAACTCAGAAAAGAGGCCTAGACTGAAGATCTCTAAGGTCAATTGCCTATTTAACTTAAAAAAAAAAAAAAGAAAAAACAACTTTTTTGGATCTGATCTCCTGCAAACCAGTAATTCCAATTAAATCCTCTTGACTACGGCCTCTTACTTATAACTCTCTTGGTTTCTATGGCACTAGTCTTTTCTGGTTCTCTTCCCACCTCTCTGACTACCCCTTCTATTTGCTTACATTTTATCCTTCGACACCCAAATTGGGTAATTCCTTCAAGTTTATCATCAGGTTTCTGTGCTTCCCTTGATACTCTCTCCCTGAACATTCTCATCAATCTCACGACTTTCAACCAAATGACTCCTGAATGAACATTTCTAGCCTAGACTTTTCTCTACTTCTTGACTCACTGTTCCCCTCCCACTGCAAATCCCCAAATGGGTGTCGTGTTGGCAATTCAAACTCTATGTACTTAAAATACTTATGTATCCTCCCCCAAAAAAGAGAGAAAACACTGGCCATGGTGTCAGAATCACTGGTTTGGATCACTGGCTTTGAATCATACTAGCTATGTCTGAACTTTCAAAAATGTCTTAATTTATTTCAACTTCGTCATTTCCGTGTGCCTCAAAAGAGGGACAGAGTCCTGTTCATGGGTGTACAAAATGAAGGAGCCGTTGATTCGGAGCAAACGGTGAGGAAAACCTGGAAAGGTATAGGAAAAGATAGTATTTGATCTTGAAAAGTGTGGGAAATTCGAAAATCTGCATGTCATTGTCTTAGAGTCTATCTGATATAAATTCTAGTCTGAGATGGAGCACACTATGACTTCCAGCCCCGTTGGAAAGCCAAGAAGATGGGAACACCATTTTTGCTTTTGCACCTTGCTCCTGGCTACGTTTCCAATTGGTTAGTTCCAACCCCTGCTGTCTTTCATGGCCTGTGCTACTTGGTGCGTATATAACTCACGTTATCTCCTGGCTATTCCTGAACTCTGGGCTTGAAATCAGTGCACATTTATTCTCAGGG